>NC_000004.12:44076712-44386136 GCF_000001405.40 Homo sapiens
ACAACTGGTTTTGTACACAAGAAAACTAAGGCACAGAGAGCTTATATAAATTTTATAAAGTCACATACATAGTAAGTGCTGGAACCAGAATATAAACCCAGCCATTGTACTGCATATACAAGTATATGTGTCCATTAACAGTGTTTTTAGTATTGTTTTCTATGTTTTAATATAGAGGTGTAAAGTGGGAAATCAGGGGTCTCAAGCCTTCAGAGCTGAGAGTCCCGAACAGAGATTTACCCACATATTTATTAACAACAAACCAGTCATTAGCATTGTTTCTATAGATATTAAATTAACTAAAAGTATCCCTTATGGGAAATGAAGGGATGGACCGAATTAAAGGAATAGGTTGGGTTATGTCTATAATTCCTCTAGTGCCACTGGGTTAGGGTCTCCCCAACCGAGCTGGTCTTGGCAAACTTGCTCAGTTATTCAATCAATTACCAATCCAGAGGTGTTTCTGTCAAGGCACTTTGTAACTGTGATTCAATTCTATAATCAGATTATTTTAAATTAATATTAGTAAGATTATCCTAGATAATGTGGATAAGACTGTTTAGAGCAGAACTAAGATTTACCTGAAAAAAAAATTCTGCCTGTGAACTACAGTTTTAACCTTTGCTCAAGAATTGCAACTGGCCTTTTCTGAAGGCCTGCCCTGTGAATTTCAAACTTGGCTCATCAACCCTCATAATCATGTCTCTTAATATATTATCCTGCTGAATCTGTTTCTCTGGTGAAACTTGAGTTACATAGGTGGGAAGGAATTATTCTTAGTCGATCCTTGTAGAGCTGATATCCTCTACTTAAGTGACTTGACTCAAAGCTTTTTTTCTCTCAATTTTATTTCTTACATTTTGAGGTCTACAAGGAATATGTTTAGATTATATATTTATGCATAACAAAATACTGAAAAATGTAATGCCTTACAACTAATCTTGATCACTTGAGGTCAAGAGTTCAAGACCAGCCTGGCCAACATGGCAAAACTTCATCTCTACTAAAAATACAAAAATTAGCAAAGTATGGTGGTGGGCGCCTGTAATCCCAGCTACTGGGAAGGTTGATTCAGGAGAATCGCTTGAACCCAGGAGGTGGAAGTTACAGTGAGCTGAGATCACACCATTGCACTCCAGCCTGGGTGACAGAGCAAAACAAAACAAAACAGTAATTTTATTTTGATCAGGATTTTATGGGCCAGAAATTCCTGAAGGGCTGAGCTGGTTATTCTGTCTCTGATACATTTACTGTCAGCAGAGGTGTCTGGGGCTGGCAAATCTACTACCAAGGTGGCTTCTCCACTTACGTAATTGGTACCTTGGTGCTCCATCATCTACCTCTTCCCAAAGGGTATCTCAGTCTGCAGTTCTCCTTGTGTGGACTGGGCTTCCGATGACATAGTCGTCTCAGGGTAGCTGTATTTCTTATATGGCTACAGCCATTAATAGGGAGGCAGAAAAAGCTGTCAAAGTTTTTAAGCCTGTGCCAGAAAATGGCACACAGTGACTTCTGCCATTTGTTGTTGGGCAAAGCAGTCTCAAGGCCCATCCAAACAGATTCAAGAGGGTGGAAAAACAATCTCCACATCTTCATTGGGAGTAGCAAAGTGACATCAGAAGAGCAAATGGGACTAAATGATATTTTTAGTGACATTTTTGGACAATGTAATTTTACATGTCTACTTTTTCACATTTACTAGGTACCCAGCTTTTGAACTCAGTTTTTCATTCATTTCTGCTTTTAAACTAATTATCTCTCATAACATGCTATGTACAGTTATCAAAAAACAATTCAGACTACTAAAAAAATGGCTTTTCCATTTCTTCCTCATGAACTACTTACTCTAAATTGGCAATTTTTAAGTCAAGAAAAAGATAAGCTATTCACTAAGTGGTATTGGGACCATTGGCTCTTCATAGGAAAATTGATAGAATTAAATTTAATTATTTCATACCACACACATAAATCAATTAATTTTACAATTAATTAGTGGAAAAAAAAGGAAAAGTGACTCTACCAAAAGTAGAAGGGGAAGGGTTTTTAAAAAGTACAAATTATAAGAGTTATGGATTAAACTCTATTAAAATTCACAAAATTTATGTGAAACGTAAACAAAATGATACATGATTTAAAAAAACCTGTGAAAAACTGAAAGGATATATTTTTAACAAACAAATAATTTATATATGGAATTTGTTGAAATGCTTATATAAAGATGAAAAAGAGACTAACAATTCAAAAGATAATTAAGAAAAATACAAACCTAGTCAAGTTTTAGGGGAAAAAACCCAAAAGATTCCTATACTCTAATAACAAAGGAAATAATCATTAAAAAAAATTCACACATATCTGAATGAAAAAAATGTCTGACAGTATAGTTTTTGAAAGAATCTGAAACAAGCTGCAAATTCTAAAATCTTCTGGAGAAAATATAGTTTCATAAGGTAACAATTTACAGTCTTACTGAAAATAGAGCTGTATGTTCACTAGATCTAGCAATTTTCTATTACATATAATACTTTTTTGGAAACATTTACAAAGATATGCCTGTTTTGACAAAATAAATAATACATGTACCTGAAAAATAAACCATTGAATGAAAAAAAAAGTATTAAAACATAGAAAACAATACTAAAAACACTGTTAATGGACACATATACTTGTATATGCAGTACAATGGCTGGGTTTATATTCTGGTTCCAGCACTTACTATGTATGTGACTTTATAAAATTTATATAAGCTCTCTGTGCCTTAGTTTTCTTGTGTACAAAACCAGTTGTTTTGATAATTATATTAGGTAATATGTGAAAAGCACTTAGAAAGTCCCTGTTATTAGTAGGTGCTCAACAAATGTAAAAAAGTAATTGTTCCTTTATCCTTCTCATTCTCTTCCTCCTAATTATTCTTTTTCTTATTACCAAAATATAGACTAAAAAAATACACCAATTTATGATAGTGCTTGTCTGTGGAGATGAAGATGAGACCAGGAAAAAATTATAAATGGGACTTGAACTTTATTAGGAATATTTATTTCATTTATCTAAATCTAGAAAACAAATTTAATAAATTATTAATATTAATTTATTCTATGTAGTGGGGCAAGGATATTTGTATATTATTCTCTAAACTTGTTTGTACAGGTCAGGCATGGTGGTTCACATCTGTAATCCCAGCACTTTGGGAACCTGAAGTGAGAGGATTACTTGAGCCCAAGAGTTTGAGACCAGCCTGGCAACATAGTTAGGTTGGGTTAGTTAACTGCTGCAGGAGCATGTCCTTAAGGCACAGATCGCTCATGCTAGTTTGTAGCTTAAGAATGGCTTTAAGCGGTTTTCTGCCCTAAGCGGGCCAGGTGTTCCTTGCCCTCATTCTGGTAAACCCACAACCTTCCAGCGTGGACGTTAGGGCCATTATGAACATGTTATACAGTGCTGCAGAGATTTTGTTTATGGCCAGTTTTGGGGGGCCTTGCTCTCAATACAAGTTGACATAAAACACCATCAAACCACATAAGTCTCCATTTCAGATGACCTCAAGATAAACACATCACTCAGGTTTGTCGTGGAGAAAGCCATAAGGAAGAGTTAGCAAAGAAAGAAGGAAGAGTTAGCAAAGAAAGAAGGCAGACTAGATATTCATATTTGGTAAATAATTTTGATTATGGTTCCTGTCAGAGAACAAATGGATCAAGAACATACTGTGTTTTTATTTGAAGAATTGATGAGGGAGAAACCATTATCCTGGTCCAAAGGAGCATATGTTTGTAAGATAACCCTTCTCACACAAACTTGCCAGGCAGAAAGCATCCCACAAATAAGGAAGCAAAGGTCATATTCCATGAAGCTCAATTCATAAGTGCCCAAGGAAAATAATGAATTAGGAAGAACTTTCCAGATGGTGGGACCAGCAGCATGAAGGGCTATGAAAAAGGAAGTTTTGCTCAGATTACAAAAACAAGGAACTTACTTACTGCCAAGTGCTTGGTCCTCAAAGTCCCTGTCCTGGAAGACAACATCATTGTTATATTTCTCTTTATTCCATATTCTTAAATGGAGTTATCTTTCTTTTCTCCATCTTGGTATAGTGACGTGTATGTGAAAGGTGAGGCAATAGCCAGTATTTTAGTAGCTAGACTGCAATCTATGAGCCTTAACCAGACTTAATGGATAACCTAGGGATTAGGTGATATAGAAATTTGATGAGACTTTGAGTTGTCTCTTTTTGAGATGGATGAGTTCCTTCTAAGGGTGAGAATAAGAATGTGCATAGATACTTTGTTGGTTAATGAGGAAGACTGCAGTAGCGATTGCAAATCATCTACCAAAATGTGTGATACCCCTCTGCCTTCCATAATATAGACTTCATGCTGGGGCACTGTTGTGCATTCAGGGAACGAATTCTCAACTCCTTTTGTGACACTGAGTAGATAGCAGAGTCACATCCATGCTGAAGCAGTTAAAAATTCATGTTTGCTGATCCCATTGTCTCATTTGCCTTCCCCTTGATGAAGAGGAAACCAAGACACTAGGAGATAATGGGGCCATAAGAAGGAGAGTGCCTGTGTTCCTGAACTGATGTACATTTATATACGAAAAATACCAAGAAATGAAGAAATCAGTACTGAACTGTTGTATAAGAAAGAAAAAAAGAGTCATCTATTATGTTAATCCATTGAAAGTTTTGAAAGTTATTATAGAAGCTGGCTTATAACTATAAAATGCAGTAAAAAACACAATTACCAAGATGAATAATGAAGAGCTCTGGTATCACTCTCCTTCAGTGGTAATGCTTCTAAAGCCTCTACTTAGTGTATAGCAACTTCCAAAAATTCAACAACCACCAATATTTTTGATCAGCTTTCAGCTTACATATCTCTCCTTGGTGCCAGAACAATACATTCCAATTGCTACTGAATATTTCCTCTTAGATGATCCATAAATTCAACTGTTGAAAATGGAAGAAATTAAATTCAGCACTCTTTTGTCACTCTTTCTTGCTTGTCTATCTCTCTTTCTCGCTATCTTTATCTCTATCTCTCTTCTTCTTAAGTTTTTAAAAAATCTTTTAAAATGGCTTCAACATCTATTTTGATCCTTAAGTTAGAATTCTGGGAAGAATTATTGAGTCTTTCTCATTCTATGAATTTGATTGGCTTCCAAATCCTGTCAATTTTACCAGGAAAATCTTTCTTCAAAACATCCTCCTATCCATCCTTGCTGCCTTAAAAATAATAGCAGTATTATATCAGTAGCTTACTGACATAATAGTAGTGCTTACTATTTGTTTAGAGTTGTTTCTAACCATTTTATGTAGAATATCACATTTAACCCAAGTATTAATTTTGTAAAGTAGAGTTCCAAATTACCTTTATTTTATAGAATGTAATTCATCTGGTTCATGGTACAGCCAAGATCCAATAACCCTAAGCATCCAATACCAGAACTCATATTCTCAATCACAACACTTTAAGTTTCATCAATTCTCACCTCCATTTCTGCAGTAGCTCTTAACTGTCTTCTTCCCACTGCACTGACACCCTCCAATACATATCACATGCAAATCTAAGTCATTTTACTGTATGTCATCAAATCCGGCAATGCCTTCACATTTCTTAATGTACAGAATTTGTCCTCTTTTCAGGGTCCATAAGGTCTGTCACGCTTTGGGCTTTCCTCTCAATTCAACCTCATTTCTTGCTTATATTTTCTTTACATTCTCTGCCCAAGTGGCAATTAACTATTTGAGGCACATTCTTTGACAGGAATGCCTTTCCTAATCCCATAGCATGGTATATTAGTTGGAATAGATTTAACTACTACAAAAAACACATCAAAAAATAATATAATGACTCAGACATGATAGAAGGTTTCTTCTTCTTTTTTGGGGGGTGTGGGGGTAGGGGGTTATATAATAGTCCAGGGTGGGTGTTGTATCAGGACAGAGAAGTGGATAGATGGGGCTCTTCTCTGCACAGTTATTCAGAATTCAAGGCTAATGGTGTCACTGCCATCAGCATATAGGTATTAAGGTTGCTGTTATAGTCACTATTCTGGTGCATGGTAAGTAGAAAGTTGTGGAAGAGTGTACAGCAGGTCCTCAAATAACATCAATTTTCTCAGCATTGTTTCATTAAAATGAGGCCATAGTAGGTGTGGAGTTTGCAGGGCCTCCCTATGTCTGTGTAGGTTTTCAACAGGCTCTCCGGTTTCCTCCCACATCCCAAAGATGTGCATGTTAGGTTAATCCTGGTGTCCTGGTGTATACATGGTCCCAGTGTGAGTGTGAGTGTGTGGGAGTCATCCTGCCATGGGATGGCACCCTGTCCAGGGTCAGGTTCCAGCTTTGCACTCTGTGCTGCAAGAAGAGGCTGCGGCCACTTATGACTCTAAACTGGAATAATTGGATAAAAATTACCCTATTTTATTCATCTTTCTTAAATGTATATATAGCTCATGTTTAGTTCAGTAGTCATTAGCAGTTTTGATCTTTAGAAGTTTGGTAATATTTTTGTGACCAGAAACATGCCAGAATTATTAAAGTCTTGTTGACATCAATTAGCCTACGGTAGACTTTGTGTCTTTACACATCATTTCATTAAAAGCTGCCATTTCCAAGAAGCTATCTACCATATTAAGTGATGATTTACTGTACTTCCAAATTTCATGGGCCATTCTTGGAAGTGACACAAATGACTTTTCTCACTTTTTTTTGGCAGGAACTTAATCACATAATCTTATCACTCTCCAGTCAGCTGGGATTGATAGCCTTTGGCTGGGCAACAATACCCCAGATACAACAACATTGCCATGGAAGAAAAAAATATAGACAATGGTGGAAAGATTTGCCCAACATAGTTAACTCTTATTTGCCCATGAGAACCCAGATCACATAGCATCTTCCCTGAAGCACCTTTCCTGCCCCCATCAATTGTGGTGAAACATCCCTTTTATGTGCTGTCATGGACAATTTTCTGTTAACCTACTCTCTCTAATGAGATAGTTACTTTCTTGCAGAGAAAGGCTGGCTTATTAACCTTAATGTTCTCAACACCTGACACATGGCTTGGCACATAAAATGGTGACTTTCTAGAATATAAATTCAATTGAATTGAAAAGAAATAATATGGAGTGGACAAAGATGAGAAACAGAACAGAAAACTATGAGAGACTTGTTTATGAAAGACAAGTGCAGGAAAGTCTACATCAAATACTTCAGAGAAACTGATTATGTTTACATCTGAAAAAAAAAACATGAATTAGTTTCAGCTAATGAACAGAGGTGAGCATGCAAAGGCAGTGAAAAAAAGGTGAGATGAAAGATGAAACTAGATGACCAAAATAATATAGAGACTGTTTTGTCTTGTTTTTAAGATGGAAGTCATGGCTTTCCCAAAAGACATCATACGATATGGAAAATAAGCAGTTTGCTCTATAATTGTTCCCAAGTGTCTCAACTTGGATTCAATTGTTTTACACTAAGCATAAATAACTTGTGCCCTCAGGCATTCAAGGTTAATGATGTCCGATTTTTTGTTTTCTCAATTGTCAAAGAAGTATACTTTTAAAAATAGCAGATGTAATTAAACGAGCATATTTTATTACTGGAATCAGGGTATTTTGAGTGACTTGCATTTTCAGAAGTGTTCCAAATTCTCAGAAGGTCATGTCCCCAAAAAGCCTTCTTTATCTTTGCATTCTTAAGCAAATGGTGATTATATTTTCAAAAAAATACATTTTATATCTCTTTATTAGCACAAATGCACAGTAAACCATATGAACAATGTTTACTTTTTCTCCAATGAAGCCTTTCATCTAATTTGTCTAAAATAAACACATTACACTTTTTCCAGCCTTTTTGTGTCTCAAAAATGAATAACTTCCTCCATGGTCTATTTATAGTTTCTGCTTTTCCTCTCACTTTGGCCTCCCATAGATCCCAGAAATATAAAGGTAAATTCTGCTGATGTAAACTCATCAAAAGATTAGAAGATTTTGAGGGAGTGCAAGAACATCTGGAGCATCTCCCTTCTTAATTATCTCCAGTTATTATTGTATTCAAGAATACAAATTTCCATCACAGTGAAAAGAGTCTAAAAATATCAGGTACTGGGGAGTAAAGAAGACGGTAGAATAGTCCAACACTGTAGACTTCTTTCTCCAGTGGTCTTTTTACCTGGTTATGCACTCTGAACCACTAAGAACCTGTACTGTATATACCCAAGAAATATTTCATTCATCTTGAAATATGACATAACACACTTTATTGGAATTCTCTATAAGCCCAGCTTATGTCAAATTTGTATCCCATGGCAATCACCTATGAGCAGGAGGATGGGGTCACAGTATATGCATATGGCTGCCTGGTGGGAGAAGAATTCTTAGAATAGGGATATCATGAGCTAGAGATGTGTTTCCTATAGAGACAAAGTACTAGTCAGTATTGAAGAATACATATGAGGGTTGCCCATCTGAATCTGTTGGTAAGAGTAAATTAATTGCCCTCACAGATTTTGCTTTCTTTATAATATGAGATCTCAGATATATCTATATCTATATCTATATCTATATCTATATCTATATCTATATATCCATATATCTCTATCTATCTATCATCTATCTGTCTATATATATATAGACTGAGATAAATGTGTATCTATTTTGAGACTGAGTCCTGCTCTGTTGCCCAGGCTGGAGTGCAATGGCACTGTTTCAGTTCACTGCAACCTCCGAATCCCAGATTCAAGCAATTCTCTTGCCTCAGCCTCCCGAGTAGCTGGGATTTCAGGTGACCACCACCAAGGTCAGCTAATTTTTTTTGTATTCTTAGTAGAAACAGGGTTTCGCCATTTGGCCAGGCTGGTCTCGAACTCCTGACTTCAGGTGATCTGCCTGCCTCGGCCTCCCAAAGTGCTGGGATTACAGGTGTGAGCCACCGCACCCAGATCTCAGAGACATATTAACTGAGGATGGTAAAAGAATAAGACTTGACCAGTAAATTAAGAAGACTCTAATTTCTTACAAAAGTAAAAAACCATGTTTTCTGTCTACTTAAAAAAAAGTTTTCTTATTTGTTTTACCTTTTTTTCTTTTCCAATATAGTAAATCATACTGGGAATGAATAAGTGTCACTGCAGCAAAGCCCAGTTTCTAATTAGCTGTCTAGATTTTCAGGGAGATGAATAACATAATCTGATGAATAAGAATTGGAAAGAAGCAAATTAAAGCTATAATGTTTTAATTATGAAAAAAATTTATAAAAGATATGGATTACTTTCTTTGAAGGATAGTTAACTGCCTTCATATAACAAATCCTCAAAGCAACTGGACTAAGAAATATCAATATTATAATTCTGACTTTATATATGTTAGACCCGTGTTAAAAATGAATTTACAATTTATTTATAATTATACCTCAACATTTTATTACAATCTTTATTCAAATTAAATGGTCTTTAACAGGCCAATTCAAATAGTTCTCATTTTCAGACATGTTAGTTGAGATGTAAATCACATATCATAAAATTAACCCCCATCAATGCACTATTTACAAAGTTGTGCAACCATCCCCACTGTCTAATTTTAGAACATTTTCAATCATCTCCAAAGAAACCCATAAGCACTAACAGTGGTTTTTCTTCCATTAGACCCACATCCCTGGACCTAGCTCTGCATAGCCATTAATCTACTTTAGGTTTCCATTGACTTCTCTTTTCTGGACATTTTATATAAAGGGAATCATACAGCAAGTGGTCTTTTGTGACTGGTTTCTTTCATTTAGCAAAATGTTTTAGGATTCATCCAAGTTGTAATATGTGTTAGTATTGTATTCCTTTTTATTGTTGAATAATTTCCATTGCATAAATATACTACATTTTAATGCATTCATCAGTTGATGGATATTTGGGAGTTTCTACTTTGTGGGTTAATAAATAAAACCGTTATGAAGATATGTGTACACAGTTTTGTGTGGACATAAGTTTTCAATTCTCTTGGATTAGATTTGATACTATCTGGCAGTAGAATGACATAATACAGTAACCCTATATATAACTTTTTCAGCACTTGCCAGACTCCTTTTTCTTAAGCAGCTGCATAATTTTGCATTCCTATCACAGATATATGAGGATTTCAATTTATCCACATTCTCACAAATATTTGTTATTGTTTGCTTTATTTATTATAGCTATCCCAGTGTATGAGCAGTGGTATCTTATTGTGGTTTTGATTTGCATTTCCCTGATGACTAATTATGTTGAGCAACATTTTTATGTGCTTATGTGCCATTTGTATAACTTCTTTGGAAAAATATCTATTCAAATTTTTCACTCACTTTTTAAATTAGATTACTTTCTTATTTATTTGGGAGTTGTGCATGTTCTGTATGTATTCTGGATACAAGTTTATTATCAGATATATGCTTTGTGAATATTTCTTCCTACTTTGTGGGTTGTCTTTCTTGATGGTGTCCTTGAAGTATAAAAATATTCAATTTCAGTTAAGCCCTTTTATGTTGTTCATTTTCTTTTGTCACTTGTGCTTTTGGTGTTGTATCTAAGAAACCATTGCCTAAACCAAGGACACAAAGATTTACACCTGTATTTTCTTTTAAGATTTTTATAGTTTTTGCTCTGACATTTAAGTCTACGGTCAATTTTGAGTGAATGTTTGTATATGGTGTGAGGTAGGGGTTCAGTTTTATTCTTTTGAATGTGAATATCTAGTTGTCCCAAGATCATTCATTGAAGGAATATTGATCTCTTAGTCGAGATATTTGTGGGAAGAGACTTGGAAAAACCATTGAAAGAGTTAAGATTATAAACAGTATTGTTGGAATTTACAGGAAAAGAAAAGGAATGTCTAGTTAAATACTGTTAGACTCTTGACAGGCAATCCTCTGGCTAACTAGGTTGCTACTTTACTAGAAAAAGGGCCAGTCCCATTATTTTTTCTCAGAAATTTGTATTTTATGTACTTTATCATAAATACTATTTGTTTCCCAGAAGGAGATTATCAGTTTCCTCACCAAAATAGCTTATTTTCCGAACTAAGTTTTTAACTTTTTTAAAACAGGTGCTAGCAGAAGGGAGATAAGGGTTCCAATCTACCCTCTTGTCCAGCAAAAGTTTTGACAAATTTACATTTCTTCCACAGAAAGATGTATAAATTAATGTATTCATGTAACATTTACATTTAATCTAGTTTCAAATACTAGGAGAAGACTTATTAAAGTAAATATGAATCTTTTCATAAAAGCAAAAATATTTTTGGTGATTTAAATGATCACTGGCAAAGCTTCCAGGCTCCATCTTTCACTTTTTTGGCAGTTCAGGGAGGTTAGAATTTTGTGATGGCTTAAAGAAACATATATCAAGAATCTAAGATATTTGTTATTGTTTTGCATATTATTCATGCTGTTTTGTGCATTCATGTCTGAATTAGTCAATGTCATGGTCCAATATGCACTCACTGAAACCCAACTTCACAAGGCTTTTATAAAGCGAAATATAATATTTAAACAATTCTCCTCCTATGTGTTTCACATCATAGAGGCTGATTTTTAACAAAGAATGGAAATAATAGAAATATTCCAAATCAATTTACTAGGTAAAAAGGGAAACAGAGAAGCAATTATGCAATTATCTCCATGCAAAGGCTTTCAGAGTTGTTCTGCCTAGAGGAGATAATATGCAGTATGGAGGGAAGAGGCAAACAAAAATGGCTTTAGCTCACTTAATTTCAAATGGAATGCAGCTAATGTTCATATTCTGAATAGATATTAATTTGTCATCCTTTTAGCCACTTGTTTTGTATATCGTATTTCTGGTCATTATTCCCCTTATTTTAGGCATATTATTTTCTCTTAACACAAGAATACAAGTTTCAAGAGTATTGGGATATTTTAAAGTTATTTTCTATATTGCTATATCCCATAATCTAACATGGCATCTGGCAAATAAGAGATGGTCAATAACAATTTTTCACTGAATGTTGAATGAGTTTATTCTATTTAGAAATACTGAAAACAGCCATCATGCTACACTTTAGGAAGGGGGAAGGAGAGAAGAAAAGAGAATTTCCAACAAGTTTATAAATGTTTTGAATATGGAAAATCTATATGATATCCCTTTATATATTCAAAACCTAAAACCTTTCAGTAACAAATATGAAAACACCTAACATAAAATATAATAAATATTGTTAATGTAATTATCACCAGTTAATTCATTCCCAAAGGAAAACTATAACAAAATTTTGAGTTCTTTCGCTTGCATACATTCCAAAAAATCCAATTCAATGGATAATTTCTTCATATCACTTCTCTCTCACAGGTCTCTAAAAGAGAAGAGAACTATATAGGCAATAGTTGTTTCAGAACAAGAATGTGCTCATTATTTTATAGTCTGGAAAACCAACTAACCCTTCTCAGAGAAGAAGCCTACTTCAGGAGTCTCATTGCATTTAGGGAATAAAAGTTAGTTTCATTATGATTATTCTTCATTAAGAAATAAAGCTTGATTCTTTTTTTGCATCAATCCTAGCACAGTTCTTAAAGCACAAGATGATTTAAAATTCTTATTGACTAAATGAATGGTATGATAGTGAGTAAACTTTGTCATAATACAAGAGGGTAGGAGAATTGAGCAATGCATTCTTCATTACTGTAGATAACCCAAGTGTCACTTTTAGTTGATTTGAAGATATATATTCTGTATGCTTATTTACTTATGATGAGTCTGCCTAAATATTGAAGAAATTT
Organism: Homo sapiens; assembly: GCF_000001405.40. NCBI lineage: Eukaryota > Metazoa > Chordata > Mammalia > Primates > Hominidae > Homo > Homo sapiens. The sequence continues at coordinate 44,089,473 of NC_000004.12, forward strand.
GGCATAGTGGAAAGAATTCTGATCCTAAAGTGACAAGTCCTGGGTCTAAAACCTAGGTTCGCTCCTTCATTAGCTGGGTGATTTTGGAAATGTAGTGTCCTCATTTCAACAACAACAACAAAATAAGAAACCTGCTGTGAAATATATCACAGATTTGTTTTAAAAATCAAAAAAGATAATGGATATAAAACAGAGGTATTGACTACTGACGCTTAGCAACTCACATGAATAAAATGTTGAATAAGATATAGTCCTGCTCTCACACCACTTAGCTAGTAGAGATAATAAGCACATAAACTAGAAAGTTCTGTATAAATGAGTCTTCAGCAGAATGCTGCAGAGACATGATTCTGGAGGAGCCTTGCAATGGTCTAATTTTTCACTTCAACTCCTTACTCAACAGTTTCTTGCAATCAACTTTCTGAAGTCTCTTTTTACTCTAAGAATGGACAAGTCTATTTTTGAAAGATGTTTTCTTTCCAATCCTGTCTTCAGTGAGCAATATCAGTTCTAAGGCATGGCCTATCCCTGAAATCTAAGAGAAATAGAAGATGGAAATATCTACATAGCAAATAAATATTTTTGGTTACTATTCACATTGTAAATGAAAAAAAGATTTAACTGAATAATTGAGTTCTGAAAAGCAATAGCTTTTAAATATTCCCCAAATATTTAAGAAATTTTATTAACTCAAATAACTAATTTTTATGATGCTTTCTTTATCTCTCACCACTAACTGTGTGGCCTTGGGCAAGTTATTTAAATTTTATATATTTCAGTCACTCCAAATGTAACTTGGGAATAATAATAACACATACCTCATAAAATAGTTGCAGGGTGCCATTTGAATACTGAGCATGGGAGTATATATTATGCAATCCATACATTTTAGCCTCTATTATTATTCTTTTATTCACAGAGAATATAAGAGTTCTTCATACGTGACCTTCCTGGTCATATGCTGAGCTCTGAAATTCCAAACCAGTTCAAATAGTCATCTCCCTCTGGCTTCCTTCCATTGGACTAGCAAAGATGATGCAGTAACTTTACCTTAGTCAGGCAGAGGACCTGAAGGGAAAAGATAGCCCCATTGTGAAACATGGGAGCTGCTTGAGTTTCCAGGGAAGAATTATTGAGCTAAATAGAAGGAATTGCTCTTCAGTGAGGTTTCTTAGGGTGTGTGAGGTGGGGGAGAAGTGAGAGCTGAGAGAAAATGCAGAGAGCTATAGAGCTGAGCTAGAAAACATAGGGGCCTCCTTTTTCTTATCATTTTAACCAGAAGAGTAATCAATTTCTCAATAATTCTTCTGGCTTAGGTTTGGTGTTTTTGTTTGTTTGTTTGTTTGTTTGTTTTTGGCTTCTCCCTGTGGTTGGCTTCCTTCATTGCAAAATGTTTCCCAACATAATAGATTATAGCTCCAGATTTTCCCCATTCACACTTTTGAAGCAAGAGTGTAGTTTTCCACAACTATTAAATAAAAGTTTGGCGTTTCACTTTGATTGGACCAAGATGGACCAATAACTGTAACCAGAGCATAGTCATTAGCTTAGGCTTGGGGTGATGCTCATCCTCAAACCCATGACTGTAGCAGCGTAGATTGGGATTGTGCCTTTTGCTTATGTCCATCAGTGTGCACCCATGGAGCTTGAGGTGGAGCTAACTCCCATCCAAATGACTGCCGTACAGGAAAACAGAATTGGATTACCAAAGAACAAATCTGAGTTTTGCTAAAAAGGGGTAAGGAGGAAGAAATCGTGACAAAGAAGGCAACTAAACAATGATCACTTCAGACCCAATCAAAAAGTCATTTTTAGTGCAGCTGGTAAATACAATACTATCTCTTTTATTGCAAATATATTTGCATATATTTATTTTTGCTATGTATTCTGTTACTGGCCATGTTCAAAATATCTTCTGTAAGTCTTGAAATTTCTTCGGTGAGGTTTTAGTTTCCTCATTTTACAGTTCACAGAAAGGTGGCTCAGGGATTTTGAGAGACTTGCTTAATTAGCAAATTATAGATCCAGCAAATCTAGCAATTTATAGATCCGGAATTGAAGTCCAGTTGTATTTGACTCCAAAGCTTGTGCTTTCTGTCTACCACACTGCACTACCTCCTCCTGATCTTGCAAAACCAGTGTAACGATGAGAAAATTTCCAGAGTAGAGAATTGCATATTCAAGATCCTTTGCTAGAGGCAGAGATGGAAAACAAATTGTAGTTTACAATGTAATAAGCACCCATAAAATTAGTAAGAGTATAAATTAATATAAGCTTTTGGAAGGGACTTTCCTAATATGCATCAAATTTTAAGTTACATGTAGTTTTGATTTACCAACTTCACTTTTAGAGAACACAGTTTTGTGACAGGCCGGTTCTCCTTATCAACTGAATAGGCAAGCCTCCGCAACAACTATTTCAGCAGTGACTGAGTGGTTAAGTTAAATATTAAAAGCCGAAAGAGCCAGTGTCCTTATACAAAGGCTGGAATGTCACAAAAGCCCACCAAGAGTTTTGCCTAGGCCTTTACTGGGCCTGGAAGCATGACAAGATTACAAAAGTATTCTTAGCAGGACCCATTTAGGATTCAACAAGTTTTATTGGGGGTCTCAAGGAACTCCCCAAACCTCCACAAACAAGTTTGTTAGGGGTCTGAAGGAACTCCTAAAATCTCCATAATTTAGCAGGAGACAAGATAAGGGTAATCACCCCTGTCACCTGGACCCATCTAGATTAAGTAAATTTACTGATACTCCAGAGGAAGGTCTTCAGGACTCAGAGCTTAGTTATAGATTAGAAGAAGTTAATCATTTATGTCTTTAGATGCATGCATACTTACATGTAGACATATAGCTTAGAAGGTATATAAAGTATGGAAAACTTTGTAATTTTAAGTTGGTCTGGTGATGTTTCCCGGACATTCTTGCTGTACTCGGTTATATAAATCAACTATTTTTTTCTCAGTTCATCTGTATCTCATTATTGGATTGTGAGAATAAGCAGCCCGACCCTTGGTTTGGTCTGAGAAGCAATTTAATAATTAAAAGAAATGGGAAAAAGGATATTAATTGCAATGATTTTTAGAGATTCGAAATAACCAAAATATCCCGAAATGAAAAAAAGACTAGTTATTTTGCATCTATATATTAAAAATCTTAAAAGTTTACATCTATAAGTGCTAACATAGATAGCTGTCTGTGATGTAAATAAAACAAAGTTATAGAGTACTAGCTTTATATAACATGACCTGATTTTTTCTTTTCTTTTTTTTTTTTTTTTGAGATGGAGTCTCCCACAGTTGCGCTGGCTGGAGTGCAGCAGTGCAGTGGCTGTGATCTCGGCTCCCAGCAACTTCTGTCTCCTGGGTTCAAGCAATTCTCCTGCCTCCTGAGTAACTGGGATTATAGGTGCCCGCCACCATGCCCAGCTAATTTTTTGCATTTTTAGTAGAGGCTGGGTTTTGGCATGTTGGCCAGGCTGGTCACGAACTCCTGACCTCATGATTCATCCACCTCAGTCTCCCAAAGTGCTGGGATTACACACTTGAGCCACCGCGCCCAGTCTCTATTTTTTTTTTCTTTAAGAGAGGAGTATTTCTTCATCCAAATACCATGGAGTATCTACTATGGGTTAGAGATTATTCTGGGTGGTTGAGAGATATCAGTGAATAAAAAATAGCCCAGCTTTTGTGAATTTATATTCTAGTAGGAGAATTCAAATAATAAATAATATAATTGGTAATAATTTTATAAAGTGCATTAGAATAAAATGAGGAAAATAGATACAGCAAAGTAAAAAGATAAGAAATGAAGGCAGCGATGAGATAGAAGTCACAATATTAGAGAGTGGTGATGATGGGCCTCATCAGGAAGATGAGATTTGATACCTAAATAGATGAGAAATTCAGACAAGCAGGCATCTGAAGGAGTGGCATTCCAGGCTGAGTAACAATTTAGAGCAAAATATTAGGGTGGAAGTATAAGTTCTAGAAACAGCAAAGAAGGCCAAGGTAGTTAGCACAGCATGAAGAGGTGAGAGTAACAGATGGCAGAGAGGTATGCTCAGTAGATCATGTGAGGCCTTGAAGGAACCTCTACTTATGGACATATATTATGCTGCCTCTTTGAATACATGTTCCTATGTATAATGGTGCATATTTAGATTGTGTTAATTCATATATATGTATGAATTCACATAGCTACAAGTATATGTACACATGTATTCATATTTATACATATATTTATATTTTTGTCTGTTTATATCAAGTTCCTCAAGTCCAGACAATTAACTCTCTACAGTGTTTACTTGTAGTTGTGAAGGCAGAAATTACAGAAGAATTTCATTTGTTTTCATATTTCCATATCATATAATTTTTTAAAATAAATAAGTATTGCTTTTTGTTTCTATTTTATTGTTTAATATAAAATACAGAGAAAAGTGAATTAAAATTTAATGTACAGCTTAAATAATGATTAAAAAGCAAACTATTGTGTAACCACCTCCCAGGTCAAGAAATGAACATTGCCCATATCACAGTAGCTCCCACCGGTACCTGCTCTATTATACCAGCCTCCTTCTGACCTAGAGGAAATCATACTCTGACTTATATGGTAATTGCTCTCTGGCTTTTTCTTTTTTTTTTATTTTAACCTCCCAAGCATGCATTTCTAAAGAAAATAGATTCATTTTGCATGTATTATTTTGGGACTGTTTTTTTTAACTCAATGTAATTTTTGTGGGATTTATCTATGTTGTTACATTCTAACTGCTCAATAGTCTTCCATTTTATGAATATACCAGCAATTAATAGTTCATTTTCTTATTGATTTCTTAAGACGTTACATCCATTTTTAACTATTACCAATAATGCTGCACTAAACTTACTGGCACATGCCTCCTAGAACACATGCACTGGCATTTCAGTGGTTATCTTAATATGAGTGGATTTGTGGATTTTCCTAAGAAGGTAGATCAATTACAACACCACCAGTGGAGTATGAAAATGTTTGAGCTTAACTTTCTCATTCACTCTTATATTTTGGTCAGTTTTTGCAATTTCAACCATTCTGTTTTGTCGTAGATTACCGTGGTCTTAACTGGCATTTTCTTGTCTTGAATGAGGTTAGCAACTTTTCTTATGTTTATTGGCCATTTGAATATTCTCATTTGTAAAACTCTGTCTCCCATTCATACATCGTGCTCCATTTTGGCAAATTCTACTAAAAGAAAGGAAACAAATATGATTGGTGGGAACTCTGTACGTATTTTGGATATGATGCCTTCATTAGTTGCATGCGTTCATAAATATCTCTCTGTACGTGAGTTACTTTTTCACTCTCTTCAGTGTCTTCGTTAGCCAATAGTGCTTCAATTTTATGTAGTTAAATTTAATATAATTTCCTTAATGATTAATGCTTCTTATATCCAGTTTGGTTTCCTATCTTGAGGTTATAAAAATATTCTCTTTATTATCTTCCAAATGCATTCGTGTTTTAAACACTTTAACATTTAGTAATGATTCCATCCAGAATTGATTTACTATGTATAGTATGAGGTAGAGATTAAGTTTTATTTTTCCACATGTGGATCCCCAATAAATGATGAATCCTGGATCATTTATTTTGAAAGTAATCCTTTCCCAACTCTTTTGCAGTGCTAACTTTATTTTAAAAGAATTGTCCAAATAGGTATGAGATTTTTTTCTGGGCCCATTTTTCTGCTTCATTGATCTCTTCGTGTATCCTCACACCAGTTCCAAATTTGGTTAATTATTGTATCCTATAAAGTATATTCTAGTATAGCAAATTCTTTCACCTTGATCCTTAAGAGTGCATGAGCTATTTTTGGCCTTTTGCATTCCCAGAAAAGATTTTAGAATTGTTTATCAAGTCCCACACACAAAAAGAAAAATACTAAGGATTTTGTTGGGGTTGCAATAAATTTATCAGTTTGAGAACTAACATTTATTAGTAGTTTTTATCATAAATTGATATTTAATTTTATTAATTGCCTTTTCTACATCAAAATAATTTAAAATTTTCTAGTCTTATCAATGAGCTATTTATTTTCTAGTATTAAATCGACTTTGCATTTTAGTAATAAACAATCTTAAACGTAATGCATTGTGCTCTTTGTACATTTTCACATTTGGTTGGAAAATACTTTGTAATTTTTGCCACAATATTCAAGATTGATTTTGAACAATTTCCTTTTTTATAACAATCTTAATTTTCCTTGTTGTACTTTTCCTTTTTTATAACATAATTTATGGTGTTTAGTATCAAGTGTATGCTTATTTCATGAAACAAATTGAGAGGTCTTTCAGTTTTTGTATTTTCTGAAAAAATTGCTGTAAGATTGACATGACTTTTGATTGAACGGGCCAGTAAAGCCATGTGAAATTGGAGCTTTCATTGCGTGAAATGTTTACATTATAATTTTATATTCTTCAATAGTTTCAAAACTATTCACATTTTCTTTTCTTCTTGGATCTATTTTGGTAAATGGTAAAGCTTGGTAGCTTTATTATATGTTATATAATACAATTTTTTTTTATTTTCACAGAACTGAAGCAAAGACCTTTTTTTTATTCCCAGCATTGGTTACTTGTGTCATAACACTTTCCTGAGAGCTTACCTTTGGCTTTGTTGAGTCTCCATAGGGAATTTTTAAAATTTTATTTTTTTTCTGGTTTTAGTTATTATTATTTTCTTCCTTCTATAGTTTTTGGATTTATTTTGCTATTCTGTCTCTAATATCTTACCCTTAACTCATTGGTGTTTTAATTTTTTATCTTTTCAAATAGGCACATTTGAGAGTATGAACTTCACTCTCATCCTTTTTATTATTTTTCAATTAAAATATTTCTAATTTCTACTTTCTGCCTTTGATCCTTGTTTTTCCAAGAATTATATTTTCATAATTTATGATTATACATATGATTTTTAAATATAAAATTGTTAAAGTTTTAAAAAACTGATTTCTAGTTTTATTGCTTTTATTAAGTCAGCAACTGCTCCTTGTGATTTTAATATTTTCAAATTTATTATACTTGTGAATATAAATACTACAGTTTTGGAGTCCATTGTTCTATAATATATGTTTTGAGAATGTTCTCAAATATATAGAGCAAATATTCTGTATTTTAACATGTGTTAATCATGTAATTTAGTGCTTCTATATCCTTAATGATATCTTTGCTATGAATTCTATCAAAAATGGATAACGGGAATAAAATCTCCCATTAGGATTAGGATTATAGATTTGTCTATATCTCCTAGTAATTTGTTTAATTTTTGTTTTTCAAATGTGAGTCTATATTATTAGGTACATAGACACTTAGAACTGTTGTATCTTATTGTTGAATTGAAAGTTTTATCATAATACTGTCTATTATTAATTTTCAACTGCTTGATATTAATCACTTTTTAACTACTGTCTGATATTAACATCTTCCTGATACTAATGTAGGTACAACGGCATTTATTTGCTAGTCACTTAGATGATACATCACTTTTTATGCTTTTGTTTTTAAATCTTCTTTGTATTTATTTTAATATGTTTCTCTTTAAGTAAAAAATATTGAATGTTTTTGTTTGAGTTTAATCATTGCATTTTAATTTGTGCACATATGGTGTTTTTATTTAATGAAATTGACAATATATTTAAATGTTGACTGAGAATGCTGTTTTCTTTTGATCTCAGTTCTCTCATTTCTGCAATCTCCTATTTTTTACGATTGAGTAGTTTTTATTATTCAATTTTTATTCTGTTAGTTTTGTAATATGTATCTGCTACAGATTACATCATGAATCCTTGACTCACAAAAAAAGAAAACTTAAAAACAATCTGTACTTTTATCCTCTTCCAGCCTAATTAAACTCCACTTACCCACTGCATGATATTGTTGGTGTGTATTTTAATTACATAGTTTACATTTCAAAAGACATTAGTAATGTTGTTTTATAATTTTGTTGTTCATTTCAATTGACTCACAAATTTACATTTTTGTTACTTTTCCTTTCTTCCTACATGTCAAGTTTCCATCTGGGATAATTTTTTTTGTTTGCCTGATATGAATGAAGCTGGAAACCATCCTTCTCAGCAAACTAACACAGGAACAGAAAACCAAAAACTACATATTCTCACTTATGAGTGGGAGTTGAACAATGGAAATACATGGACACAAGGAGGGGAACATCACACACCGGGGCCTGTCGGAGGGTCGGGGGCTGGGGGAGCGATAACATTAGGAGAAATACCTAATGTAGATGACAGGTTGATGGGTGCAGCAAACCACCATGGCACACGTATACCTGTGTAACAAACCTGCACCTTCTGCGCATGTATCCCAGAACTTAAAGTATAATAAAAAATAAAAAATAAATAAGAATGTTAGTGAGAAAAAAATTTCCTTTAATGTAAAAACACTGTTAAAAATTTTTATCAGTTTTCATTTTCTGAAATGCTTTTAGGTCATCTTGAATCTAGAAAGATAATTTTCAGTGAGTATAGAAGTCTAGCTTGGCAGTCTTTTCCTTCAGTATATTGAGGATACCCTTTCTCTTACTCCTGGCTTCTGTCTACTTTTTGTAGATCTTACCTTGTTAATATGTCATTAACTTTTTAGGGCTCTGATGTCTTATAGTGTTTTTGTTTTGTTTAATTTTTATTATTTTTTTTTCTTTTAACAATTTTCCTTTTGGGGAAAGTTGGTTTAAATTATCTAGGATATCCTTCTTGGAAATAAAAAATCATTAATTTCTTTTATAATAAGAAAAATCAATACATTTAATGTAAAGAAACTAAGGGTATCTAGATCATAGATACAGCAGCCTGTAAGTATTCCCTTTTCTCCACAACTTTGCCAGCATCTGTCATTTTCTAACTTTTAATAATAGCCATTCTGACTAGTGGAAGATGGTATCTCATTGTGATTTTTATTTGCATTTCTCTGATAGTTAGTGAGGTTGACCATTCTTTCGGTTGTTCACTGGCCATGTATAGGTTGTCTTTTGAAAAGTGTTCATGTTCTTTACCCACTTTTTAATGGGGTTATTTGGTTTTTGCTTGTAAATTTGTTAAAGTTCCTTAGAGATTCTGGATGTTAGACCTTTTTCAGATCCATAGTTTGAAAATATTTTCTCCCATTCTGTAGGTTGTCTGATTCTCTGTTCAGAGTATCTTTTGCTGTGCAGAAGCTCTTTTGTTTAATAAGGTCCCATTTGTCAGTTTCTGTTTTCGTTGCATTGCTTTTGGCTTTTTTTTTTTTTTTTTCTTTTTCAGAATCTTGTTCTGTCGCCAGGCTGGAGTGCAGTGGCACGATCTCAGCTCACTGCAACTTCTGAATCCCTGGTTCAAGCAATTCTCCTGTCTCAGCCTCCTGAGTATGGGACTACAGGCACATGCCACCATGCCAAGCTAATTTTTGTATTTTTAGTAGAGATGGGGTTTCACCATGTTGGCCAGGATGGTCACCATCTCTTGACCTCATGATCCATCCGCCTCGGCCTCCAAAAGTGCTACTATTACAGGCATAAGCCACCTTACCCAGCCTTTTTAGCATCTTTATCATGAAATCTTTGCCAGGTCTTACGTCCAGAATGGTATTTCCTACATTATCTTCCAGAGTTTTTATAGTTTTAGGTTTTACATTTAAGTCTTTGATACGTCTTGTGTTGATTTTTGAATATTGCGTAATGAAGTGGTCCAGATTTGATCTTCTGCATATGGCCAACCAGTTATCCCAGCACCGTTTATTGAATAGGGAATCCTTTCCACATTGCTTATTTTTGTCAGGGTTGTTGAAGATCAGATGGTTGTAGGTATGCTGCCTTATTTCTGGGCTCTATTCTTTTCCATTGGCGTGTTGTGTCTGTTTTTGTATCAGTATCATGCTCTGTTGGCTACTGTAATCTTGTAGTACAGTTTAAAGTCAGGTAGAGTGATGCCTCTAGCTTTGTTCCTTTTGCTTAGGATTACCTAGGCTATTCAGGCTCAGTTTTGGTTTCATATGAATTTTAATATAGTTTTTATAATTCTGTGAAGAATATCATTTGTAGTTTGATAGAAATAGCACTGAATCTCTAAATTGCTTTGGGCAGTATGGCCATTTTAACAATATTGATTCTTCCTATTCATGAGCATGCAATGTTTTTCCATTTGTTTCATCTCTGATATCTTGGAGCAGTGTTTTGCAGTTTTCATTATACAGATCTTTAACCTCCCTGGTTAGCTGTACTCCTAGATATCTTATTCTTTTTGAGGCTATTGTGAATAGAATTGTGTTCTTGCTTTGGCTGTCAATTTGGATGTTGTTGGTGTATAAGAATGTTACCGAATTTTATACATTGACTTTTATCCTGAAATGTTGTTTTATCAGATCAAAAAGCTTTTGGGCAGGGACTATGGGGTTTTCTATTCATAGAATCTTACTGTCTTCAAGTAGGGATAGATTGACTCCCCTCTCTTCCTATTTGGATGCCTTTTATTTCTTTCTCTTTCCTGACTGCTCTGGCTAGGACCTCCAGTACTATGTTGAATAGGAGTAGTGAGAGAGGGCATCCTTGTCTTGTGCTGGTTTTCAAGGGGAATGACTCCAGCCTTTGCCCATTCAGAGTAATGTTGGCTGTGGATTTTCCATAGATGGCCCAAAACTTCGAAGTACATTTCTTCAACGCCTTGTTTGTTGAGAGTTTTTAGCATGAAGAAATGTTGAATTCTATTGAAAGTCTTTTCTGCATCTATTGAGATGATCATATGGTTTTTGTTTTTAGTTTTGCTTATGGTGAATCACATTTATTGATTTGTGTATGTTGAACAAACCTTGCATCTCAGGGATGAAGCCTGTTTGATTGTGGTGCATTAGCTTTTTGATATGCTGCTAGATTCGGTGTGCTAATATATTTTTGAGGATTTTGCCTGATGTTGGCCTGAAGTTTTCTTTCTTCTAAATGAAAAGTTTTCTCTTTTTGTGTCTTTGCCAGGTTTTGCTATCAGGATGAATCTGGTCTCATAAAGTGAGTTAGTAGGCAGTCCTTTCTCCTCCATTTTTTTGGAATAGTCTTGCACTGCTATAAATAAATATCTGAGAATAGAAAATTTATAAAGAGGTTGAATTGACTCACAGTTCCACAGGCTCACAGTACAGGAAGTATGATGCTGGCCATCCGGTTGGCTTCTGGGGAAGACTCAGGAAACTTCGAATCATGGTGTAGCAGGATAAGCTGCAGACAAAACCATTCAGACACCGAGTTAAAGAAGAAAGGGCTTTATTTGGCCGGGAGCTTCAGCAAGACTCACATCTCCAACAACCGAGCTCTCTGAGTGAGCAATTCCTGTCCCTTTTAAGGGCTCAGAACTCTAAGGGGGTCCACGTGAGAGGGTCATGATCAATTGAGCAAGCAGGGGGTACGTGACTGGGGGCTGCATGCACTGGTAATTAGAATGGAACAGAACAGGACAGGGATTTTCACAGTGCTTTTCTATACAATGTCTGTAATCTATAGATAACATAACTAATTAGGTCAGGGGTCGATCTTTAACTACCAGGCCCAGGGTATGGCACCAGGCTGTCTGCTTGTGGATTTCATTTCTGCCTTTTAGTTTTTACTTCTTCTTTCGTTGGAGGCAGAAATTGGCATAAAACAATATGAGGGGTGGTCTCCTCCCTTAATGACCCTTAATCACCCATAAGAGGTGAAGGGGGAGCCAGCATGTCTCACATGGCCTGAGCAGGAGGAAGAACAGGACAGAGGAGGTGCTACCCACTTTTAAACAACCAGATCTTGTAAGAACTATATCACGAGACAGCACTAGGGGGATGGTGCTAAATAATTGGAAACCACCCCCATGATAGAGTTACCTCCCACCAGGCCCCACATCCAGCATTGGGGATTACATTTCAACATGAGATTTGGGTGGGGACACAGATTCAAACCATACAAATAAGGTACCAGCTCTTCTTTATACATCTGATAGAATTTGGCTGTGAATCCATCTGGTCCTGGACTTTTCCTGATTAGTAGGCTTTTTATTACAGATTCAGTTTCAGAATTTATTATTGGTCTGTTAAGAGGTTAAATTTCATCCTGGTTCATTCTTGGGAGGTTGTAAGTTTCCAGTAATTTATCAATTTCTTCTAGGTTTTCTAGCTTGTGTGCACAGAGGTGTTCATAGTAGACTATGAGAAGTTGTTTTTTGCATTTCTGTGCAGGCTAGTGGTAATGTCTCCTTTGTCATTTCTGATTGTGTTTATTTGGATCTCTTCTTTTCTTTACTACTAGATAGCAGTCTATCTTTCTTATTCTTTCAAAAAACCAGCTCCAGGATCCATTGATCTTTTTTATGGATTTTTACATCTCAATTTCCTTCATTTCAGCTCTGATTTTGGTTTTTGTCTTCTGCTAGCTTAGGGGTTGATTTGCTCTTGTTTTGCTAGTTCCTCTAGTTGTGATGTTAATTTGTTAATCTGAGATCTTTCTAATGTGATCTGAGAGCTTTTTAATGTGAGTATTCATTGCTATAAACTTTCCTCTTAACATTGTTTTACCTGTGTCCAGAGATTCTGATATGTTGTATCTTTGTTCTCATTAGGTTCAAATAATTTCTTGATTTCTGCTTTAATTTTATTATTTGCCCAGAAGTCATTCAAGAGAAGATTATTTAATTTACATGTAATTATATGGTTTTCAGTGATTTTCTTAGCATTGGTTTGTATTTTCATTGCAATGTGGTCCAAGAGTGTGGTTGGTATGATTTCAAGGTTTTTTTTTTTTTAATTTGCTGAGGATTGTTTTATACCCAATTGTGTTGTCAGTTTTAGAGTATGTGCCATATGCAGATGAGAAGAATGCATATTCTGTTGTTTTGGAGTGAGAGTTCTGTAAATGTTTATTAGGTCCATTTGGTGAAGTGATGAGTTCAGGTCCTGAATATCTTTGTCAGTTTTCTGCCTCAATGATCTGTCTAAACTGTCAGTGTGCTGCTGAAAGTCTCCCATGATTATTGTGTGGTTATCAAGTCTCTTCATAGGTCTCTAAGAACTTGCTTTTTTTGCTTTGAGCCCATGTGTGTCATTGCATGTGAGTTGGGTCTTTTGAAGACAGAATAGCATGGGTCTTGCACTTTATCCAATTTGCTAGTCTGTGCCTTTTAATTGGGGCACTTATCCTGTTTACATTCAAGGTTATATTGATATATGTGGATTTGATCCTGTCATCACATTGTTAGCTAGTTACTATGCACACTTGTTCGTATGGTTGCTCTACAGTGTCACTGGTCTGTGTACTTAAGTGTGCTTTTGTAGTGGCCAGTAATAGTCTTTCCTTTTTGTATTTGCCACTGTCTTCAGGGCCTCTTTTAAGGCAGGTCTAGTGATAACAAAATCCCTTAGCATTTACTTGTCTGAAAAACGTCTTATTTCTCCTTTGCTTATGAAGCTTAGTTTGGCTGAATATGAAATTCTTAGTTGGAAATTGTTTTCTATACAAATAATGAATATAGGACCCATTCTCTTCTGGTTTGTAATGTTTCTGCTAAAAGGTTCCCCATCAGGCTATCTTACCCCTTCTCTCTAGCTGCCTTTAAATTTTTTTCCATCAGTTCGTCCTTGGAGATTCTGATGATTGTGTGTCTTGGGGATGATCTTCTTGTGTAGTATTTCACAGGGGTTCTCTGCAGTTCCTGAATTTCAATGTTGACCTCTCTAAAAAGGTTGGAGAAATTCTTGTGGGTGACATCCTGAAATGTTTTTTTTTCAAGTTGCTTGATTTCTCACCTTCTCTCTCAGGGATTCCAATGAGTCATAGATTTGGTGTCTTTACATAATCCCATATTTCTCAGAGGTTTTGCTTGTTCTTCTTTATTGTTTTCTCTTTATTTTTGTCTGAGTTATATTGGAGAGCCAGTCTTCAAGCTCTGAGATATATTTCCTCAGCTTGGTTGATTCTGCTGTTATACTTGCGATTATATCCTGAAATTCTTGAAGTGACTTTTTCAAGTCTGTCAGATCAGTTTGGTTCTTTTTTAAATGGGCATTTTGACTTTCATCTCCTGTATCACTTGATTGTATTCCTTAGAAACCTTGGATTGGGTTTCAATTTTTTCCTGCATCTTGATGATCTTCATTCCTCTCCATATTCTGAATTCTGTCATTTCAGCCATTTCAGCCTGCTTAAGAACCAATGCTGGGGAACCAGTGTGATTGTTTGGAGGTGAAAAGACATCTGGCTTTTTGATTTGCCAGAGTTCTTGTGCTGGTTCTTTCTCATCTGTATGGACTAATGTTCCTTCAATCATTAACATTTCTGTCCTTTTTTTTTTTTTCTTTTATCCTCTTTGATGTCCTTGGAAATTTGATTGGGGTATAAGGTGGGTTCAGTTCAATGGCCTTCATTTCTAAAAGATTTTAGGGGGCCAATGTTCAGTTCAGGACTCCTGGGCTGTGTGTTCTAACTCTGGGGGACTGGTATCGCATGCTCACCTTTGTTTTCTGGTAACTTAAAGTTAAGGAATCTGCTGTGCTGGAAAGGCCAAGGTGTTCCAGACTGCTAGTTACAACACCCCAAAGAGTGGTGCCAGCCAAAATGCTTCATCAGGCCATGGCAGTGGGATCTGGGTTCATTGGCATGTGCTAGCAGCAGTGGCAGCATGGTTGGATGGACGCTTTTTGGTTGAGGAGAGAATGCTGGTGGGTCCAAGGGTCCTGGCCTCCATGCCCACATTGGCAGTAGTGGTGGTATGGCACAGTACAGTGAGGAGGGAGGATTAGGTGGGGCCACTGGCATCCTTGCATGCATTCTCACTGGCAGCAGTGTTGGTGTGGGAGCAGGGTGCAGGTGGGCCTGGGACTGGAGGTCTCCATATGCACATTGCACCAGCAGCTCAGGACGGGGATGGAAGCTCAGGACAGGGATCAGTGCCACTGGTCTTCTTGCATGCATCTGCATTGGCAATGTTAGCATGGTGGGGGTGGGGTGCACTCATGCTTGCAGCAGTGGCACAGTGGGGTGCACATACACACACACGCTGGTGGGAAAGGGCAGAAGAGGTCTGCCTGCACGCAACCACGCCGGCAAAGCAATCTGGAAGGTTTCCATGGGCAAAGCAATCTGCAAGGTTTTCATGGTCAAAGAGGCACAGGAAAGGGTGCAGTGGAAGGAGAGTGTGGGTGGGCTGGTGTGCATCAGCAGAGGCTGCTTTACTGGAGATCTCTGATGATCAGGCACAGTTGGCTGGCATGGGAGCTATAATGCAAGCCCCCAAAAGGCACCTGGGCATTCTAGATAGCACTGCAAGCAGGCATGGCCAGGCTGGGTCCCAGGAAAGGCAAGCAGACAGGGGTCGCTCAAGTCAGACTGGCCCTGTCTCATGGGCAAAATTGCCCTGCTCTGTTCAAGTACAACAGTTCCTCTAAGGTAAAGTTTCCTAGGAGAACAAGGCGAGTCTTGAGGGGTGGGCATCCCCAGCCATGCTCCACTTTGACACTCCCACACATGACCTGTGGACTCCAGACTGGCTGGGGTTCTGTTCTGTTCCTATCATCTCTCTATGCAGCTCATCCTGGCAGCTCAAGTGTCCATGAGGATCAGGGATCTGCTGCCAGGATTCCAGAGGTCCATGGAGAGAATAGGTTGCTCCTCACCCACTCAACTCACTCCTTCCCCAGGAGTCACTGGTGGCCAGGAACAAGTCCTGGTGCACAGTAGTCCCATGCAGCGTTCCCAGCTTCCTCCCTCTTCGGCTCAGCATCTGTGTCCTCCCTCTGACTGCTCTCGATGCCATACCTCTGAGGAGATCTGTTCAGAGTATGCCATTCTTCTTGATGTCTCAGACCCTCAGTGGCATATGTTGAGCCATCTTACGCTATGATTATTTTGAACAAACTGTTATCTCTTAAATTAAGACTAAGAAAACTTGAAGTCTTTATTTTTACCTTGACCTATTCCTTCCTTAATGTTCTGTCTTTCTTTATGTAGATCCTAGTTTCTGATCTACATTGTTACCCTTCTCACTAAATAACTTTTTTGTTGTGTTTTGTTTTTTGAGAAAATTCTCACTCTGTCACCGAGGCTGGAGTGCAGTGGTGCAATCTTGGCTTACTGCAGCATTGACTTCCCAGTCTCAGGTGATCCTCCCACCTCAGCCTCCTGGGTCGTTGGAACTACAGGTGTACTCCACAATGGCTAATTTTTAATTATTTTTGTAGAGATGGGGTTTCACCATGTTGCCCAGACAACTCCTGGGCTCAAGCGATCTCTGGGCTCAAGAGATCCACCTGCCTCCAGTGCTGGGATTACAGACATGAACCACTGTGCCTGGCTTAAATAATGTCTTTTAATATTTCTTTTGTAGCAGTTCTACCGGTAACAAAATCTCTTAATTTTTGTTTGTCTAAGAAAATCTATTTCCCCATTACTTTTGAAGGATAATTTCACAAAATACAGAATTCCTGGGTAGAGGGATATTTAAAGATTTAAATATTTCACTCAACTCTTTTTTTGCTTGTGTGAATTCTAAAGGGAAGTCAGAAGTAATTTTTATCTTTCCTCTATAGGTAAGGTGTTTCTCCACCCCAAACCAGACCTTTTACAGGACTTTTTCTATATCTTCGATTGTCTGTAGTTTAAGAATGATATGCATAGGTGTAGTTTTTCATTCTGTTTTGTTTTGCTTTGCTTGTTTCTTTTTGCATTCTCCTCCTTGGTATTCTCCAAGCTTCCTGGATCTGGGCTTTTATATCTATCTTACATTAATTTGGATAAATTCTCAATCATTATTGTTTCAAAATTTTCTTCTATGGCGTTACCTTTCTTCCCCTTCTGGTATTCCCATTACACATATGTTACAATTTTTGTAGTTGTCTCACAGTCCTTGTATATTCTGCTCTGTTTTTCTGTTCTTTCCTTTTCTTTTGACTCTTTTTTTTTCTCTTTTTTCTTTTCTTTTCTCTCTTTTTAAAATCTTGAATCTCTCTGCTTTTCAGTTTTGGAGGTGTCTATTGACATATCCTCAAGGTCAGAGAGCCTTTCCTCATACGTGCTTAGTCTACTGATAAACCCATCAAAATCATTCTTCATTTTTATTATAGTCCTTTTTATCTCTAGCATCTCTTTTTGGTTCAGTTTTAGTATTTTCATCCCTCTACTTACATTGCCCATCTGTTCTTGTATACTACTTTATTTATTAGAGCCCTTAGCAGACTAATCATAGTCTTTAAAATTTTCCAGTCTGTTAATTTCAACCTCTGTCATATATGACTCTGGTTCTGATGCTTCCTCTGCCACTTAAAATTGTATTTTTGGCCTTTCATTATGTCTTGTAACTTTTCCTTGATAACCAGCTAGTAAAAAAAGAGAAAAAAAAATTGCTGTGAACCGGCCTTTAGCAAGGCAGTGGTGAGGCGGGATGGGAGGGGAGGCATTCTATAGTGCTATGATTATATAGCAGTTTTTAGAGAATCTATGCCTCTGAATCATGACCCTGACAAATGCTTCTCAGTCCTTCCTTCATCAGGTGGGAGAGGATGGCTAGTGGGCTAGAGCATGCTAGTGGGTTTCAGAGTGGAAGGCTAGAGTGGGATGGAGTTGGGTATATCCCTTCCCCCATGTTAATCAGGTCCTGTTAATAGCCCAGCAGTTTCACATCAGGTTAAACAATTTTTCCTGAGGGAAGAAAGAAGAAGAGTGTGCTCTAGCATTTATAAAAATGGTTATTTTTCTTCTCCTCCCGCCAGGAGCACAAGGAATTTTTCTTTGATGTTTACAGTTGATCTCATGGAGATAAATCTTACAATATCGTGGGGGCCCTCCACTACTGGGTGCCCCGCAAATTTTTAACATTAGAGTTGTCTACACTGTGCCTCCAGAACATTGGTGATTATAGTTCAAGTTTTTCTACTCTGGCCCTGGTTTCTAGGGTGATTTCCACTAATGATTCTCTGCTCCAATAAGCCTTGACTCTCTGTATTCATCTTTCTGTCTTTCCCTTCCTAGGAGCAATGGTCTGCTCTGTGTCCTTGTCTCTGTTACAGATGCTAGAAGAGTTGTTGATTTTTAGTCTGTTCAGCTTTTTACTTGGGTTAGGATAGAATGATGACTTCCAAGATCCTTATATGTAGAACTGAAAACTGGAACCTCATGAAATTTGAATGAATACTAAGGTTTGAAAACAATTGATCTAAGAATGGGGCAGCTGAAATAGAGCAGCAATAGCTACTATTCAGTTCAAGAAGTTGAAGAGGTGACAGTTTTGAGAAGATGATGAATTAATTTATTTTCTTTATATCTTTCATTGAGAAGATATACATTATGACAAAACTTGAGTGAGAGAAAAAAGAAAGAGAAAGCAAGATTAAGAGACTGCTTATTGAAACGCAATACTGGAACTTTGGTTAGAAGTGATAGCAGACAATAAGGAGAATGCTGATTTCCTTTCCTGGACATAGAAATAGAAGGTGCACTATGTTTAGAGGGAGGTCTGAGGGAAGTAGCTGTTTTATACCTAATTTCATAAAATGTGAAGAGGTTGAAATTGTGTTTAAGAAGATTGTTAGGAAATGTAACACCTTGTAACAAAAAAGGAAGGATACAGAAGCCACTGTGAAGGAGCATAGAAATTGTGATTTCCAAATAATTTAGAAAGTAAATAAAGTTTATTTTTGTAAGATTTTCTTTTTTAAAATATAGATTAACTGCTCTCATTAAGTATCCCAGGAAAAACTCACTATTATAGTTAATTAATTTCTTTTCTGCATGAAATCAATGCACTGAATTTAGCTCCACTTTAAATTATAGAAATTTCACTAAAATACGTATAAATAAATTGCTAGTAGTAGTATATGGATTTCTATCTCTATTTTTATTAAAATCTCTTTAGCATGGAAGAAGTTGGTTCTTAATTGCTTTAGGTAATTGCTTCTTTCCTGATTACATTACCAAATAATTTATTACAGACAAAATTAAATGGATATTGATTACAGCCCTCTGAATTTTATAATTAATTTTACGATTTAAAAATGGAAGTTTAAGCTAAGTTTTGGATTTGCTGTCCAATTCTTTCATCCCTTTACTTGTATAATGTTGTCAAATTGCAGTCAAACCAGTCCTATAAAATGATCCAGAGGTAAAATTAAAAAAAATTAAAAATAAAACAAAACTGAATGAGATAGAGGACAAGAAAGAGCCAAAGTTTCTGGGAGAAGATGGAAAGGATAGAAGGAAGGAAATTCAGGATATCTTAAAAAGGAACAAAAAAGGAAGCTTTCGTTTGTTCATGTGTTTGCTTGTTTGTTTGGTTGGTTTTTGGTTTTTATTTTTAATTTTTGTGGATACATAGTAGGTGTATATATTTATGGGGTACATGAGATGTTTTGATGCCAGCATGCAATGTGTAATCACCACATCAGGGTAAGTGGGGTATTCATTACCTCGAGAATTTATCCATTCTTTGGTTTATAAACAACCCAAATATGTTCTTTTAGTAATTTTAAAATGTACAATAAATTATTGTTGACTGTAGTCACTCTCTTGTACTATAGAATACTAGACCTTATTCATTCTAACTATAGTTTTGTACCCATTAATTATCCCCCCCTCCCCTGCCAATATCCCTCCCAGCCTCTAGTAACCATCATTCTACTCTCTCTCTTCATGAGTTCATTTTTTTTTTTAATTTTTAGCTCCCACAAATAAGTAAGATCACGCAATGTTTGTCTTTCTGTGCCTGGCTTATTTCACTTAACATCATGACCTCCAGTTTCATCCATGTTGTTGCAAATGACAGGCTGTCATTTTTTATGGCTGAATAGTACTCCAGTGTGTACATTTTCATTATCCATTCTTCTTTCAACGGACAATTTGGATGATTCCAAATCCAGACTATTGTAAACAGTGCTGCAACAAACATGGGAGTGCAGATATCTCTTTGATACACTAATTTCCATTCTTTTGGGTATATATTTAGTGGTGGGATTGCTGAATCATATGGTAGCTCTATTTTTAACTTTTTGAAAACCTCCAAACAGTTTCCCACAGTGGCTGTATTAATTTACATTTCTACTAACAGTTTACAGGAGTTCCCTTTTCTCCACGTACTCACCAGCATTTGTTATTGCCCATCTTTTGAATAAAAGTCATTTTAAGTGGGGTGAGGTGATATTTCATTGTAGTTTTGATTTGCTTCTCTTATGATCAGTGATGTTCAGCACTTTTTCATATACCTGTTTGCCATTTGTGTGTCTTTTTTGAGAAATGTTTATTCAGATCTTTCACCAATTTTTAATCAGATTATTAGATTTTTTTCCTATTGCATTATTGGAGCTTCTTATGTATTCTGGTTCTGAATTCCTTCTCAGAATGGTAGTTTGCAAATATTTTCTTTCATTCTTTGGGTTATCTCTTCAGTTTGTTGATTATTTCTTTTGCTGTGCATAAACTTGTTAACTTGATGTGAGCCCATTTGTCCACTTTTGCTTGGGTTGCCTGTGCCTGCAGGATATTATTAAAGAAATCTTTGCCCAGCCCAATGTCCTGTAGAGTTTCCTCAATGATTTATTTTAGTAGTTTCACAGTTTGAGGTCTCAGACTTAAGACTTTAATCCATTTTGATTTGATTTTTGTATATAGTGAGAGATAGAGGTCTAGTCCATTCCTCTGTATATGGATATGCAGTTTTCCCAGTACCAAGAGATTGTGCTTTCCTTAATATATGTTCTTGGCAGTTTTGTCAAAAGTAACTTCACTGTAAATGTGCAGGTTTTTTGTGGGTTCTCTTTTCTGTCCCCTTGGTCTATGTACCTGTTTTATGACAGTACCATGGTATCAGTTTTTATGAGAGTACCATGCTGGTTTTGTACTGTATCTCTGTTATATAATTTAAAGTCATGTAATATATTTCCTCCAGTTGTATTATTTTTTCTCAAGATAGATTTGGCTATTCTGGGTCTTTTGTGGTTCCATATAAATTTTAAGACTATTTTTTCTATTTCTGTGAAGAATATCATTGGTATTTTGATAGGAATTTCATTGAATCTGTAAATTTCTTTTAATAGTATGAACATTTTCACATCATCGATTCTTCCAATTTATGAACATGGAATATCATTCCATTTCTTGTGTCCCTTTTAATTTTCTGCCTCAGTGTTTTATAGTTTTTATTGTATAGATTATTCATTTATTTGACCACGTTTATTCCTATGTGTTTTATTTTATTCATAGCTATTATATATGGGATTACTTTCTTGATTTCTTTTTCAGATTGATCAATGTTGGCATATACAAATATTACTGATTTTTGTATGTTGATTTTGTATACTGCAACTTTACTGAATTTGTTTATCAGTTCTAATAGTTTTTTTTTGGAGTCTTTATGTTCCAAATATAAGATCATATTATCTGCAAACAAGGGTAATATGACTTCTTTCTCTTGTCTAATTGTTCTCTCTAGGACTTCCAGTCTTATGTTAAATAATAGTGGTGAAAATGGGCATCATTATCTTGTACCAGATCTTAGAGGAAAGCTTTCTGTTTTTCTTCTTTCAGTATGATACTAGCTATGGGTGTGTTATATATGGCTTTTATTGTGTTGAGATATTTTCCAACCAGATAGTTTTTTAAGGGTTTTTATTATGCAGGGATGCTGAATTTTATCAAGTGCTTTTACAGCATCAATTGAAATGATCACATAGTTTTTGTCCTTCATTCTGTTGATATATCATATGATTGATTTGTATATATTGAACTATCCTTGGATCTCTGATATAAATCCCCCTTGGTCATAAGGAATGATCTTTTAAATGTGTTGTTGAATTCAGTTTGTTAGTATTTTGTTGAGGATTTTTGCATCAATGTTCATCAGGAATATTGCGCTTTAGTTTTCTTCTTTTGATGTGTCTTTTTCTGGTTTAGGTATCAGGGTAACACTGGCCTTATGGAATGAGTGTGGAAATTTTTCATTCTCTTCTATCTATGGGAATAGTTTCAGTAGAATTAGTATTAGTTCTTTAAATGTTTGGTAAAATTCAGCAGTGAAGCCAATGAGTCAAAGGCTTTTCTTTGTGGAGAGATGGTTGCTGTTACAGTTTTCATATTATTACTTGTTATTGGTAAGTGCAAGTAACAAATGAGGTAAGTGAGGTTACCACTGGATTTCTTCGTAGTCCAATCTTGGTAGGTTTTATGTGTTCAGGAATTTATCCATTTCTTCCAGATCTTCCTATTTATTAGTCCATAGTTGCTCATAGTAAGTTCTAATGATCCTTTGAATTTCTGCAGTATTCATTGTAATGTCTACTTTTTCATCTCTGATTTTTTAATTTGGGTCTTTTTTCTTTTTTTCTTAGTCTTGTTAAAGGTTTGTCAATTTTGTTTATCTTTTTAAAAAACAACTTTTAGTTTCATACATCTTTTGTATTTTTTTTGGTTTCATTTCACTTTTTTTTGCTCTGACCTTTAGTATTTCTTTTATTTTACAATTTGGCTTTCGTTTGCTTTTTCTTTTCTAGCTCTTTAAGATGCATCAATATTTACTTGAAACGTTTCTACTTATTTGATGTAGGTGACTATTGTTACAGACTTTCCTTTTAGTTCTGCTTTCACTGTATACCATAGGTTTTGGTATGTTGTGTTTCCATTTTACTTGTTTCAAGAAATTTTTCAATTTCCTTCTTAATTTCTCCATTGACCCACTGGTCTTTCAGATGCATAGTGTTTAATTTCCACTTATTTGTATAGTTTCCAAAATTCCTCTTGTTATTAGTTTCTAGTTTCCCTCTATTGTGTTCAGAGAAGATGCTTGATCTTATTTCAATTTTTTAAAATGTTTTTAGAATTGTGTTGTGACCTAGCATACAGTCTATCCTTGAGAATGATTGATATGCTGATATTAAATGTATATTCTATAGCCATTAGATGAAATGTTTATAAATATCTATTAGATCTATTTGATCTACAGTTCAGTTTAAGTCTAATGTTTCCGGGGTGATTTTCTGCCTGGAAGATTGCCGTCCATTGCTAAAAGTGGACATGGGTGTTGAAGTCTCCAGCTAATATTGTATTGTGATCCATCTCTCCCTTTAACTCTAATAATATTTGTTTTCTACATTTGGGGTGCTCTAGTGTTGGAGGCATATATATTTATAGTTATTGTATCTATTCAAGGCACCAGTATTTTACACTCACAATTATAGTGTTATTCTGTGTACTTACTATAACCAGTGAGTTTTGTCTTTTCAGATGACTTCTTATTGCTCAGTAACATCCTTTTCTTTCAGATTAAAAAACTCTCTTTACAATTTTTTATAGAACAGGTCCAGGGTTGATGGGGTTGATGAAATCCCTCAGCTTTATTTTCACTTTTGTGGCTGGGGAAGTTTTTATTTCTCCTTCATGTTTGAAGGATATTTTTGCTGGATATACTATTCTAGGTTAAACTTTCTTCCCTCAGCACATCAAATACATCATGCCACTCTTTCCTGGCCTGTAAAGTTTCCAGTAAAAAGTCTGCTGATAGACATATTGGAGCTCCATTTTATGTTATTTCTTTCTTTTGCTTCTTTTAGGGTCATTTCTTTATCATTGACCTTTGGGGTTTGATCATTAAATTTCTTGAGACAGTCTTCTTTGGGTTATCTCTTCTCGGTGTTCAATATTCTTCTCGTATTTGAATGTTAATATTTTAGAATTCTCTATTATTCCTTTGAATAAACTTTCTGCCCCAATCTCTCTCTCTAGCTCTTCTTTAAGACCAATAACTTAGATTTGTCCTTTTGAGTCTTTTTCTAGATCTTGTCATTATGCTTAATTCTTTTTTATTCTTTTTTTTTATGTCTCCTCTGACTATGTATTTTCAAATATCCTGTCTTCAAGCTGGCTAATTATTCTGCTTGGTCAATTCTGCTGTTAAGAGACTCTAATGTCTTCTTCAGTCTGTCAGTTGCATATCTCAGCTCCAGAATTTCTGCTTGATTATTTTTAATTCTTTCAATCTTTTTGTTAAATTTATGTGATAAGATTCTAAAGTCCTTCTTTGTATTATCTTGAATTCTATTAAATTTCCTCAAAACAGCTATTTTGAATTATCTCTATGAAATGTCACATAACTCTGTCTCTCCAGCATTGGTCACTGCTGCCTTATTTAGTTCATTTGGTAAGGTCATGTTTTCCTGGATTGTCTTGATGCTTATGGATATTCATTCATATCTGTGCATTGAAGAGTTGTAATTGTAATCTTTGCAGTCTGGGCTTGTTAGAACCCATCCTTCATGGAAACGCTTTCCAGGTATTCTCAGGGACTTGGGTGTTGTGATCTAAATCTTTGGTCACTGAAGCCATATCTGCTTTAGGGGGCACTTGAAGCCCAGTAACACCATTGCTCTCATAGACATGTAGAGGTATCACCTTGGTGGTCTTGGGTCAGCTCCAGGAAATTCCCCTCGATCACCAGGTAAAGACTCTTGTTCTGTTCCCTTACTTTTCCCCAAACAAACAGAGTCTCTCTGTCTCTGTACTGAGCTGCCTAAATATGTAAGAGGGGTGACACAGTATCCCTGTGGCCACCACCACTGGGACTACACTGGGTGAGACCTGAAGCCAGCCCAGCACTGAGTCTCACCTAAGGCCTGCAGTGATCACTGCTTGGGCTACTGCCTATTTTCACTCAAGGCTCAAGTGCTAGGCATAGAAGAAACATACCTGAAAATAATAAAGACCATATACAAAACACTCACAGCTAATACCATACTGAATTGGGAAAATTTGTAAGCATTTCTTCTAAGAACTAAAACAATACAAGGATGTCCACTTAGCATTAAGAGTTTTATAAGACTAGACCAGTATATTAGTTTGCTAGGGCTGCCATAACAAAGTACCACATATTAGATGTCTTAAACAACAGAAATTTATTTTCTCATACATGTGTATCCTAGAGGTCCAAGATTATGGTGTCAGCAGTGTTGGTTTCTTTTGAGGGCAATGAGAAAAGGATCAGTTTTAGGCCTCTCCCCTTAGATTTTAGATGGCCATTGATTCCCTGTGTCTCCACATCGTCTGCTCTCTGCATTTTTAGGTAACCAAATTTTCTCGTCTTATAAGAACACCGGACATATTGGATTACAGCCCACCATAGTGACCTTATTTTCACTTAAATACCTCTTTAAGATTCCATCTTTAAAGATTCCAGGCTGGGCACTGTGGCTCATGCCTGTAATCCCAGCACTTTGGGAGGCTTAGGTAGGAGGATCCCTTGAGCCCAGGAATGCAAGTTTGCAGAGAGCTATGACTGAACCACTGCACTCCAGTCTCTGGGTGACAGAGCAAGATGCTGTCTTAAAAATAAATAAATAAATAACATTTTAAAAGGTCATTTTACCTCCAGACTAAGATGCAAAAATAACAATTCTTGCTTGTCTCATGCATATATAATTATGAAACTTCAGAATCTTTTCTGATTTTTGGAGGCTTGAAGAAGATGCGCTGAGGAGCATCAAAACATAAGATTTAGTATAGACTGTGACATCTGCATTGGCATTAAATTGCAAAAGAAAAAAGAAGGATACCACACCCAAGCCAGGGTCATGAAAAATATACGCCAAGAGGATTCATTAAATAAAGATATTACATGGTGATGTTGCATCCATAAAATGAAATATTAAGTAGTTATTTAAAATTTTGTCTCCAAAATATCTTATAACCTTAGAAAATGTTACTAACAGGTTAAATGGGAAAAGTATGCTCTTAATCTGAGAAAGGGTGGATTAATAAATAAAATATATTAAATTTGACCATTTACCACTTAGGTCTTGGAAAATTTTCATATTTACTGTTGTCTTGATCCACTGCATAGGGTACTACTGAAACAAAATCTGTTACACAGCCCTTCAAGGTATGTCTAACTTGTGTCTTAGACCCAGAACAAACTTAGAATTTATTGCTATGCATTGAAAATTAGAGCCAACTGAGTTGTATCTAGTTGTATATAAGCTCTTACTCTTGCTATTTTGTAAAGGAAATTAGCTACAAGGATGCTGAATTGAAAATGCTATCCTGATTATTCATCCTTTGGGCCTTAAGACTTTTTGATTTTCCAAGGCCACTGAAAGCTAAAGATTATAAATGCTTGATAGCACACACACATAAAAACATTGCTGTTGTATCTATTAATCAACTGATTTTTTTTAAAGGCCGCATAGGAGACTGCAACTTAGTGTACAAAGAACAGAAGTTATTGTTGGGTTTTGTGTTGCTTTGAACACTCAATTCTTGATGACAATACTCTCTTGGAAATGAGGTCAGTTCAAATGGTTAATTTTTATAAAAATTCGATATGAGAATCTGGAACTTTTAATAAACTTCAAATAAATTGTAATCATTTCTAAGCCTGCTGGGGAGTCGCTATTTTGATGATGTTCAGGTCATGACATATTTCTAAAGTCAAAGTTGATGGTAAATGATTATGGAGCTGATTTGCCCGTCTGTTTTGCCTCCAGCATTTCTCTGTGTATTACAGAAGCCAATTCAGAGGTTTCAAGTATCATATTTTGGGGACCCTTTTTATTCTGACTCCTGAAAAAATATGATGGGAATGGCTGTTTTCCTTCAAATCTTAAAACTTACAGAAATCTCATTTCTGAAGTTTATGAGAAATGGCCAGATGATTATTGAAAACCCCCTCAAAAGTCAACATCAGGCACTTAAAAATTAGCAATATTTCCTATTTCCTAAGATCAGAATAAATATAGAAAAAATTAACAATGGGCAACACAGGATGCTAGCCAATCAGGTCAGAGTCCCTAGGAACCAATCACAGCTAGCTCTAGCCCTAAACAAGCAAGAGAATTTTCCTGAAACATACCAGCTAACTATCAGGCCTATTTAGGATTCTGGCAAATGTGTCTACAAATACTCATCCTTCTATGTGACTTTGAGAAAGTCATTACATTCTTTGAACCACTGTTTTGTTTTCTTTCTGTGTCCTGTATCCATGGGATTGTTGTGTGATTAAAATATAAATAGATAATTTAACAAGACAATATCTATCAAACCCTGAACACATAACCATGCATGGATTGCGTAAATATATTTGTAAATTTGTACATTAGAAGTTTCTCAAGTGCTTTCTCATTTGATGTGGAGATTTTTATTGCAAAAAGAATACTTGAATTTACTAAGAATAAGAGACTATAAACACATCTGAATGTTATGAAGATATTGATTATTTTCTCCTTTGAATAATTTTCCCAGATGCTGCTTTGCTTAAGAAGAGCCAGAAATTATAAGATGTCTTGACAAATAAAAATTAAAGCTGGAGTTCCATTACTATTCTGTTGTGTTTGATTGACTTAAGGAATAAATATTTTGAAAACATTTAATAATGATAGCAATAACAACAATAGTATTAGTAAATACCTATATAGTTATTATAATGTTTCAGGCACTATTTTACGTGATTTTCATACATTCCACTCTTGTTTAATCTTGACTATAAAATAGTCATCCTAATTTTATTGATAAGGAAACTGAGGAACAAAGATTAAGGCATTGTGACCAAGATCCTAACTCCCAATAGGTGCTAGAACTAAGTCTTGAACCCAGTTAGTCTGATTCCAGAGTCTATGTGCCTGACAACTTCACCGTTTTTCCCATAAGTATTTCCACTTGCCAGAAACTTTGAAAATATTTTTCATTTATCTTATAGCACTGATGCTCAGATAGAATCCCATATCACAATTTTGTGAGTGGGTGCAATAAGACAGACGTTTAATGATTTATACTAAGAAGGATAGATATGGCACTTTTAACTAAGATGCTGAATCCTGTGTTTTATGTAGCAGTTTTCAGTATTACATTGAACTTTTTAAAAAACTTTTAACTGTCACATTTTGGATAATTTTTAAACTGGTGAAAGTATTCCATTTCCTTTGCTCCAGTTAATTTGTCAGGCTGAGGCCATAAATGTAACCCGAAATCAACTCAACTAGTTATAACAGCAGAAGCAATGTACAAGCAACAGAATGAACCATGGTTCTGACCGCAGGTTCTGATTTATAGTCACTGAAATAGAATTGCACTATTTGAGATTGCCAGTTTTCATTTGTGTGGCATCTGGATATTCCTGTATAATATCTAAGTCAAACAATGGCTAATAAAAGATAATGATAACTGAGAACTCCAAATGGAAGGTATAAATTGTCAAGAATGGTAGGGAAAAAAATAAAACACACTGAGTCCACAGTTTTCCACTTTCAGGGTAAAACGTGTTTCCCCATAAAGAGAAATGAGCATGAGGTTGTAACTATAAAGGGCTGTGATTGATTTCCTGGGTGACTAGCAGCAATCAGTCTCTTCCTTTTGAATCACATCTCATATGTCACACTTCAAAGAGCTACTTAATGCCAGCTGATGTCTGCACCCAGAAAGAATAAATAATGAATTCATGGATTGCCTTTCTTTCTACACTTCATTTAAGAAAGCTAATTGTTTAGAGAATAGACGTTCCTTGGCTCATTGGCTTGATAATACAGGAAACTCTATTGGAATTTCACTCTAAGAAGCCAAACTCAACCTAAATGAACAATCCTTCCTCAGCTCGCACTTGTGATAAAAGCAGATAATCTTACTGGTTATTAAAATGTAAACAGATAATGAATGAATTCACTAACTATTCTTCCCTGCTGGGGCATTTAGCCTTTGGGTAGCCTTGAGCTCTAAACTATATAGAAAGTAAATCCTCATTAAGTTGAAGCAAAAGGAGATCACAAATAAAACATTTGTTCACCACAATCTATCTTCTAACTCAAAGGAACCCAACCCTAATAATGACTCCATATCACTTATGAGGAATGTCACTGATATTTTATGATTTTACTTTCTTTAATTGATAAGCACGGACTCAAGGTAGTCCTGCAGTAACATCAATATCTTGCATTTGCCTCCTGAAATGCAAATTCAGAGTAGGAGAGAAAGGGTTGAAGTTACAGCTTCTATACCCAGAATTGATTATAATCCTAGGTATATCCAAGGGAATATGTTTTATTTGTGAATATCATTAGTCGTGTCTTTTTAGAAATAAAATAGTTTGAGAATCACTGATTTAGTTGATTAATATTTTAAGTCTGAGTTAAAGAATCTATCAATTCTCATGGTCAAAAGTATATATATAACAAAAAATAACAGACATATTCCCAATCCTCATCCTCTGAGATTTATATTGTAAGGTAAGCAATGTTATCACAAACTAATAATAATGCATTCATGTATAATAAAATATAATGATAAGATAGTGCTATTAATAATAACTATAATTTCTAGAGCACGTGCTATATAACAGATGCTGCATTTGGTTCCCTGCATTCATGATCTCTCTTGGGTCTCCCAACAACCCATGAGGATAATGTTATTACCCTCATTTTAGAGGAGAAATATGAGGCTCAGAAAAGTCAAATAACTTACCTCAGTAGCCAATAAATAGTGATAGCAGGATTTAAACCCAGGACTTACTCTAAATTGTAAATGTATGTTTTTCTCATATACCATTAAAATATGTCAATACCAACTACAAATCAAATTTATGTCTGATTTTTAGATAAGGGCAAAGATGAGTGACACTTAGGCAGAGAAACTGGAAAGGATTGAGTAGGGTGGTGTGGCAGTTAGAATGTTCTTATGATTCCCAATGACTCATGCCCTTGCCTCATTCCCTCCCCTTGAGTGTGGGTGGGAACTGTGAAAATGATAGCGTATTTCACTTCATATGGCAAAGGTGAAGGGACTTTTCAGATATAATTAAGCTCTCTAATCAGTTAACTTCGGGTTAATCAAAAGAAGATTCTCTTGGGTTTTGAAGGTGAGCCCTTCAATAAAAAACATAGTCATGACTTCTTTAAGCACTGTTACAGAACAAAACTCTTCTAACTCTTGTTAAGATGGTAAGGAATACCTCATTCAGAAAGACTGTTGTAACAGGAGAGAGAGCTTGAGTGTAACTCTTGAGTACAAAAAAGGCAACTGGAGATTTATGCCAATGAGCAAAGGGAGTGAGTCAGTGGGTAGAAAATTACTAAGAGAAGACATCAAGAATAGGTGAATTCTTGCTAACTGTCCTAAGGGTATTTTTGCTAAAGGCAGGTCAAAGATTGAGACATCAAAGATGAGGAATGAAGAACTTAATCAGATACCAAGGGTAGAGGATTCTCCCTAAACTGACCTCGTAAGATTCTTGCTAAAACTGGACTCAGCAATGACAAACACAGAAGCCAAAGGTCAAGGCATAGTGGAGAACAGAGCTCAAAGGAGCTTGAGCAAAGTTTGGTCAAGAAGATAGTTGTTTTCAGCACAGAAATGCTCTCTTGTGGACCTTGCAGGAGTGAGCTGCCAGGTTGTGAGAGGGAATATCGAAGGAGCTGCTAGAAAAGACCTCAGGTGTCTCTAAGAGTAGAGAGTGGTCTTTGACCTACAGCCAGCAAGACACCAAAACTTACTGATGTGTTTCTAAATCATTCAGAAAGATTTTCTAGAGAAAGAGGAATTCAGAAATCAATACTACATGATGTTCTGAGATATGGTAAATAGAGGCAATTTATAAATTGGCATTTGGAGAATGCTACCTGGTAAGTGACATTCAACATAGTATCTAAATGCTAAAATTTTAAAATAGCATTAACAAAAGAAAGGAAAAAAAGTGAGTTTAATTATCTAGTTAAAAATAGTAACTATTAATAGTATATACAAAAATATAATATCCCTCCTTGAAAACCTGAGTATAGAGTGAATATATGAAAAAGTTGGTTTAAAATACAAGTCTATCTATATTCAATATTTTGTTGCCTTTATTTTATTTGACATGACAAATGTACAGACACCTTGATGAGACTTTCATATAGAAAATAACACCTCATTTTGAGCAAAAATTTACATCTTACACCTGAGGCCAGGAGTTTGAGACCAGCCTGGGCAACACAGTGAGACCACATCTCTACAAAACATTTTTTTTTTTAATTAACCAGGTATGGTAGCACGTGGCTGTAGATGAGCTACTTGGGAGGCTGAGGTAGGAGGATCCCTTGAGCTCAGGAGTTCAAGGTTGCAATGAGCTAAGACTGCACCACTGCACTCCAGCCTAGGTGACAGAGAGAGGCACTGTCAAAAATAAATAAGTAAATAAATCTTAAAAGGTTATTTCACTCTTAGACTGAAATGCAAAAATAACACTTCTTGCTTGTCTCGTGTATTTCTGAAGCTTCATAATCTCTGATTTCCAGAGGCTTGAAAAAAGGTGCCCTGAGCAACATAAAAATTTAGGATTATCACAGACTGTGACATGTGCACTGATATTAAATTGCAGGGACAAACAGGATACCGCACACAAGCCAGGGTCATGGAAAATATGTGTCAAGAGGATTCATTAAATGAAGACATTGCATGATAATGCTGCAACCATAAAATGAAATATTATGTAGCTGTTACCAGTTTTGTCTTCAAAATATTCAATGACTTTATAAAACATTACAATAGGTTAAATGGAAATGCATGATCTTACTTTGAGGGCTCTTTGTTAACAAAAATACAGGACAATTTTAATTTTGCTCTATGAAAAAATATAGTAACATGTTAGCAGCAATTAGCTGTGGATAGTAGTTGTGTAATCTTAACGTTAATATATTATTTGTACTTATGTATTTATGTATTTTTACTGTTCAGTAGTATGCAAATTTTAAATGAATTTTATTACTTTTGGAATCAGAAAACAATAAAGCTGGGGAAATTGAGCTTTATTGGCAAAGCACTAAAATTTAAAATGACCTAGGTGATCTATATAAAATGAACAAAATTCAATCATTGAGTCATTTCCAGCTTCCAGATGCCCTAATTCTAAGTTCACATACGGACATGTGCAAAGAGAAGAACTTTCTTTGGCATTTAGCCCATGTCTATAGTTCACAATGTATCATAAATGAAACATTACTCAGTTTCCTTAGCTATAAAAAGTGGTAGCCAAATCAGATGGGCTTTATACTCTTTTCTAGCTATAATGTTCTATAATTTCATATTCTGTGATTCACTGGTATGGAGTTCTTGCAGATTTTCAGGTTTTGACAGTGTTTAGAAATTTCATTTTGTTTAAAAAAGTGCAAGCTAATAACATGCAGTCTTAGAATCTATTATATAATGAAGAAGCTGGAAAGAAAGCAGAGAGACAGTCCAGCATGGCATTTTGGAGACCATGGGCACTGGGGCCAGATCACCTCCAGTTGAATCATGTCACTGCCAATTATTAGGTGTGTGACTTAGGGCAAGTTACTTAACTTCTCTTTGCTTCAATTTTATCATCGAGGGATAATAATACCAAATGCTGAACTCATTGGTTTGGTGTGAAGATTAAGTTAATTAATACATGTAAAGCACTTAGAACAATGTCTGCCATATGTTCAATAAATATTAGCTATTCTTATTTTCCTCACCTGCTTAAGTAGAAAGAATAAAAAGCGTACAATGAAAAACTCAGCCCATGGGGATTAAAGCAATTTATTCTGCATTAGAAAAGGCCAGGCAGGGCCATCTAAAATTTCTCAGTCATAGCAACCTTATTAACTTGCATGATTGCCTCCCATCTAAAACCTGATATTTTACTTTTAGAAAAATGTAGAGGAATGATTATGTAGGCACATTGCTAAAGATACTAAAAATAACTCTGAGATGCTAGCTGGCAACAAAAAGATTCTGCACACAACTTGGTTTGCCAATTCCATTCTTTACCTTTCTTTCAAGGACACATTCAAATGACATTTTCTCTTTAAATGCTGGATTACGTTTATTGATTTGTGTATGTTGAACCAGCCTTGCATCCCAGGGATGAAGTCCACTTGATCATGGTGGATAAGCTTTTTGATGTGCTGCTGGATTCGGTTTGCCAGTATTTTATTGAGGATTTTTGCCTCAATGTTCATCAGGGATATTGGTCTAAAATTCTTTTTTTGTTGTGGCTCTGACAGGCTTTGGTATCAGGATGATGCTGGCCTCATAAAATGAGTTAGGGAGGATTATCAAAGACAAAAACCACATGATTATCTCAATAGATGCAGAAAAGGCCTTTGACGAAATTCAACAGCCCTTCATGCTAAAAACTCCCAATAAATTAGGTATTGATGGGATGTATCTTAAAATAATAAGAGCTATTTATGACAAACCCACAGCCAACATCATACTGAATGGGCAAAAACTGGAAGCATTCCCTTTGAAAACTGGCACAAGGGCCTGCATCGCCAAGTCAATCCAAAGCCAAAAGAACTAAGCTGGAGGCATCACGCTACCTGACTTCAAACTATACTACAAGGCTACAGTAACCAAAGCAACATGGTACTGGTACCAAAACAGAGATGTAGACCAATGGAACAGGACAGAGCCCTCATAAATAATACCACACATCTACAACCATCTGATCTTTGACAAACCTGACTAAAACAAGAAATGGGGAAAGGATTCCCTATTTAATAAATGGTGCTGGGAAAACTGGCTGGCCATATGTAGAAAGCTGAAACTGGATCCCTTCCTTACACCTTACACAAAAATTAATTGAAGATGGATTAAAGACTTACATGTTAGACCTAAAACCATAAAAACTCTAGAAGAAAACCTAGGCAATACCATTCAGGACACAGGCACGGGCAAGGACTTCATGTCTAAAACACCAAAAGCAATGGCAACAAAAGCCAAAATTGACAAATGAGATCTAATTAAACTAAAGAGCTTCTGCACAGCAAAAGAAACCACCATCAGAGTGAACAGGCAACCTACAGAATGGGAGAAAATTTTTGCAATCCACTCTTCTGACAAAGGGCTAATATCCAGAATCTACAAAGAACTCAAGCAAATTTACAAGAAAAAAACAAAAAACCCCATCAAAAAGTGGGCAAAGGATATGAACAGACACTTCTCAAAAGAAGACATTTATGCAGCCAACAGACACATGATAAAATGCTCATCATCACTGGCCATCAGAGAAATGCAAATCAAAACCACAATGAGATACTGTAAACTAGTTCAACCATTGTGGAAGACAATGTGGTGATTCCTCAAGGATCTAGAACTAGAAATACCATTTGACCCAGCCATCCCATTACTGAGTATATACACAAAGGATTACAAATCATGCTGCTATAAAGACACATGCACACATGTTTATTGCGGCACTATTCACAATAGCAAAGACTTGGAACCAACCCAAATGTCCATCAATGTGAGACTGGATTAAGAAATTGTGGCACATATATACCACGGAATACTATGCAGCCATAAAAAAGGATGAGTTCATGTCCTTTGTAGGGACATGGATGAAGCTGGAAACCATCATTATGAGCAAACTATCGCAAGGACAAAAAACCAAACACCGCATATTCTCACTCATAGGTGGGAATTGAACAATGAGAACATTTGGACGCAGGAAGGGGAACATCACACACTGGGGCCTGTAGTGGGGTCGGGGGAGGGGGGAGGGATAACATTAGGAGATATACGTAATGTAAATGAGGAGTTAAAGGGTGCAGCACACCAACATGGCGCATGTATACATATGTAACAAACCTGCACTTATGCACATGTACCCTAGAACTTAAAGTATAATAAAAATAAAGATAATAATAATAATAATAAATAAATAAATGACATTTTCTCTGTGAATTTTCTGTTCATCAACAATAAAGTGGTCCCCATTCTGCCTCAAGTCATCTTTTGTTTTAGCACACATGACATTTTTTGTAGAATCTCACTTCTCAGAAAATGTAAATGCTGTATATTCTCCAAAAAATATATTAGCAATTTATTTAATAAACATATAGTGCTGACTGTGTCCTAAGCTCTCTGTTCTAAGCACTATGCAAATATTATCCCATTTAATCCTTGTGGGAGATTGCAAAATACAGACATAATTTTCCCCTCTGTGTTTGCACATCTTTTACTAATGTTATTTTACCATGCCTCCCAAGTGTATCTCTCCATCTCCTTGAATGTATGTTTCCTTGTGATTTGCTTTGACAATACAATGCAGCAGAAGTGACATCTTGCGAGTTGAGAGTTGAAGCTTCAAGAAGTCTTGCAGCTTCAGCTCTCCCTCTCCTGCTCTCCTGAGATTGTCATGTGAGGAGGCCTCCCCTAGCATCCTTGAAGATAGGAGACCATATGGAGAGGCAAGTCAGCCAACAACCAGCACCATATATCAGATATTAATATGTGAGTTAAATTTCTAGATTATATATCCCCAGAGAAATAGACGTAGGACTGTAGCTGTATGACAGACCCAAGTTAGAGCAACAAAGAGAAAAGTCATCCAGCTCATTGCAGTCACTAAGTTTGGGAGGTTTATTTTGTAGCAAAGGCTAACAACCATACACACTTCATAATATTAATATGAACTAGATATAACATCATTTTATTTTTACAAATGAAAAAGCCCAAAATTATACCAGTGTTAAGAAGATAGAGCTTAATGTATGTCATCTTTCCTATATACATTGCCCAATGCACAGGCACCAAGTTCTATTAATACTTCAAGGTGCAACAGTTAGAATGTCTTGCACATAGTAAAAGCTCAAATAAATTCTTGAGGGTACATCATTTAACTCTGGCTTAATTTATTGTTCTCTTTCTTTTGAAAATGAGGTCATTCATGTTTCTTATATTTCTTCATTGCAGATTCCATATGCCACAAAATATGACGGCCTCCATAGCCATCGGGAGTAGTGACAATAAAGAATTGAAACCTAGAGAGAAATGAATATCTCTTCTTGCTGTTTACTTCATGTTTTGATTCAGTATCTAGGGACTTTGGTGACAGCCACCTTAAAATGTGACAGCTTGTAAAAGGAATAGATAGGTTGGTAAAGGCATATAGACAGAACGATAAGCCATAGATTCAGTGATAACAAGTTTTTGGCATAAATATGTGGCAGGAACAGGAAGGTTATATAATAGGTAACCGCTCTGTAAAATCACAGGTTTGACCTCCACAGAGAAAAGTTACGAGTTCTTCATTACATATATATGTGTAATGTGTGTGCATGTATATATATATATGTAATGTATATATATATAATAATGTACATATATATACGTTACGTAGGCACGTTGCTAAAGATATTAAAAATAACTCTGAGATGCTAGCTGGCAACAGAAAGATTCTGCATATAACTTGGTTTGCCAATTCCATTCTTTACCTTTCTTTCAAAGCCACATTCAAATGACATTTTCTCTGTGAATTTTCTGTTCATCAACAATAAAGTGGTACCCATTCTGCCTCAGGTCGTCTTTTGTGTTAGCACACATGACACTTTACATAGAATCTCACTTCCCAGAAAATGTAAATGCTGTATATTCTCCAAAAATGTATTAGCAATTTATTTATATATAATAAATAGCACATATGTAATAATGTACATATATGTACATTACATATACCTACATTACATTTATATGTATATTACATATATATGTATGTATTTTTTATTTATTTATTCATTGAGCTCTTACTACGTGCAAGACACTCTAACTGGTGCCTCTTGAAGTATTAATAGAACTTGGTGCCTGTGCATTAGGCAATGTAGGTAAGAAAGATAACAAACGTTAAGCATTACATATATATGTAATATAACATATGTAATGAAGAATTCATTAAGTTATCAGTTCATACATATTTATAATGTGTACATATTACATACTAAAGTAGGCCCATAAAAGACAAGCACTTTTTACCGAAGCCTATTATTGCTTTAATAGCACAATTTTGGGCACAGAATATTAACAGTATATGGTGGAAGCATGGAGATAAATAATATAAAAGCTATTAACTATAATTTCATAATAGGAAAACAGAAAACTCAGAGAGTAAGTAGAGATCTCTCCCACCCATTTAAGAATTTTATATATACATGCATATATACACATTATGCATATACGTAATAACCCATTACATATATATGTAATGAAGAACTCATTATATATAATGAATGAGCATGTATGGTAGTTATAGAATAGCATATACGGTAGCTATTGACTAGCATATATGATAGCTATTTTATATAACTAGCTTGAATAGCATATATGGCAACTATTTTATTTAATTTCACAGAAGAAACTTTAGATTACATGTGAACCTCAAATGCTGGTAAGAGTCCAGACACTTTTGATTTATAATTAATTGAATAAATATCAGAAATGCTTAGCACATTAAATATCATTACTCCTGATCTATTCAGATGCTAATGTCTTATTGAAATCCCCTGTCCATAGCCTTAGAAAAATAGGGCTTATGGGAAGTCATTAATGCCAGCCCCAGGAGGTTGAACTTTAAGAACCCGTGCAAACACCAGGAAGGCAAGATCTATTTAAGCAGAGAGGATGTACAGAATGGAGAACGGAAAATATAAATATAAATGTGCTATTCTTCCTTCCTCTCCCCTCTCCTCCCACAGCTGTATCTTTTGGGATGTTAGAAGCAATAAAGAGGTTCTTTCTCAGCAAAATGAGTTCACTGTCAAGCTTGAGATAAAAGTAAGAAGCAAACTGATAGTGTAACTATAAAAGTTTAAAATAATATTTCTAGTGTGAAAAGCCTTCACACTCCGGACAGGACCTGTGCTACTGTAGGTCAAACTTAATTTTAGTTGTTGCATGTTACATAAGGCATCTATGTATTAATATTCACTGCAGTTATGTTTATGGGTAAGAAACCCAGAAACCGAAGGGTAGAAGCAAGAAGGTAACAACAGGAGATAACCAGACAATTTATTATAATGGAAGTTTGAAGCAACATGTCCAAGAACGTTGAGGATAATTTTTGTACTTTTTAATAACTTCTTTCCTGTCTTTATCTTTTTCTTCTGGTGAAGAAAGACCTTAATGGTGGGGATATTTAAATTATAAGATCTGGACTTAAAAGTGGAGTAGATTCTATACTGATACACTAAGTAAAAATAATTTATGTATTACTATATATTCAAGTGTAGGTATGAAATTATATGAATCTAGAATAATGCTGCTAATTCTACTAAAAGCCACTCCTCTCTTCCTACCTTGATGATAGTTTCAGTACTCAGAAGATGGAGGGATTTGTTTCAGATTTCAGAGATCTCACTTATTTATGCCTTCTCCATGGTGCTTAACTAATTCAATAAATAGCACTTAAATGGACATGAGAGTTAAATGTAGCTTTGTTACCTTAAAATGTGATAAAGATGTAGTTAAAGCCTAGATCCAAAGTGGAAGTATCTATACCTTTCCTTCTAAAAATGCCCCTAAATTAGACTCTGGGGTCTGTCTGGGAAAAGGCTGAGCTTGCAGAGCAAACTCTGAATGTATACATAGCCAGCTGAATGCACAGTTAAACCTCTTTCATGCTCCAAGTACAAGTTATGGAATACAAGAAGAGGAAAGTGACAAACCAACACTGCTTTTTAAAGCAATTATTCACCTTAACATGTCTCATAGCACCAGTGGGGTGAAAGATTACTCTTCCTGTGAGAAGAAATGAATGTGGGGAGTTCAGAAAGAGGCTCCAAACACTTGATTACTGTTTCCTCTGGGGAAGTGGAATTGTAATTCCTAAGCAAATATGACGACAAGGCATGAAAAGTCCCACCTCTAAAAAACAGGTGATAAGAATTGCTACTTGCAACTCTAAGGTGACCGTAAGGCAAATGACAAAGTAGGCCCATAAAAGACAAGCACTTTTTACCCAAGTCTATTATTGCTTTAATAGCACACTTTTGGGCACAGAATATTGACAGTATATGGGGGAAGCATGGAGATAAATAATATAAAAACTATTAACTATAATTTCATAATAGGAAAACAGGAAACTCAGAGAGTAAGTAGAGATCTCTCCCACCCATTTAAGAATTTTAAAAGAAAGTTTATTAATTTTGAAAATAACAAAAATTAGTAAACTAATGTCAAAGTAAAAATTTTACCAAAGTTAAACAGGCAAGGAAGACTTTATTCATGGCTACTGCAATAGGGGAGAAAGGCCAGAACCCAGTCTGAATTCAACTCCCCTGAAACAAAAAGCTACAAAAAGTTTTAAAAGCAGGTGTTGGAGTAAGAAATCAGGGATTGAAGCCCATCTCTGTTTATTAATTGCCTTTATCCAACTACATGAGGTGGTTTTAGGACTTGGAGAAGGCTTCATCAGAAGTTAAGAACTAACCCTCCCACAGAAACTGGGCAATAGTCTATCTTCATTGATTACATTTCAAAGAGATAGCTTCCAGGTCCTTGAGAAAGACATTTCTGGGTTGAAATATTGGCAAAGGGCTTTCCAAAAGATTTACATCTCAAAAGGGCAGAGAAAAGATTCACAAATACAAATTTTCTATAGTTAATGCTGCAGGAAAAGGGTGGTCAGGGCCTAGACTGAGGAAAAAGCCTTTCTAAAGTTTAATAAAGCTGAGGGCAATGTTAAGGTTCATCTTGGCCAATATCATACACAAAAATTATAGAAGAAGACATTTTTAAAAATCTGATTGAACAAATGCTAATAATCTAAATTAAGCATAAAAACATGTTGGCTGAAGGGTAATCGTGACTGCTTGGTGAGCTTTTCTGATGAGCACAGGTGTACAGAGAACTTATGTGTAAAGAAGTTGAGGCCGGGTTCGGTGGCTCATGGCCGTAATCCCAACACTTTGGGAGGCCAAGGCAGGTGGATCATTTGAGGTGAAGAGTTTGAGACCAGCCTGGCCAGCACAGGGAAAACCTGTCTGTACTGAAAATACAAAAATTAGCTGGGAGTGGTGGCATGTGCCTGTGCTCCCAGGTACTCGGGAGGCTGAGGCATGGGAATTGCTTGAACTTGGGAGGCGGAGGCTGCAGTGAGTTGAGATCTCCCCACTGCATCCAATGAGACTCCATTTCAAAAAAAAAAAAAAAAGAAGTTGAC
This sequence comes from Homo sapiens, assembly GCF_000001405.40. Classification (NCBI taxonomy): domain Eukaryota; kingdom Metazoa; phylum Chordata; class Mammalia; order Primates; family Hominidae; genus Homo; species Homo sapiens. The sequence goes on from NC_000004.12 coordinate 44,129,392, forward strand.
ATATATAGCCAAGGCTGACCAACATCCAAAGAATAATATCATAAAATAATCTCAGAGATATGAAAACCAACAACAAGCCAATGATTCAGATAGCCTTGACTCAGCATTTGCTTTTATGGCTCTTACATTTTGTAATAATGACAAGAAGAAGACTCAAGGTCTGTTTTTTTAAAACAAGATAGTTTATTATAGTTTATTAGTATGAAAAAAAGCAAGAGGACAACTGTTTGAACTGAGCACTGTACCATTAATAGAAAGAAAGCAGTCCAGCTGACCACAGAATTCTTAACTAAAGAGATTTATGTTAAAACAGAAAATGCTAAAGCAAACATCATTAAAAAGAAATTAAGCCTCAATAAGAAAGATTATAGTAAGAGTACTCAGCCATTTAAAATTAATTTGAGTCCAGGTCCAGATCTCTAGAAAGGATTTTAAAGATCAACTGTTCAACATATCCAGGAGGACTAGAGTACTTGCAGAAAAGATTGCAAAAGCTATGTTAATAATCTTTGAGAAACTTTTAATTTAGAGTGGAAAGTGAAATTTTTCTTTAATATCTTCTTAGCCAGACACATATTTACTATATGGCTCATGTCCAGCCTTGACATTTATTTTAGTTGGTAGTTATAAAGACTACCCATATATAAAGAGAATTAACTTTTTTTAATTTAAGATTTACAATGATGCCAAATACAAGACTATTTTGAAAAAAGAGAGATGAGCCACAGATATTATCTGCCTTCTCATAGTCTTACAACTTCAGAAACTGAAAATTTATTCCGCATTCATGTCTCTTCTTTCTTATTTTTAAAATCATTTCCAATATTGATATCACCTTTGATTCTCTAAGATGCCGAACTTTTGATTTTGACAGATCTTGCTTACCTCCTTCGAACAAATTACAATTTTGTATCACCAGCACTCCCAACAAGCTCCTACTGCACTCACCTTCTGCAAGGGAGAGGGCCACCTGTGGGACTGTCAGAAAACATTTCCTCATGGAGATGTGGGCCTTTCTGCACATCAATGCTAGGACAAAAAAAAAAAAAAGACAGAAAATGGTCTTCTGGAAATTTTTTTCATATATATAGTATATTCATGAACTATATATTATATAGTATATGATCTATCCAGACTAGGTTAAACAATCACTTCTATATGAGTTTAAAAAATTAAAAATTATTATAATAAAATATTACTAGATTCTATTTTTACTTATTGAAAACCCTCTGGTTTTAGAAATAATACAAAATAAAAGAAACCACATCCGAATATTTGTTGTCACCTTCATGTTACTGGTACATTTTACATCTCAAGAGAGTCAAAATATACTCTCAAGAAACATACTGGTATTAGTAATTTATATTTGATTATAAACTTAATTTCTTGCCTCCTCCATATTGATTCATCTATACTTTGTCCTTTAGTTTTGGATTTTTTTCCATTCTCTAACACTATACGGTAGTTTAGGTATTACAATATGGATTCTTAAAGTATTAGTTTGTTTGCTTATAATTATTAAGTCAGTTAGGCAATTCCATCAGATCTGCAAGTCTCAAATTCTCAAAAACTTAGACTGTAAAATTCCACTGATCCAGCCCAAGGCCATCCAAGAATTATCTTATTCTTTATTCACCAAAAATAATAATAATAATCCTTCAGTGCAAATTTTCCCATGTTTTCTATTAAATTAATTTATACATATTTGTTTAGCATAATATTCTTAGCCTGTGGGTAGAGTCACTGCAAGTGCAATAATGGGTGGTTGAGGCTCAGTGAGACATGCTCTTTCACTTGCTCTTTGTTCTTGGCTCATTTCACTCTTGTAATCACAAAAATGCAAGCATTCTGCAGTTTTCTCCTTTTTTATCCTGCCCTGATTTTCCATAAGGTTGTAATCTGGGTATGCGCCCCTAAATTCACTGATGCAACACTTCCTATTTCTACTAGCTAAACTTGATATACTGCTTTATCCAAGTCAATAAATTTCGGTTCCAATCTGTTCTGCTGAACTAAATTTACTCAACTGGTGCTAAAGGTATTTCAGACAACAGGAAACAGTAAGACATATATTTAGGGAAGATAGACCTTCTTAAAGTCCTTGAAAAAGCATTACTTTGACACCAGGCTTCCTTGCATATCAGTACATAGCAAAAGGCAAGGAAATCTATGGTATTTTCACAAATCGCTTTCCTTCACTCTTTCTTCCTTCCATTGCTTTAGGTAAAGTCTCACCTTTCCTCACATGGTTTACTGCCCCAGACTCTTGTTTTTTGTAATTCCCCACACCCCCCAACCCCGCCCCGCCAACTCTGCTGGAGCTTCATCTCCAGATTCTTACTTGTTCTTGTTACCTCCTTCTTTTTGTTTCTCTTTCCATTTTCCCTGAAGGGCTGGTGGTCTTCTCAGACATCTGCAAACCACAAAGAAAAGATGGAATACAAAAGGTATGGTCTGGAGGAAGGGAGAGTGGAGGGACCACAGAAAGTCCAGGAACCACAGCCTCTTATCTGGCCTCACCATCTTCAATATTCACGCCCCAAATTTAACCATCACAACGATGCTTGTCTAACATTTAGAACTAATCTTGCCACTTCGACTTACCTGCTTAACTAAAATGTTAAGGCTTCCTGTGACACATAAGTCACCTCATGACCTGTCCTTCATGTTGTCAGGATCTACCTCCTATCATTTCTGCACTTATCCTATGAAAAGCCAAGCAACCACATACCTTCCAGAACACACTCACCATTCTCCATGTGCCTCCTTGCCTTTGCTATTCAGTTCTTCTGTCTGGAGTACTTGTTATTCTTCTTCTCCTGCTGGCTAATTCTTATGGCTCTCCAAAACTTAAGTTCAGAGACTATCTTCCTGAGGAAGCTTTTATGCCCCCTCTTACCTCTCTGCTGGGCTGTGACTCTGTAACAGCCTAGGAGTCTCTCCATAAGAGCACTTGCCATATAAGCGAAGACGTTTTGGTCTGTGCCTGTGTTTTTTCCACTAGGCTATTTGTCCCTTGAAGTTAAGGGCTATGTTTTTCTCTTTAATGTACACACAGCATTTCTCAATGTAAGTGTTATTAACTTAAAATTTGAAGTGGAAAATTTTCTCTTTATGTAAAATGTTCTCTCTCTCTCTCTTTTTTTTTTTATTTGAGTCTGTCACCCAAGCTGGAGTGCAGTGGGATGATCACAGCTCACTGTAGCCTTGACCTCCCTGTGTTCAGGTGATCCTCCCACCTCAGCCTTCTGAGTAGCTGGGACAGCACATGCCAACATGCCTGGCTAATTTTTGTATTTTTTGTAGAGATGGTGTTTTGTCATGTTGCCCAGGCTGGTCTCAAATTCCTGGGCTCAAGCGATCTGCTTTCCCTTGGCCTCTCAAAGTGCTGGTATTACAGGTAAACCACTGCACCAAGCTCCCAGTGAAATGTTCTTAACTTTGTAAAACACTTAGTGTTCATGGCCCCAAGCCAATACATGTTTGTAAGACTCCAAGTCAAAGTTCTACATTCCCATTAGGTGAGTGCTATTATCCTTGGTTAAAACCATTATTGAACAGTACAAATGTGTGGTACAAAAAAGGCACTCAAATGTGTGCTGAATAAATGAAAGAATGAGTTAATAGATGAATTCGTGAATGGATGAATGAACACTTTTGCCCTAAAATTAATTAGTTATAATCTATTTTGGTTGCCAACAAATTCTAAGTGATTTAGTTGTTTTCCCTCAAATATCTCCAATTACTTTGAAGCAAGTCACTTCAGACAATTGCTAAGTGACAACTTTGTAAATGATGCTGATATCATTAATACAGATATTTCAATTATTTTAATTTCATAGCCAGATAATTTTTTTAATTGATATAGGTTTTTTGTTAACTTTAAAGCTTAGTGTATATATACTTACAACTGCAATACATAGAAATGACTTTTCTTTGCCATAACAAATACTGTACTACTTCAGATACAGCTATTATTAAAATATGGCCATTCCACAAAGCATGACATACGCCATGTTTCTAGAAGGGTAATTATAGTTGAAAATGTATTACAAATTCCAACAGATTCGTCCCTAAGATTTGAGAATAGGTGTTGTTTTGGCAGAAGGGAGATAATGCGTTATAAAATAGGCTTTTATCAATACTTTAGAGTTTCAAATCATGTCTTTCTGGCTGCATAAAAAAGTAGCTTTTGTATGTATGAAAATAGTAGTTTTCTAGTCAGCAGAGAATTATTACTCTACCAGTCTCTCACAGTAAAAGTAAAGTTATACATTGAATGTTGTTACAAAAAAAATAATTTCTATGAAAGTTGTGAATATACATAGGCTAAGTCTTGGAGCTTAACAGAAGACTTAGAAGACTATAGAAAGTTAGTCACTATCTGATTTAAAAATTTATAGATACACACACACACACACACACACACACACACACACACATATATACATGCATCTTGGAAATACAAACTTTACCTCTCCTTAACTGCTTTAGAACACACACAAAAAATACATTGATAGTTTTAATAAAGAAATATTCCTAATAGATTCTCTAGAAAACACATTATATAAATAATTAATTAATCCCTCCTCATCGCCCCTGAACACTGTGAGCTTCTACAATAATTTATTTTTCACTATACCCTATACTTTAGCCCTTTTTGCTCAATCCTCTCACCTCTCAGCACTGCCCTTCCGCCAGCACCTCATCCCTGTAGCTGGAAACTCTAGCATGGAAGTAAATTACAAAGAAAGAGCATGGGATTTAGTCAGAAGATAGGTGTCTGTCTTTTATTACCTGTCTGATTTTTGAGCTGGCTACTTAGCATCTCTGAGTCTGTTCCTTCATCTGTAGATTGAGGATAAAAGTAACTTAACATTAGAAATAGAGAAAAGTTTAGTTCTGTCCAAATAACCAAACTGTGTCTCACATACTAGGTTATAACAGGAAAATTTGCAAGTTTGCTCCTTGTCTCTAATATTTAACATTAAAAGCTGGAGAACAGTCCATTATCAAGGTACACTCAGGTTGGTTTAGTGATTCTTTTCTTAAACTTAGACTACCTACCTACATTTTTTTTTATCATGAGAGAGAGAGAAATTGGTCTTAAGGTTCTCCAGATAAACAAAACGAATAGTACATTGGTCCCATGATCTGCTATCTACCGGAGACCCAGAAAAGCCAGTACTGTAATTCCGTTTAAGTCTGAATGCCTGAGAGCCAGGCGAGCCCATGGTATTAATCCCAGTTCTTGGCAGCAGCAGTAGATCAATGTCCTAGCCCAAATAGGCAGTCAGGAAGCAAAATGGGCAAATTCTTTTTTCCTCTGCCTTTTTTTTGTATTCACGCATTTAATGGATTGGAGGATGTCCCTCTACACTGAAGAGGGCAATTTACCTTAACGAGTCTACAGATCAAATGCAAATCTCATCCAGAAACATTCTCATAAACACACTCAAAAATAATGTTCCATCTTAGCACTCAGTGGCACAGTCAGAAAATTAACCATCACAGGTATCTAGACTCCCTATGTTTTAAATTAGCTAATTATTTTTACTTTCGAACTTGGTCATTCTTACATGTTCCTGATCTCAGTTAATAAGACATGACCATCTACCATGTTAGACAATATATGAACTCAAAAGTCATCCTGGATTTCTTCCTCCTTCTCACCTTCACTTCAGTGTTCCACAAGAACCTTAATGCAATGTGCTCAAAATTGATCCTTCATCCTTCTTCCAGAATCTGTCTTTCCACTGTTCCTTATTTTGATGATCATCTATCCAGTCACATTAGTCAGAAACTGACAATTATTTAGGATTCTCTCTCTCTCTCTCTGAGAGGTGGTATATATATATATGCACACATTCACACACACACAACACCTCATATATATACACACATACATATGTAGATAGATAAATATATAGGTGGATGATAGATTGAGTGATCCTTTGGCTATTATATTTATAGTATAATGTGTATATCCTTTGCCTCTCTAATAGCCATTCCCTCTTTTCTTGCCCTTCACCCTTTCCCAATTCTTCCTGATGGAACTCTCCCAATAGACTACACCGACATAATTCCCACTGTGTTGTCAGAGTGATCTTCTTAGGCACTATCTGTTCTAAGAGAAAAATAATTTCTATTTATAAAAGTTGTGAATATACATATGCCAAATGTTCAAGCGTAATGAAAAAACTATATAAATGTATACATTATCAGATTAAGGAATGTATGCACATACAAACATATATATATATACTCTATCATATACTCAATTGCTCTGTATCGCTCACAAGACAAAACACATGCTTCTTTACAAGGTGCTTCCAGATCATGTTCTCTTCCGCCTTCCTAAAATTCCCCATATTTGAATCACATGTCATTAGGTTACTACCAACTATCTTTTTTGGAGCTCTTACAGATTTTAAAAGATCCTTAAGATTTTCTCTCATTTGTTGAATATTTAAACTTTTAGTTGCAGGCATTTTCTCAGCATAATGTCTATCCTTGCTCTTGATATTTGCAACTTTCATGTAAATGACATTTTTGGTATCTAGGCTCATTAGTTCTTAGTGTATCAACTATACATCTATTCTATCCTCTTTTTAGTGATTGCCCTAGAATTTGTTATATACATGCACAATTAATTCAAATCTATTTCTAAATAACACTATTCACAGGTAGTGCATATACCTTATTATATAGCTTGGCTCTATGTCCCCACCCAAATCTCATCTTGTAGCTCCCATAATTCCCATATGTTGTGGGAGGGACCCAGTGGGAGATGATTGAATCTTGGGGGTAGTTCTTTTCCGTGCTGTTCTTGTGACAGTAAATGGGTCTCATGAGATCTGATGGTTTTAAAAACGGGAGTTTCTCCGCACAAGCTCTCTTTTTGCCTGCTGCCATTCACATAAGATGTGACTTGCTCCTTCTTGCTTTCTGCCATAATTGTGAGGCCTCCCCCACCATGTGGAACTATAAGCCCAATAAACCTCTTTCTTTGGTAAATTGTGCAGTCTTGGGCATGTCTTTATCAGCAGCGTAAAAATGGACTAATGCACCTTATAATAACAAAATATTCCTAATCTCTCTCTTTCTCCTTTTGTATCATTTTTATAATTCATTTCATTTATATATATGCTATATTCCTTAAATATGTTGTATTGAATAAACCATTATCTTGAACAACTATGCTGTTGAACCATTGTATTTGAACAAAGCAGTTCAAAATTGTTAAACAAACTGTTATCTGTTAGATCAATTAAAAATAAGAAAAAAGCGTTAATTTTATCTTCACTGATTTCTTCTCTAATGCTCTTTCTTTATGTAGAGCTGAGTTGCTGACATATATTATTTTTTTTTCTCTAAAGAACTACTTCTAATATTTCTTGCAAAGCAGGTCTACTGGCAACAAAATTCTTCAATTTTTGATTGTCCAAGAAAGTCTTTATTTTACCTTCACTTTTGAAGGATAATTTCACAAGACACAGAATTCTACATTGGTAGTTTTTTTTCTCAATCCTTTAAATATTTTACTTCACTCTCTTCTTGTTTGCATGGTTTCTGAAGAGAAGTCTGGTAATTCTTACTTTTTTATTGGTACAGTGATTTTTCCCTGTGGATTTTCTCAGGATTTTTATCTTTGTCTTAGATTTCCTACAGTTTGAGTACATTATATGCTTAGGTGTAGTTTTGTTTGTTTGTTTTATTTTTGTTTTGTTTTTGGCATTCTCTTGCTTGTTATTCTCTGTGGTTTCCAGGTTTGTGGTTCAGTGTCTAAAATTTATATTTTAGGAAACTCAGTCATTATTGCTTCAATCATTTATTCTCGTCCATTCTCTCTCTCTCTTTATTCCCTTTCTCGTATCACATTATTCATGTTACATCATTTGTACTTCTCCCGCAGTTCTTGGATAGTGTTTCTTTTTTTCCAGTCTTTTTTTTTTTCTTTGCTTTTCAGTTTGGGGGATCTCTATCTTCATATCCTCAAGCTGAGAGATTCTTTCCTCGATCTACTAATGAGCCATCAAAGTCATTCTTTATTCCTGTTTGTGTTTCTGAGCTCTAGCATTTTTTCTTCATCCTTTCTTAGAATTTCCATCTACTGGCTTGCGCTGCCCATCTGTTCTTGCATGTTATCTTATCCATTAAAGCCCTCAGCATATTAATCATAGTTGTTTTAAGTTCATGGTCTGCCATATCTGACTCTGCTTCTGATACTTGCTCCTTCTCTTCAAATTGTGCATTTTGCCTCTTAATATACCTTGTAACTTTTTGTGGAAGGCCAGCCATGATGTACCAGTAAAAGAGACTGCAGTAAGTAGGCCTTTAATAATGTAGTGATACATGCACACCTATGTTAATTGCAGCACTGTTCACAATAGCAAAGACTTGGAACCAACCCAAATGTCCATCAATAATAGACTGGATAAAGAAAACGTAGCACATATACACCATGGAATACTATGCAGTCATAAAAAAGAATGAGTTCCTGTCCTTTGCAGGGGCATAGATGAAGCTGGAAACCATCATTCTCAGCAAACTAACACAAGAACAGAAATCTGAACACCACATGTTCTCACTCATAAGTGGGAGCTGAACAATGAGAACACATGGACACAGGGGCAGGGGGGTATCACACACCAAACCTGTCGGGGGGTGGGGGTTGGGGAGGGATAACATTAGGAGAAATACCTAATGTAGATGACGGGTTGATGGGTGCAGCAAACCACCATGGCACATGTATAACTATGTAACAAACATGCACATTCTGCACATGTACTCCAGAACTTAAAATATAATTTAAAAAATAATGTAGTGATAAAGTATGGGTTGAGGTGAAACATTCTATTATCCTATGATTAGGTCTCAGCCTCTTAGTGAGCCAGTGTCTCTAGGTTGTGATCCTCACAAGTGCTTCTCAGATTTTTCCCCTCTTAGGCAAGACCAGATGGCTAGAGGAGGCTGGAATTGGGTAATTCCCGTCCCCCTGGTCAGTTAGCTTCTGATAAAACCCCAATAGTGTAGGTGGTAAAATAGATTTTCCTGAGGGCAGGCCTGCTGGAGAACAGAATGCTCTGGCTACTTTTTTCCTTTCCCTGATGGAAGCTACTGGAGGGAAAACGCACAAAAATGTAAGCCTATACCCTAAGACTGGAGTTTTTAACTCCAGACTTGTTCACACTGAGCGTCCAACAATTCATCAATTGTAGTTCAGATTTTCCTGCCCCACTGCTGGTTCTCACAAAGGTTTCTGCTAGTGGGTCTCCCGTCTGGTAAACTTGGTTATCTTTATCTGCCTTTCTGTCTCAACAATTTGGGTGAGAGAGGCAACAGTTTTCCTTGTGACTTCAAGTTTCTGAGAGATCAAAGAAAAGTTGTGGATTTCAGTTTGTTCAGCCTTTTACTTGTTGTAAGGCATAATGGTGACTTCCAAGCTCTTTAAGTGCCAGATCAGAACACCCCCAACAGTTCTTTGACCTCTTCTTTTTAATGCTTTGACCTCCACCCCACCTCAGACAGTTACCCCCATAGCTTGTCTTAGACTTTGCCAATACCAAAGACTGGAAGTCTCCCCAGATCTCAACTTAAAGTATGCCACTTTACATAGTCATTTCTTTCTCTCCAGTTCTTTCTCTCATACATCAACTCTTAAATGTTCAACTTCAACAGGACCTAAAAGTAATTGACTGTAATATCTTCTGTCTGACCCTCACCCCTGAAATGTGCTCACTTCTGGTTTACTGTTTAATATATGGTCCATTCCTATAGTCTGTGCCCTGTATATTTATCCAATATTTATCCCTTCTTTCATTTCTCCAAGTTATCTGAAAAAATTACAACCCTAGTTAAATTCAGTTCTTTACATTCTCTATTCCTATACCCAATTAGTTGGATATTATTGAAAAAATGATCCATGCTAACTGATTTTACTTCTGCTTCTGGCCACAAATTTCAAGTGAGTCCTCAATGGCCTCCCGCACCATTCTACATTTACTCACTTATTTACATCCCTACTCTCCTAGACAAGCATTTTCCTGCTTGCTTTCTTCTCTTTAAACTTCCAACCACTATCACTTCATCCTTACTCTGATATGATAACTGCTTCCTGTTTCACTGAAAAAATAAAAGCAATCAGAAGATAACTTTCACAAGTTCGCACTTTGACATTTTCCTATCTAGCTATACTTGTCACTATACAGTCTGTATTCCTTCCTGTTATTACAGATAAAAGACCATAGTGAAGACTAACCCATCCACTTTCTCACAGTAACCTCAAACCTACTAAACAACTTCACTTTAGCCATCTTTCTCTTCTTCCATCTAAAAATCAAAAACAGAAACCTCTGTTGTTTCCATATTACACTATGGCTGCTATCCCATTTCTACATGTCATATGGTAGCAAAACATTTTTGTAATGTTATGTATTTGGGCTATCTTTACTTCTTAAACTCCAATTCCTTCTTGAGTCCTCTACAATCAAGATTTCTTTCCAACACACCTGTAAAATTATTTTCAATATCATTGATTATTTTCACATAACTAAAACCAATAACTTATACTCAATCCTTTCCTTGACCCATCACTGAAAATTCCATGGGTCAAGGAAAGGATTGATGGGTTCATCATTGAAAATCAGCAGCATTTCCAATAGCTTTTCAATTATTTATCTTCTTTAAAATAATTTCTTTATTTGGTTTCTGGGACACACGATTGTTCTCCATCTCATTAGCTCCTCCTTTGGAGTTCCTTTTGTAGCTTTCTTCTCTTTTACCTAACCCCAAAATGTTGATGCACCCTAGGATTCAGTTCCTAAATCTCTTTCTTATCTACATTATTTTTTTTCTATTCTTAGGTCCTTACTGACTACACTGGACAGCTACTAAATTTATAACTCTTGCCAGACTGCTACCTAGAATTGAATATACAAGTGCCTAATCAATACGTTGATGCTGATGTCTATTAGGTGTCTCAAGTTCAGCAGCACAATCAAAAAAGAATTTCTCCTTTTATCTTCCAATGTTTAATTTTCATATTTTCTTCTATCTCTGTAAAGTTTTACTCTATCTTTCTAGTTACTCAGGCCAAAGATTTTGGTCCAAATGTTCAAGTCACCATTATTTCTCTCCAGAATTATTTTAAATAGCCTACCTGCTTTCTACCAGCTCCTACTGCACAATACACTCAGCACTGAAGACAAAATGATTCACTTAAAATTTAAGCCAAATTATGTCACTCTTCTGCTAAAAAACCTTTCATGATCCTCACCTTAGTCTTCTTGGGCTGCATATAACAAAAATACCATAAACTGAGTAATTTATAAATAACAGAAATTTATTTCATACAGTTCTGGGGGTTAGAATGTCCCAAATCTAGGCACTTAACACATGTAGCGTCTGCTTGAGGGCCTTTTCCTCTTAGTGAGTTACTTCTCTCTGCATCCTCACATAGTGGAAGGGGCTAGCGAGCTCTCTTGGGTTTCTCTTATAAAATTATTAATCTCTCATTACCTAGTTACCTCCCAAAAGCCCCACCTCTTCATATTGTCACACTGGGGATTAGGTTTCAACATATACATTTTGAGGGGACACAAGAATTGAGACCAAAGCCACACCTCACTCCTGACATGTTGGCAGGTTCTGCTTCAGGGTCTTTGCATTTGTTCTTCCCTTTGGCTAGAATTCCATTGAACTGATTCTCCAAATTGATTTTGCCTTCACCTTTAAAAATTATTTTTAATAAACTTCACATTTTAGAGGAGTTTTCAGTTTACATAAAAATGAAGTAGAATGTATATAGAGTTCTCATACAGTTCCTCAACCCTTCCAATCCCATTCTCCTATTATTAACATTTTTCATTAATGCAGTTCATTTGATACAATGTATGAATCAATATTGATATAATATCAACTAATGTCCATAGTTTATATATTTACACTTGGGCCCACTCTTTGTGTTGTAAACTCTATAGGCTTTGAAAAATGTATAATGACATGTATTTGCCATTATGGTGTTATACAGAATAGTTTAATTTCCCTAAAAATTCCTGAATTCCACTTACTTATTTCTCCCAACCTTCTCCAAAAGCCCTGGCAACCACTGACCTTTTTATTATCTCCCTAGGTTTCCTTTTCCAGAATGTCAGATAGTTGGAAAAATATGGTATGCAGCCTTATCAGAATGACTTTTCACTTACCAATATGCATTTAAAGTTCATTCATGTCTTTTCATGGCTTGATAACTCATTTTTTTAGTTCCTTAATAATTCATTGCATGAATGTACTGCAGCTTGTTTATTTATTCATCTATTGAAGAACATCTTGGTTGCTTCTATGTTTTGCTAATTATAAATACAATTGCTATACAATTTGTTTGCAGGCTTTTGTATGGACATGAGTGAGTTCTCATTTGTTTGGATAAATAACAAGGAGCATAATTTCTGGATTGTATAGTAAGAATATATTTAGTTTCATAAAAGAACTTTTAAATGGTTTTCACTTGTTTTTCTTAACTTTTAAAAGTCTTTATTCAAAAATCCACTTCTTGTTTTGGGCTTTTCTAAAGATCCAATTTAAAATTGCAAGCCACTGTTCCTCTGCCATGACCTTGACACTTGATACACACTGAATGATTATGTTTCCCCCAAATTAATATGTTGAATCCTAATCCCCAGTGTGGTGGTCTTAGGAGGTGGAGTCTTTGGGAGGTAATTAAGTCATGAATGTGCAGCCCTAATGAACACGGTTAGTGCTCCTATAAAAGAGGCCCAACAGAGCTCCCTCTCCTCTTCTACCAGGTGAGGATGCATTGTGAAGATGGCTATCTATGCACCAGAAAGCAGGATCTCACCAGATACTGAGTTTGTTGGTGATTTGTTCTTGGGCTTCCAGTCTCCAGAACTATGAGAAATAAATTTTTGTTGTTCAAAGCCACGAGTCTACAGCATTCCGCATAGCAGTCCAAGTGGACAAAGATGACACTCTCTACCCATTGTCTTTACTTCAAAACACTAATCAATATCTAACACACCAGATATCTTACTTATTGAAGTGTCTCCTCTGACCTTCTCTCATCTCATGCCACTAGAGTATAATTTCCATAAGAGTGAGGATATTTTTCTTTTTTAAAATTAAATCTTCTATACCCAAAGCTTAAATGATTAGGACAATTTAAAAATATTTGTTAGCTGGGTGCGGTCGCTCCCTCCTGTAATCCCAGCACTTTGGGAGGCTGAGGTGGGTGGATTATGAGGTCAGGTGTTCGAGAACAGTCTGGCCAACATAGTGAAGCCCTGTCTCTACTAAAACTACAAAAAAATTAGATGGGTGTGGTGGTGTGCACCTGTAATCTCAGCTACTTGGGAGGCAGGAGAATTGCATGAACTCGGGAGGTTGAGGTAGCAGTGAGCTGAGATCATGCCATCGCACTCCAGCCTGGGTGACAGTGCGAGACTCTGTCTCAAAAAAAAAAATTGTTAAAAGGATGAATAAATTGAAGCTCATATAATTATCAAGATAGGAAGTGGCCTCACAAGCTAATACATTAGCTTGCTATATTTTCATGGATGCTGGCAGAAGACATGAGACTTCTGGGTCAGAGACAAATAATTTTATACTTATGGCACAGCAAACAGTATAAGCTTCATGTTTGTACTAATTATCTTTGCTTCCCATGTCCCATCTAAACAATATGGAGATGGGCCCCATGTGTGTGTTGCACATGCACTGGGCTTGTAGAAACTTCAAGATTTGAGAAATCCGACCTTTCATAGTAGACCACAAGAAAATCTACCAGACCTTTGCCCTGGAAAGAGGTATTATCTATTATACTGTGCACCAAACAAACTTTATCACTGCTTTAAATATATTTTATAACATCTATGAAAAGATAGTCTACAGCAAAACCTGTCAGGGCTTTGGCAAGATGTGCAGAAGTACAAGAGACCAGTGGAGAACTGTCTCCCAATTATAATGATCCAGCTCAGTTTTATACCCTATAGTATTTTCCTACTCATCCCTGTAAGTGTATCTGGCATTCTGAACTATTTAGACATTCCCACGTGCTTCATGCTACTTTATGTCTCTCAATGTCTTTGCTTTCTTTCCCTGAAAAATCTGTTGAGATCCCGTCTTATCTGGTGTCCCCCATATCTAATTAGTATGTATTTTTTCTTCTTTCAGAACCGAAGTGGAATATTAGTTCCTCATTAAAATCTCTCCTCAGTACCATTGGGAACAACGATCATCCCACATTGGTACCTGCATTGTTTCCTATCAAACGGATGTGTACAAATTATGTGTACAAATACTTCTTACTGTCCAGTGGTTCTCTCTCACTGGATTTTGATATACTGAAGAGGTGCAATCTATGATGGAGAGTTGTATGCTAATTGTTACTAGTAATTAAATACAGGATTTTTCCTCTGCTTTGTCATTTAAATTGGAAGAGCTTCAAAATCATCTTTATTTTAAAATGTCACCCTCATATACTTGTATTTTCAAATGCTTTCTTAAATGAGAAAGAAAATGGTACAATAATAGTCACAAAGATTCAAAGTGCCTAGATTATATAAGACCCAACACTTCTCTGATTTTTTTCTTATGTCATTAAAACAACTGTTTCATTGATATAAGAAGAACAGAAGAAAAGTTGTTTTTCTTATTTGCTAAATTATCTAAAATCTTGTTCAGTCTTGACTTGACATTGTACTATGCATATGACCCCAAGCTTGTTACTAAATAAGACTTTCATAGTATAGTATTAAGTTGGCACCAGATGGATTATTCTACTCCAAATAATTTTCCTTAAATTTCAGATTACAAGAGTAATACGATGTCATACAAAGTGATGCTTTTTTTAAACAAATATCATTCATTCAAGAAAAAAAAACAAAATAAAACATCTGTTTTTATAACTTTGTGTCAGAGCTTCTCTTAACTCAGTGTACGGTTAGAGTGAAGCAATGGCATTATATTTCATTGTTCACTGTGCTGACACCACTGCAATTTCTTTTGGGGTGAGTTAATAGCAGGTTTAAAGTTTTTACTCTCAGTTGCCTTCCTTTAATTCATTTCTTACAATGTTGCTAGAATTTTGAAAATGCTAGAATAATGAAAAGCTTCTCTTTTTTGCTAATTCTTTTCAGATAGCTATCTGGCTTTTCTAGATACAGTATATAATATTTATTCACACTATTGGCTCATACCACCAAATGCAACCTTGAAGACCTCAAGAAGATTAAGACTTGGGGACTCGGGGGAAAGGGTGAGAGCAGGGTGAAGGATAAAAGATTTACACATTGGTTCAGTGTATACTGCTCGGGTGATGGGTGCACCAAATTTCACAAATCACCACTAAAGAACTTATTCATGTAATCAAATATCATATGTTCCCCAAAAACCTATGGAAATAAAAAATTTAAAAAGAAAGAAGGAATGGAGGTTCTTCCAAATTTTTCTGAATGATGAAATTAACAAGCACATAGCAAATCATAAATACGTTGGATTAATTTTTAAAAAAGAAATTAAGACATCTTGTAAAATAAAAGAAATATGGCTATGGAACTCTGAAAGTTTAAAAGGAGACCCAGTATTATTTAATATAGTGCTTAGCCTAGAATCAGTTCACATGCTAACTTAGGGCATATCCTCTCATAAAAGCAAAAATAAGTAAGTAATACAAAATGAAATACAGTCTTATATTCTTCTTTAAAAATTATTATCCTTGGGAGAGTGGCAGAGGGGCACGGGTTAAAAAACTACAGATTAGGTACTATGCTTACTACCTGGGTGAAAGGATCATTTATACACCAATCTTTAGCAACACGCAATTTACCCATGTGAAAAACCTAAACATGTACCCCTGAACCTAAAATAAAAGTTGAGAGGGAAACTCACACACTTCCCCACATCCCCAACAAATTGTTATTCTCATTTACGGTTAGAATGAAAGTGTAATATACACCTTAGTATCAGTCTCCAAATTATTTAGGGGGATAGGGTATAAGATATGTGTTCCTTTAGTTCAGAAGATCATATCACTTATTCTGAATTTCAGAGGTAACATCATCCTTAGGACAGAGCTGATGTTCAATATACCATCAGTTAGGAGGCAAGAAAACAAAGTGGTTAAGACTTCAGACTTAAATGAAAATTCCAACCTACCAGTTGTGTGACCTTGGATAAATTTTGTAACTCTTCTGAGTTTCAATATTTATATCTATAAAATAGGGATAATAACGCATCCTTATTATAACCTAGTCATATGCATTATAGCAACTTATATCTTTTGAGTTTTGCCTACCTTCCTATGTGCCAAGAGTATTAGGGATACTAAGCATTTTTTATATATCATCTTATTTAACTCTCAGAGAAACACCATCAAGTGTGTGTTAGAAATGAGGAAACTGAGACCCAGAAAGGTTATAATGTGCTTAAAGTCACATAGGTGGAAAGAAGCAAAAACCTAAATAAAAACCTACTTGTGTCTGAGTTCAAAATCTGCCCATTTATCCAAGTTATGGGACAAAACATAAGAATGCATATCAAATTTTTCAGCACAAAGTCATAGAGTAAGTGCTATGCTGGATGTCCCTAGAGCAAGTTCCTAAACTCAGAATTTTCTGGAGGTGGCAGGATAAAGGAGGATGCAGGAGGAAACACTCACAACTTGTTCTTCCTCTTTAGTGATTCATATCATGAGTCACTCCCAGATAGTTTTAGGACAGAGAGCCACCAAAACAACTAACAAGCATGAGCATGTGTAGAGGAAAGAAGAAAATAGACTTTACCAAAGACAAAACCTGGCAAAGTGAAACATTTTCCTGGGGGAGTCAGTCAACAGTAACAAAAAAAAAAAAAAAAAAAAAAAGAAAGAAGAAAAGCGGGGGCACTAAACTTCTTCCTAACCTTAATTATTTTGTTGGTCTTACTCAGAATAGAATGTAATTGTCAGGAAGAATAAACCTCATGAATTTGCTGCAAATTCAGGTAAACTATGCATGGCTTCCCACTTGCTAATCACTCAACTTGTCCTTGCTTCATTTTGGCATTGCTAAAACCTAGTCTGCTTTCTCCATTTATGGATCTAAACCACAGATAGCAAAATTTGGGGTCATATCTAAACCCCAAGTTATGTATTCCTATATTCCTATATCAAAGTTTTGTCTTCCTGCAAAGTTTGTTTTTCTTAGCTCACTCAGTGGCACATTTAGCTCTTTTACAAATATTTCCCCACTCAGAGTCCCAATGAATACAAATTCATCCTAATGATGTAAGAGCTGGGAATGTGTTAAGCATAATTTCTTGCCAATGAGCAAGAACTGACAGATGTGTAATTGCCATGTGGAGTTAGGCATTACAAGATGTGTTTGTTTGCCAGGGCTACCATAACAAAGTACCACAGACTATGTGGTTTAAACAACAGATATTTATTTTCTCACAGTTCTGTAGGCTGGAAGTCCAAAATGAAGGTGTCTGCAGGGTTGTTTCTTGTACGGCCTCTCTCCTTAGCTTGCAGACAGCTATCTTCTCCCTGTGCCTTCACAGGTTCTTCCCTCTGTCTCTGCCTCTGTCCTAATTTCCTCTTCTTACAAGAACACCAGTCATATTTGATTAGGGCCACTCTAATGACCTTCATTTAACATAATTACCTTTCTAAAGGCCTTATCTTCAAATACGGTCACCTTCTGAGGTATGGGGGGGTTAGGACTTCGTGGATACAATCTAGCCCATAAAACAAAGCATAGATATGCTGCATCTGGGCCCTGATTTGAGAACCAGTGCCAAAGACAGATTGACTAGTTCCCTTCCTTCTCTTCCTCTGGACTCCCTTCCATCTAGTATTTAAGCCAACCTTCAAGTGGTCACCAGGGAGGCAGTGAGATAACAGGGAAACATACTGGACTGCTTTCCTAAGCTGCTTTCCTTGGCCTGGGAGCTCCTCATTGTTCAAGTGCTCATGAATGAATATTATGATTTACTCATACTAGTAATTTGCTTTATTCATTATTTTTTGGCATGGATAAAATTTTAAAAAGGTCTGTTGAGTCAATTACGCATCTAGAGACAGGAAAAAACTGGCAAACTTAGTGCAGGGCTCAGTGAAACAATCTATATTGAACCAGCAGACACAAATGACTTCTCTGAAAATATCCAAGGGATTAAAATGGAAGAGGAAAACTGAAAACCCTATCTCTGTTTTCATGGTGCTTTCTTCCAACCCACAGCCATCCCCACTAGCCTAATGGGAACACACAGCTCCATGTGGTTGTAACAGTTGGTTCTTGTTGCAGAGAGAGGAAGATTTGGGCAAGCATCCTTCCTCATCTCAACCCACACTTACTAATTCATTGAGGACCCAGATGTCTGGGAGGCAAAATTCAAATTTGCATCCCTTTTGGTCACCAACTCTGATGGTAGAAACATGCCATTTCCCATGCATCATCTGCACTAGCAGCAGGAGGAGTCTTTCTGGTTTTACAAGCACTGTTTTTCCTGGAGAATACATACGTCTGTGTTTCTGTGTTATATTTACCTTTCTTAACACTTTCCAGTGCTTAGATAAAATAACTTGGATTCTTTTTAGTGGCTTTAAAAAAAGTCTGTCCTGAGGCCAGAGGGATGGGTGCATTGTGTGAATTCAACAATAAATAAAGAGATTTAGCAAAGAGGAAAATGATATGTTGTTCTTTGGAAGTGCTCCTAGGGGCTCAGCTTAAGGCACGTTTTACAAATCAGTGATCTTGGAAGTCATTCAGTTAAAATAAATTAAAATCTCTAGTGAGTGTGGGCAAAGCTGTTCTCCCGTTCCTTGTCAGAGGCAACATCCAGAAAGAGAACTGGGCTCCTTTTGGACTTACTCTA
Source organism: Homo sapiens (assembly GCF_000001405.40). Taxonomy (NCBI): domain Eukaryota; kingdom Metazoa; phylum Chordata; class Mammalia; order Primates; family Hominidae; genus Homo; species Homo sapiens. Next base: position 44,148,265 of record NC_000004.12, read on the forward strand.
GAGCTATTTTGACAGATTTTGCTTTTATTCTTTGTACAGTCATTGTTTGTGCCTTAATTATTTTTTTACCGCTGAGGCTTGTTATTTCTTTCTGTAGCACAGAAAGCAAATTTGCAGAGAAAATGGCTCATTAATCACATTGATCCTAAGTCATTAGCAAGTGTTAAATACATAACAACAAAACCCTTTAAATGTACTCTATTAACTAATCATAAAACCTCTGCAACACTTTCTCTGACCATTTGAAAATTGCTTTGTTTCTGTCATTATACAGATGTCTTATATTGCATTTGTAAAATAATTTGAACTCTGGATCAGAGCTACCTCCACTGAAATAAATGATTTTTCTTTCTCCTGTGGGCTATTCAGTCTCATGATTTCCTTTTGTCTCTGGTTGTTAATATCATAGAGGTTACAGACAGCTATTCCCTGATAAAAACAAATTTTAATTTACTAGCAGAGGTTTCACTCTACTGGGAAAATTTTATTAATCACTTAAAATCCAGCAGTTCTGTCTTTGAAAATCTCAAATTGGTAGTATTAAAATGCATATTAAACTCACTGCCTTCTTCTATGTTAACTTTCTTAGAAAATTCCAATTTAGTAATCATTTCTGTCAAAAATAAAGGTACAGCTGAACATTACAAGTGGAAGTAGCTTTGAGTCTATAAATACACATACAAATACATACAAGTAAAATACTGTGAGAACCAGGAATGATGAAAACAAAATTATTTTCTTCATGAAAACTATACTTTGAATAGTTTGCGTTTTGTTTATCTTGCCCATGTGAAATGCCTACAAGTGCACTGAATTACTTACTTTTGATATAAATCCAAATAAAAAACTATTGGATATGATATTATTGTTTCTATGTGTATCTCATTAAAATCTACAATTTGTTGATTAATTTAATATTTCATCTGTTTTTCTTGTCTCCTTATTTTTTATCTTTTTTTCCTACCTTTTCTTCTGCTTATTCTTCTTTCCCTCTGTGCCGTTTTTTTCATGTTTTCTTTCTTAAATTACCTTCTTTTGAATTTCCCTCTTTTTTTCTTTGTTTTTCCTATGGCACTTCCTTCTTTGAATTACTTTTCTCAACAGCTTTCTTTTTCTCCAGTGTGTTCTACATTCTACTGATTTTCCCTTTCACTGACGTGTTCCGGCTTTTCATCCCATAATATAAAATGATGTCATAGTTTTCATTGCTCTTGTCTCATTGTAATGCTTTATTATTTCCCCTGTGTCTCTCTCTTGGCCCTTAAGTGATGATTTTTATTCTGGGTTTTATGTTTCATTGCCTCAAAATGTAAAATTCTAATAAGCAGGAGTAGCATAGCATCATTAGTAAAGTCTGTAAAATGTTCAGAACAGAGAATACAATTTGAAGACTTCATCAAGGGAACTCCCAACCACTGCTAATCAGAGCAAAAGATACATTTACCAGAAATATTTATTTCTAGGCTTCATTTTAGAATACACATTCAGTTAAGCACCTTGGGACAGGAGCTTCTAAAATTCTTTTATTTTTTGACTTCTCTTTTCTCTGCTCCATGAACCGTGTAATAACAAAACAAAAAAAACATAGGCTAGCCCCTTACCTCTCAGGTACCAACTTTTCTGCAAAACCAGTAAGCTAGTTGTATAAAAGAGGAAGGAAGAGAGGGAGGGAGACAGGGAAGGAGGGATAGATGGAAATCAGTGCCTGTGAGGTAATGAAGAATTAAACTCTTTTCAAGATTAAAAGGTTTATATCCAGAGACTTCTGAATTAGGGAAATAAATCCTTTTCTTATGAATGCGCACAGTTATAAAATGTCAGTACTAGGTATATTGTGGCCAGTAGAAATCCGATGAGGTCAAAAGAATGGAATTTGCAGGAAGGAAGGCTAAGCCTGTGTCCACAATCTCTCTGAATAACACCTTAGTCTTAAACACTGTAATGACTGTGACCATGCTAGATTAAAAGCAGTAGAAGCCACCAAAAGAGGCCCAGGAATTATTCATATTGGACTATAAATAGTATCTAAACACACCTCTAGGGAAATATAGCCATGGCACTTTGCCTAAATTGAGAAAGTTATGATAAGTCATGTGCTTGTAACATTGAGAATTATGAACATGCCTGGAAGATGATTATTCTGTTTGTAAGAGGAGTTATGTGGAATTTTTCCTTACTACCGAAATTTCAGGGACGTGACCAAATGTGATGATAAAAGGCTCTAAATATGCCCACAGTCTAAGCACTGAAAGCTTTTCTGGGAAGCACTGGAAGTGGACAAACACTTCCTCTTCACCTGACTCATTTGGTTAACCTAAAAATAGAACTGCAATGGAGATGTTTAGGTCTTGGAGAAATAGAGCATCATGAAGTTAGACTATTCTCTTTCCATTCTTTTCCCTAAAGCAAAAGTATGTGATGAATTGTTGAAGAGAATCACTCGTAAACACTTGGGATACTGTCAAGGAGGAGAGATCAAGAACACTTCCTTTGGCAGAATATTGAGCTATGGAAACCAAACTCCCCTTGTGCCTCCATTAAAATAGAAAACTAGGAGAACTTTATTTGAAAGGTGATATGAGAGCCTAGGGGAGAAGTTTGGAGGAATACTTAGGTATAAAGACTTATACAATTTTTAATCAAAATTTCTAAATGCAGGAAGTCTGCTTTATCCTGTTGGAGTTACCAAAAATAGCAGGACAAACACCATTCATAGAAGTTGTACAATGCAGAAGAAGGAATCAGTGGTTTATGTGGATTCACAGGAAGGAGCACATGGGTCAGCAGAAGGATGGAAGCCATGGTCATGGTACTATCCATCTGTGAGAGCAGACCATGACAGTATAAGGGAGAGACTATGTGTAGGATGATGGAACTAGTCAAGGAAGCCTAGGGAAAGCTGCCATTTTAAAGGTGGGAAAAGGAAGAGGAGCCGAGAGAAGTGATCTGTGTGGTAGATAAAATGTAAGGTACTATATCAATGCTTGTAAAACAATTATTACCATATTTTGGACATATGTTACATAATCTGGATTTGGATTTCATAGTTCTCTAGTGTAACAGTTCATTATTGGATACAAGACCAATGTTAACAATTATTAAAATGAAAAAACTTGGCCGGGTGTGGTTGCTCATGCCTGTAACCCCACTTTGGGAGGCTGAGGCAGGAGGATCACTTGAGCACAGGAGTTCAAGACTGGCCTGGGCAACATAGTAAGACCACATCTCTGTTTTTCTAAAAACATGTAAAAAAATTAAAAATAGTCACCTTTCCAGTGAAAAAATAAAGACAAAACATACAATTAAAAAGAATAGAGTGTCCTCTAAAATGAGAATAGATCATCTCAAAATGACATAAAATTATATAATATCAAGAATTAATTAAAATAAATATCAGAAACTTCAACACTGAAAGATACAAAATATGAAAAATCTCGTTTTTCTAAAAAGAAATTAAAGTTCTTCTTGATTAAAGTGCATCTTCTTATTTCTGTCTTATATGTAATATGAAAGCAAAGACTTAGGAATATTTGCATGAAAGATAAAACTCTTAAAAAATAGAAAATCTAAGAATCCTGAGGAACAGCGTAAAGAATGCTTGTGCTTATCAGCTTTATGTAATTGAAGATTTTTCTTTTACTCAAATATCTTTTTAAATTCCTATTTGCTGACCAGAAGCATTTGGAATTTCCTTGATATTTCATGACATAATTGAGATTTTTAGCAAGATTTTGTGTATCAAAGCTCCCAGTAGGAGCCTTTTCTTCTATTTTTCATACTGCTAAATAGGACTAATGTTGAAGATTTTTAAATGGAAAGGATAATTTTGCCTTGCTTGATGAATCTTGGTAACTTAGAATGTGCATATGATTCAATAAAAGGAAAGTAAAATGGAAACAATTTAGGGAAAATACATTACTAAAGAGATTATTTAACATTGTACTTCAAAAAATTTATTGTTTGGCTGACTTTTTTACATTTTAACCATGACTGTAATTTTAAAATTGCATAGATGCAACCAATTCTGTCATGCCAGCCGGCACCAGAACCAGTATCCATTTCAATTGCTGAAGGCTGTAATGGTTGTTTGCTAACACCCCTGAACACAATTTTGGTTATTTTTATAAAATTTATCCTTTGTACATTCACAGTCTAGAAATGTTACTCTAAAAATTAAAATCTATCAGTTATAGCAGAAATGAGGAAATAGTACCACCAGCTTTAGAGATTTTAGTTAAAAAAAATGAAAGAATAAAAGATAACTAGGTGCAATGCTGATTTCCATGAGTAGTCATTCAAAGGAATGTTTTCTTATTTTGTACATGCAAAATAAAGTCTAATAATCCATAACTAGGTGCAATGCTGATTTCCATGAGTAGTCATTCAAAGGAATGTTTTCTTATTTTGTACATGCAAAATAAAGTCTAATAATCCTTGTATCAACAAGGTTATATAAAACCAAGCATGTGATGATAAATAGGATTTCATTTAACATTACTCAGACCCAAGAAAGTTGACAGGGCACATGATGTGGAAGGAAAGAGTTATTGACTCTGAGAGGCAGAGCACAGAAAAAGACAGATTAAAATAAAATTAGAGAGTACTAGTGACATATAATTGTCTACACTTAGTGTATTTGTGCATAAACACTGAAGTTAAAATGAAATCGCTATCTAAAATGAGTGATACTATTAAAACAACACTGAATATATTGCTGAATTTTATATGTATACATATTTGATATATACATTCATTACATAGTTGCAACTACAACTGAAAATGAGAATACAATTTTACAAAATATAGGTCATTCAAATATTATACATTACAAATACCATTTATTAGTGCATTAAGACATATGTACATAGGAGTACGTCTTGGAAATCATACTTTTATCAATGATTTCTTTTCCAATGCCTTGTGACTGCGTAGACTGAGCAGAATGGTTAGGACAGAGATAATGCTATTCCAAGAGATCGTTGTCTCTTGGAATAGCCAGTTAAACAAGCCTTCTATTTCTTTGAAATTAAGTACATGGAATTATGCTTTGGACTCTGGAACGTCTAAGAAAAATACAAAGTAAACACCTCCCCTCTCCACCTCTTTGTAGATAAAATGGACAAAATTAAATTATCATGTCAGTAACTAATTATGTGAATGTATTATTTATTCATTTGCATATCAGGCAAGAGAGCATAAAGCCTTACTCACATAGATACTGCCAAAATATTGAAAAAATGACTGCTGAACCAGAAAGAATATTACTTATGGCCTGGGGGGAAAGCATGGGAAATGGAAACCTGTATGCCAAAGAGTTACTATGCTAAAGGTAAATTTTAATTAATGAAGGACATGCAAATTAAAATGCTATAGAATGTATTTACCATCAACTTATACACAAAATTCAAAGATTAGCAACATCATATATGGAGCGGTAAGGAAACAGGTACTGTTAAGTACAACTATACTCTCCATTGAATTTAATTAAGTGTGATATATTAAAAGTGTAGTCACGTATACTCTATTTATAAAATATCCCACCTCTAAGAAACTATCCCTAAGAAATAAAATTTGAGAATATTGTTATACAGATTCAAGGACATTTCTATCAGTATTATATACAACAGCAAACGCTGGAAGCAAGCTAAATGTCCATCAGTAAATTATGACATACCACAAATTATAGAACATGGTGCAGTCATAAGGTCAGCTAGTTCTTTGTTTACTGATGTACAGCAATTTTGTTTTAAATTGCTAAAAGAAAAAAGCAAGTTACAAACTAATGTATATATGTGATTTCAATTTAATAAAAATAAAATATAAGCATATATGTACTATTAGGAACCTATAGAGATTTAAATAAATGTATGAAAAGTTTGGAAGCATGCACACATTGTGGGTACTCAATAAGTGTGTATTGGACTTGATGTTTAAATTCACTTGCCCTTAGGTTTTTTTTCCAAATGCAAGCTAATTCTGATATTGTGAGCTAAGTTTGTTAGTAGTCATGATGAATAAATATTGCTTTACTTTTATTTTTTATTTCTTCTGAATGATATGCATTTGTTATTTCATCGTTCAGTTCAACTTAACTTTAATTATAACAAATATAACTTTATACACGCACACAGTGTAGTTTTGGGCCTGTTAGAAATATTACATACCAGGAGAGGAATGAGACAAATACACAAATAACTATTAATGTAAACCATTATAAATCTGTAATTACAGAGGTACAAGTCAAGTTCTGTGGGAATTCACATGAGGACAGATTAGGTCCTGCTTTGTCAATTAGGAGGTGCCATTAGGGATTATTTTGAAGGAATAGTACCTCTTTTTGGGTGAAGAAGGAAATTCCAGGCAAAATAGTGTAAAGCAAGGCTACAGATAAAAAATTTTGGCATTTTTGTAAAATAATAACCTGTTTGGCTAGAGAATAGGTATATAAAATTGAAAAGTGTTGGAACTGAGAAAAGCACAGGACTACATTGTGGTATGTAGATGTTATGTCTTGCCAGAGGACAATGCTAATGAGGAGACAAAAGGAAAGCCACTGAAGCAGGTATATTGGGAGAAGAACATGCGCTGTCTTCATGCTGAGGCTATCCAAGTGACCATTCAACACTGATCGATTGTCGATCTCAAAACTAGGAAAATGTCAGCTTTATGAATCTCCTAGACTAATGGCAGTATTATATGCCCATGCAGAAAAATTAACAGATAAAGCCGATAATGTACAGATGAACACTCTATTTGTGACTATTTGGACTTTAGGTTCTCCAAAGTGTGCAAAGTTGGAAGATTTTCTCAAAAAGGCAAGCAGTTTTACCTTTTTGTGATAAATGTCCTCAGAGATACTTTTTGACAAAATTATTAACAACTCCTTAGAGATGAAAATGATCATACTGTAGAAATATAAGTAAATTATGTGAATTTCTGAAATAGAGTAGCATATAATTTGGGTTAAATTATTCAAAGAAAACAATAAAGATATTGAAATAAATTTGCAGTAAGTTTACTTATTTTTAGTACATAATAATTGCTCTACATTTTGCCCCCAAGATTAAGGAAGTCTCAGGTATGTCTTTTGTTCTGACAAAGCTTCAAATTAAGTATTTTTTAATAAGTCACTGAATGAGTGAATGGAAGATTCGCTTATTCAAGCCAGAGACATCAGTTTTAAGAGTCCCCTTATTTTCTATTTGTGATAACATCAAGTAATGATCAAATATTACCTACTGTTTTTTCAGACCTCTGACAACGAGTTTTATTTAAAACAATTACAATATAATTATACAATAGCCCTAGTGGACTATCCACATACAAGGTTAGAGGACATGCTCTAGTCACTGCTCTCTCCTTTTCAGTGACTTACTTTCTCCTTTTATTTCCAAAATTAACAATATAGTGTCTAGTTACATCTTTTTCTTTATCACTTATTGCACAAAGAAGTGTGGGAACCTTCTATTTGCTAACAGAGTTATTGCAGAGTTGCAAGCGAACAAAATTTTCTCTTGACAGTGAAAGATGGGAACACTGAGGAAACGTTATGCTTTCTTTGGTACTCTTTCCCTCTGTTGTAAATTATATAAACGATTTCTTGGAAATAAAATGGCCCAGGTTTTACAGGAACTTAGACTCACGAACAGTGTGCTGAGTCCATGCGCTCATAGTTGAAGGAAACACTGTCTCATGGCAAATATCCAAAAAGGAATCTCAGCGTGCACAGGCTGGATTTTTTGAGGACCCTCTGGCACAATGATCCAAGCTATAAATATGCTCTGAAATGAAACAAGGGCAATGCAAAATAAGATTGTACTCAATTTTAAGAAGATAGGTTAACTGAGGAAGCTATTAAATCTTTACTGGGTAGACTGGGGATTAAGAAGACTGAAAAACTGAAAAATGGCTGAGGACAAGCTCTCTCATTGGTTGTTTTGTTTGTTTTTGTTTTTGTTTTTGTTTTTCCTTGAGTAATGCAGACCTAGATGACTATCACTGAGCCCAAGTGACAGCCACTCATTTTATGGACACACTGTATGTATTAGTCCGTTTTCACGCTGCTGATAAAGACATACCTGAGACTGGCTAATTTATAAAGAAAAAGAGGTTTAATAGACTCACAGTTTCACGTGGCTGGGGAGGCTTCACAATCATGGCAGAAGGCAAAAGGCACATCTTACATGGCAGCAGACAAGAGAATGAGAGCCAAGCAGAAGGGGAAAACCCTTATAAAATCGTCAGATCCTGTGAGACTTATTCACTACCACGAGAAGAGTATGGGGGAAATCACTGCCATGATTCAATTATCTCCATTGGGTCCCTCCCACAACATGTGGGAATTATGAAAGCTGCAATTCAAGATGAGATTTGGGTGAGAACACCACCAAAGCATATCACTATAGAATCAATCAAGTGTGCTTTAGGGGCACCTCAACTCCTCCTTCTTTATTTCAGCCTTCAACCATCATAACACAAACTCCCAATACTCTCTCTACTTGCCTCTTTCCTGTTAGAAGAAAAAACGACTTAGGTCACTTACACCTTGATGTAAACCAGTTTAATTTCTTTTATCTACTCTAGAATTATTTACATGTTAAAGAGAAAAGAAGAGCTAATATAGTTAAAGGAAAAGGGAATGAGCTCTTAGTGGCCAAATTCCAAACACTGGTACCAGATAAGGTGGTTATTGTCATATTGCTGCAATGGAGTCCTCCATATGCCCTTCAAATCATTCTATACAATAAAACCAAGTATTTTTCTTCTTCTTGGGCTAAGGAGTCATTGTGTGTTTATGACAAAGAGGCAAAAAATGGTAATTATATAAGGATTTTTATGGTAACTAGTTGGCTAACAAATATAAGGAAAAAATTATAGCAAATTAATCATATCTTTGATATATTGAGAGGCCCATAAATATTCAACTCACCCTCTTGGCCTGTTGACAGAAATCTATATAAGTAGCTGAAATTGTAAATAAGTTAAAGCTGAAGCAAGGTTCTCACTCTTAAGAAAAAGTATGTCGGTCATATTCTATTAGACTTATTATGATAAGTGTATCTACAGGAAAGTAGATTTTCATAACTTCTTTTAAAAATAAAAACCATCAGCAATAAAGTCTAAAATGAGAGGGGCACTTAGCTCAGTTAATCAACACCTCAAACTCTACCATAATCAACACCTCAAATTCCACCAAAATACAGGGCAATGAAACATTACCATAATATATGTCCCAGAATTATTCTCATTTATCCACCTATGACCATTCACATAGCAAGATCCAGCTCATTTAAAGCATATAAACAGTTATGGTTATCTGAAGTTCTTTGGAAATTTACTAACTACAATTGTCTGGGAATCAAACCAGAAATCACACTAGCGGACGGTTCAAATGAGCACAAAGGAGAGCAGATTCAATAACACTGCTGACCAAGCAACTAGCCACTGATATTAGGGTAGTCAGGAGACAAGGGAGTGAGATTCCACCAAACACCTTTCATTAGTTGCTTTTTGCACTAGAGGATGTTAGACAAACATTACCAGGCTTGGTGATAATATCACATATTTGTGGCACTACAAATAAAGAGAGAAAAAATGCATTGCCAGATGGACTAAAGGTGAGCGTGAATAATGTAGCAAAGTCAAGCAGAGAAGAAAAAGCAAACACAAAAATCCCTTTACGAGGATCTCCAGTGACATTAACTGGCACAATTTTAGGATCAAAGGCATATTTGCCTTTAACCCGTGCCTTATAGAATTTCAAGTCAAAGCAAATGCACAAGCCTCCCTCAAGAAAGAAAGTTTTTGGCAGTAAAATAAAGAGTATCCCTCTATGTATAAACTGGCATCCCATATCTAAACATCTCTACATCTGGAATCCATCCAAAAGTTTATTTAGTGGAATCCAGAGAAGCATTCCAATGACCTCATCTTCTCAAATAATAGGAGAATATTTGTATGTGGCCATTTAGAACGACTCTTGCAGCAAAGAGTGATTTAAATGAAAAAAACTCAGTCAGTCCTTAATTATTTAAGTTATTTCCTAATAGGGAACTCAGAAAACATAGACTTTTGCCAGGAAATTCTAAAATAACTTAATTCAGAAGTAGTTGTAAAATTTTTTTGCCATTATCAAAGAGACATCAATGTTTCCAGTAAACAAAAATATAAGAAGTATGCCCATTAACCTTAGGACACTTGGGACACTGGTCATGCATTTTTCTGGCCAATGCAGATGCATAGTATAAACAATGTAAATACCACAGATATAGCAGGTAGACAATACTGGGTCAGTTTTCTGGTGGTCTACACAGGAGGGGAAGGAAATGCTGTGATGTTCATATAATATATGATAGAAAGAGAGATTGGTATTATAGTTGCAAAGCCAGACTCCAAATTGATTTGGGCAGGCTAAGGGGGTTTTGCAGATGTTTGATGTGATGAACAGGTGAAGAAATCAACAGGCTGTTGTGTAGTTTGTGTAATGGAGTATTGAACTTCTCCTTCACAAATGGTCCTTTGAGATAGCTTATAACCCTTCTCTACACTCCTATTTTCCTCAAGATGCATAATTATTGCTATTAATCTACTTGAATTTACTTTCTTTGAATAATAGTGATATTTTTATATATGATTTATAAAATACTCTGTGCATGTATTATCTGCTAGACATTGTAGATCTCCACTCTATAACCTAGGAAGAACTAATTCCAAAAAGGTAAGTGACTGTTGGTAGGTAGTAAATAACCAAGCTGAGGTTCCAATTGCGTCCACTGCTCTTTTATTGACAGTTTGATTCTCACCAAAAAGCTACTTATAACGGTTATACAAGGCTTATGAAAGGGTTAAGCTTACCAGAGGCATTTGAGTCAGATGTATGGAGACATCCTAAGAAAAGAATATATTCCGAATAGCCCTGGGTCTTTCCAATTACTTCACTTTTTCTATACCTAATGTTCACCCCCCTGTTCAAGTACTGTACATAATCTCTCTCCCTGGATAACTGTGATAGAATTCCAATTGGTCATACACAAACTTTTACCTTCCTCTGCACCCAAAATGATAGTCTGAAAATTTTTTGTTCATTTACTCTCAAGTTTCTAAACTTTCATTGGCTTCCCATTGTCCTTAAGAAAAAAATCTTTGAAATAGCTTTTGAAATAGCCTTTGAAATAGCTTAAAAGTCTCGCCATGTTCCGGTCTCCACTGACCTCTGCAGCTTCACCTCTCTACATTCTGCCTCTGGATTTCTTTCAGTTTCTCATTTGTGCAATCTTCTTTCTTGAATTTGAAAATCCATTCTCTCCACAAAAGCATTGAGTAATCCCGTAACTCCCTTGTCTAGAAAATGCCTACTAATTCTTTAGATGCAGGGCCAGATGTCTTCTGGGAGACATTTTTATCCCTGATCACTATTTTTTAGTTTGTTTATTTACACTTGGAATTGTTTACTGATGATAAACTCTGTAAGGCCACTGTGTCTTTATTACTTATGACTGCAGCATTAATGTCTAATTTTGTAGTAAAAAAAAAACAAAGAAAACTGGACTAAACAAACAAAAAAACAAAAACACAGCAATGAATAAGTGGCTGTACAAATAAAATACTAGGTAGAAATATGAATGCAAACTAATAATTCAGGATTCCATTTAGCTTTTTTTAATTGCTTAAGTAAAAAAAAAATACTTAAAATCTAATATGACAAGCACATGCCATCCTATGGGGTATTTTCTATAGTCATGGTACCTCATCAGGCGGCTATTAACATGTGAGATATGATGTTTTGCAAAGAGAGAACAAATACACATAGTGTTGAATGCAGTGAAGAGGGACACTAGAGCAGCACAGGAAACTGATTATTCAGAATCATAATTTCAACTGTGTTTTCACTGTGCCATGCATGCATCTGTTTCAACATCCAGATATTGACAACAGCACATGTGAAATGGAAATTTCACCCTAATTTGAAGACAGATCCTGTTTATTCTCCAACTGTGATTTCCAATCTCAAATGGTGGAATTTAGGAATTTCTGCTTTAAAACACACAGACAAGCAATTTAAGGGTTTTCAGTTAAATATGCAGAACATTGAATAATTTAATGATACTTTACTTGTTTCCTTTCAATCCTAGGAATAATAACCTACATATTTCCTTAAGATAATAAATATTCTTTATATAGGACTGTCATGATAATTGTTAAGAGCAAGATTGACAAATACAAAATAATATATTTATGGCACTCTTTAATTATCTTCATGTCCCCAGGTGGCAAGAAACAACATTTTCAGTGAAGAGTTATTTATTATTTGGAAGATTCTGGCTTGAGATTAGATAAGTTTAATTAAGTGTGTTTTATGTATAGGTAAATTCAGAATTTTATGCTGAAATATTGCTGACACTGGTTATGCGCAGTTCGTGTGATTATGAAAAGGCTGTCTTATCCCTACATTTGCAGTTTCTTCAGTACAAACCATAACAACTCTGAGGTTGCTGAAGTCATGAGGGGAAAGTGAGAAAGTTGCCCATCAAATATGCTAATGATATAGTTGGATTTAGGGTTTATTACTATGATACTGAAAGCATTTCACTTGGGCTTCAAAAGGATTTTTTTAAAAAAATATTCTAAAACAATGTTACACTATCTTGTTACCAGTCAGTCCATGTGTAGCTGTATATATCCTGTTCAAGGTGAATCAGACTCTCACTCATAAACCGAGGCTTTGAACCTCCACTTCCCGTGGTTGCTGGTGATTTTGTTTCTCTTAATAGGACTTTTCAAGCTAAATAATTATTCCACTGACAAGTGTTTTGGAAAAGGTGACTATTCTAAATAGCAAACTTTTTATAGCAGCCTGATTTAATCAAGTCTAAGGTACGAGCTCTTTTGAAGTGACTGGATTTATTACTTTGTCACAGCTGCCGGTTAGGCTTCTATCATGCAGGCACATGATTTCTAGGTACTGAGGGAAGTGATTATTATGATGTTTAGAATTCAAGGAACTCTAGAACAATGGAGGCAGTTATGAAAAATGAATTTTTTGCTGATTACTATCCTTCTTTGTCCAGGAAACAAAATCTGGATACATCAGTCAGTGCTTTTATTATTATTAGATCAGAACTGACAGTACTTTCAGTTATGAGAAAGGTAACTTTCAACATATCACCTGTTCTTTGATTTATGTTACTCCACTGTACTGATTTTGTATGGTGCATAATTCATGATAGAATTTTAATACAAGCACAGAGTGTTAAAATCAAGAACAAAAATATAACTAAAAAGGAAAAAGATTGTTCCTGTGGTCTCTCTTCCATACAAATTAAATTATGTTGAATTTGAATACGGGCTTCTGAGAAGACAGAAAGAAATGACTTGATCTAGGAAGATTCTATATAATACCACTGGATGTGCACAACTCTTTTGTGCATAAGAAATATGCGATTTCCTTTCAATGAAAAACTTTCCTCAGAAAAAGACAAACATTAAAATTATATCAATTTCAAAAACAGTAATAGAGCTGGAATGGATAAAGGTCCCCCCAAATCCTTTCCTTTTATTATGTAGCTCTGAAATGATTCCAAGCACGTACAAGATTTGCTACCTGAGTGACATAATGTTTTGCTATGGTAAGAACATGGAGTGTAATCCCTCTCCCCTCGAGAATGTTACCTCATACCTTATCAGACCATAAATGTGAATTATTGGCTTCAACTGCTGTACTCCAAAACATATATAACCCAAGACTCTGACAAACACATTGAGGGCATAGGCTGTGGCAAGGCTACTCTTGTCCAGTCCTTGAGCTGTTCCCTCAAGTCCTCCCTGCCCACACCTGCAATGCTTGCTGGTGCCAAAGGATGTTGTGTGTTTTCCCAGATCTCCACCGTGTTGGTCAAATTGTCTCTTCTGAGAATATCTCATAGAAAAGTATGCCTCAAACTTTGATTAGGCTTTATCTCCAAAGAGGACTGCTTCCATCCTAACTGAGCAACTAGACTTTAATAATTGGACTCTAAATGAAATTGGAATTCACTGTATGGTTTAAAATACCTCCTCCATCAAGTGTATTTCCTGTGAGATTTGTTCTCATTATTCTCCCTCTTTTTGAACATTGTGGAAAAAAAAGTCTCTTTCTGTGACAATAAGCCATGTGGATTGTGAAATCATACTTTGATCATTTCTCTATTTTAACCATAGAAAATATCACCATAAAATCTATAAAAATACTGGCAAAAATGCCCAAAATCAACTTTTTTAAAACTCTAAAACTTAACCAGAAACTTGTAACAGTTAGGAGAGTCTTTACTCAAGAAAAACAGCAGAATCCCAGTAAAAGAAATGAGTTTTGCAGCATTTTAATGCCCTAGTCCTAGGACCTTCTCCCTAGCTCTGTGAAAAGCAATAGCTACAAATCAAAGTGAAAACTAGCAGCCTAGCCTCTTCTGAAGGGGAAAAAAATGGGGCTAGGGTTCCTTCAAAGCAATTCCCATGGTTTGCTGGAAAATCCCACTGATAAAGCTTGTTTTTATTTGACCTGACTCAGACTTTCCCTAGTATGAACATTCTTTTCCCGAAGGTGCTTTTGGAAATAATCAGTGACAATTGTTTACCATCACAGTTACCTGAGGCAGTGATAACAGTTGGGGCAAACAATAAGCTAAACAAATTAATTAAAAGAAAAAAATGGGGAATTAGATATACACAGAGGACTTCGGAAAGCTCCAAAATATTTCTGGGAATCTGGAAGGTCACATATATATGCAGGGCTATGTACATGCCCAGGAAAGACTTGAGAACATTCTAAGCTCTCACTGCTGGCTGACCTTCAGGCTCTGAGTAAGCAGTGTGTGAACACCAAAATGGAGTGATAATTTGTCTGCCTGAATGTTGAAGGCATGCTCTCATATGTACATAGTTCATTGGCAATGTCTGGGAAACCTATTAATTTAAACATTTAAGAATATATTTGTAAATCATGTGTCTGATAAGGGTCTAAATATCTGATATCCAGAATATACGAAAAATTCTTACAACTTAAAAATAATAAGACAATCCAATTAAAAAAGGGGCAAAGGACTTGAATAGGCATTTCTTCAAAGAAGAAACATAAATCGCCAAAAGCTTATGCAAGATACTCAATTTCATTAGTTATTAGCGAAATGCAAATCAAAATCACAATGAAATAACACTTTGCACACATTAGGACAACTACTGAAAAAAAGAGAAGTAACAAGCATTGTTGAGGATGTTGAGAAGACTGCATTTATGAAGCATGTAAGACTGTAATTTATGAAGGCATAAATTACTAGTGGAAATGTAATATGTTGCAGCCACTTTGAAAAACAGTTTGGCAATTCTTCTAATAGTTAAACAGAGAGTTACTGTATTACCCAGCAATTCCACTCTAGGTGTATACCCAGAAGAATTGGAAACATACATCCAGTGAAAAACTTGGACACAAATGTTCATAGCAACATTATTCATAATAGCCAAGAGTGGAAATAATACAAATGCCCATCAACTGAAGAATAAAATTTTGTAGCCCCATACATTGGAATATTAGTCATAAAAATAAAGTACCGATTCATGATACAACATGGATAAATCTTGAAAACACTATGCTAAATAAAGGAAGCTCCACACAAAAGGCTACATATTGTATGATTTTATACATCATACATATGTATGATAAATATATATATATTGAATAGGCAAATCTACAGAGACCAAAAGTAGATTAGTTGTTGCCAGGGGCTGCCTACAGGGAAAGGGGATTCATAAATGACTGCTAAGGATATGGCCTTTCTTCCCAGGATGATGAAACTACTCTGGACACTGATAATAATTGTAAAACTTTGTGACTATGCTAATAACCACTGAATGGTATACTTTAAATAGGTGAATTATATCTCAATAAGAAAACACTGATAAATTTTGTTCGCTAAAGAAAAAGAGAAAAGAAATTCACTTTGTTGTCAAATTTTATACACATTTAAAATAGCAATTAGTGACATGTCATAGTATTAAACAAAAATTTAGGGGAAATATTACCTTTAGGGATAGTAGCAGCTCCCTGCCCCCTATAAAAAAAATCCTCAGCAGAAATATTTGCATTCTGATAATTCAGTTTTTACTACACTGATATGGATAGAACAGAATCTCAGATTGAGTGAATATTTACAC
Source organism: Homo sapiens (assembly GCF_000001405.40). NCBI lineage: Eukaryota > Metazoa > Chordata > Mammalia > Primates > Hominidae > Homo > Homo sapiens. The sequence continues at coordinate 44,164,447 of NC_000004.12, forward strand.
TAATAAGTATTTAAGATGTCAACATTGATTTGTGTCAGAGTTTACTCTTTAAAATTTCCTCGGTACATAGAAGAGCTCTATGAAGCTTAGGTATCTTTTTGAAACTTCTCTAAAATTGCATATTTCCTTGAAAGTTTATATAACAAATTAACTTTACTAACAATCAAGAGGCAACTATAATGAGAAGAAGTAGACAAGCTTTGGTTTTTTGAAACAGAAAAATGATGCATAATTAATTGGATGTATAACTCCAGAGTGTTAATGTTGAATCCAGAGTGAGAAATTAGCATCTTACTTTAGAACAAGTTGGGAATTTGAGATAGTTTATTTCTCTGAAACTTCACTGGATAAATTTATGCTATTTTGTTTAGTAATTCATTCCTAGATTCATTTATTAATACATTTGTTTGCTTCCTTTATTTAATTTAGATATTTAACATTTGATTAATCATAAGCATTATTAAGTAACTAATGGTGCAAAACACTACTTAAACATAGTGAATACAAGGATAGTAGAGGTCGTAATTATTTTTTCATGTAATTATAGAACAAATCTATAGAATACCATGTGTAAATATTTTGAGATATAGCAATTCTGTATCTCTACTAAAGGGAATCAAATAAGGAAATATGGCAAAAAGGGCTTTTCATAAGTAGTTAGAAAAATGGTTGAGTAATGGTGAGTATTGTTTTAAGAATCTTACATGTATTATATGTAATACGTGTAAGGTTACATAAGGTTAACTACTCATTATCAATCCTTAGGATAAGTACTCATTATCACCACTATATTGCATTTGGCTAATACGTGATCAGGCTAGGGTTTGAACCCACACAGACAGCTTTTGTTATGTTGTGTTTATCTTGGTTTTGATGGGATTATTGATTTGATGTGAAAAACATTAGGGAAGAAAAGGAATTCAGAATTTAGAAAACAAAAAGAAAAGAAGTAATAGGAAGAAGATGTGTCTTCTTGGAGCTGAGGCTGATGAGAATTAGCAACTGGGAAACAAAAATGTACAGGGTTTGGCCACTTAAGAGAGGCCTAGGAATGACAGGTTCAGTCACACTAGACTCGCAGATGGCTCCTCGTCCTGAGACTCTTGTGTGAGGGAGTACATTATGAAAGCAGTGTTTTATGAAGAATAATGTTGCCTGGTACAGATTATTTGTTAGAGAAGTTATAGGAAGAGCTGTTAGAGAGCCATTACAGTAATCTATCATGCAACACGGTCAGAATTATGTAAGTCAAATCATTAGCCAAGAAAGCTGAAATAGATTCAAGTGATTTTTGGCCCTTCCGGAATGCCTTCAAAATATGGAGTATTAAAATTATGAATTAAAAGAATCCTTTTAACAGACCACAATCACCATTTCTTCTAGATGTCATATGCATTCACTTTCTCTGAGTTCATGCTTTGATTATAAGATTTCCAGGCTGGTATCTATTCCATTTCTCAATCCCCAATCTATTACCTTCTTTAATCACTTCATTTAAAATAATCCAGTTGAGTTTACAAGGTCCATAATTTAACTAACACCCTCACCATTACTTGTATCTCTCTTGCTGCTCTATATTTCATTATATTTCTCTGATGGTTAAAAAAAACAAATACAAAGCTAATTACTTTTATACACATTATCTATGCTACCACCCCCACACCTACTCTCTACCGCAGGAGCCTATACTCCTTCAGAAAATTATGCAATAAGATAAATTGGTATCACTATAAATTCTTGTTTGCCAACCTCAAAAATGCTCTTAACTTTCTCAACCTTGCTCAAAATTCCTAGGATATTTCTTGGGTCAACATTCTTCACCTTCTCAAAATGCTTTTTTTTAATTTAAAAGGTTAATTTTTCATTATGAGTTTCTCCAAACATATGCTAAAGTAGAAAGAAACCATGAGTATCTATCACTTGCTTCATCAATTATACACATGGCCAACCTTGCTTCATCTAGTTGAACCATTGCTCCTCCCCCATGGGTTATTTTAAAGGTAAATGTCTTAGATTTTAATCCATTAATACTTCAGAGGTATTTCTAAAAGATATGGACACTTTTTTCAACATATCCATGGTATTATTGTTAACAAATAATAATTTGTTATTACCATTAAACATTCATCTAAGATGAATAAACTCCTTGAAGATGATGATGGTATTACAGTTGGTTTGAGGGGAACTGGGATCCACATGAACTCCCAGTATAGCATCTATAGGATATGTCTTTTGACTATAGATTCTCTTCCCTCTTTGTTTTTCCCTGACCACTTTATTGTTGAAGAATTAACTTGTCATGTAGAATCTCCATCCTAGAAATTATTGACTGCACCATTTTGTTGTTATTTAGGTTTCTTTATCCCCTGTTTTCCCAGCAAACTGGCAGTTAGATCTAGGGACCTATCAGATACATCTCTGTTTTGGGCAAGAATACATCAGAGGTGGTACTGTGAGCTTCCTATTCTTTTGTGTCAGGAGGCACTAGTGTCTGGTTGTCTTCCTATGCATAATGTTAAGATTTGGCAGTGGGATCAGATACTATCAGTATGATCCACCCATTATAAAGTTTTCCATTATCCCTTCATGTAATTTTTGCTGCCATGGGTGGCTGGTGTTTAAATCCATTATTTCATTAGGGTTTGCAAAATAGTGAATTTCTATTTCTATAACTTATTCTGCTTGAAGAAAAAGATGAGAAAAAGGAAAGGTGAAAATGTGGTAGGAATGGGGTGTGGTAGGGATTGTATCTACAAACTCTATTTTATGTCACCAAATAGGTAAGGACTGTGCTGGCAAATCCTCATCTTTAGTTAGTGGGAGATAAAGGAAAACATGCACACGTTAGAAAATTGTGTCCCTGGCTCTTGCCCTTGCCCTCCCTCTCCCCTCTCCCCTCTTCCTCGTCTCCGTCTCCCACTTTCCACGGTCTCCCTCTGATGCCGAGCGGAGGCTGGACTGTACTGCCGCCATCTCAGCTCACTGCAACCTCCCTGCCTGATTCTCCTGCCTCAGCCTGCTGAGTGCCTGCGATTGCAGGCGCGCGCTGCCACGCCTGACTGGTTTTTGTATTTTTTGGTGGAGATGGGGTTTCACCGTGTTGGCCGGGCTGGTCTCCAGCTCCTGACCGCGAGTGATCTGCCTGCCTGGGCCTCCCGAGGTGCCTGGATTGCAGACAGAGTCTCACTCACTCAGTGCTCAATCTTGCCCAGGCTGGAGTGCAGTGGCGTGATCTCGGCTCGCTACAACCTCCACCTCCCAGCCGCCTGCCTTGGCCTCCCAAAGTGCCAAGATTGCAGCCTCTGCCCGGCCGCCACCCCGTCTGGGAAGTGAGGAGCGTCTCTGCCTGGCTGCGACCCCGTCTGGGATCTGAGGAGTGTCTCTGCCCGACCGCCACCCCGTCTGGGAGGTGAGGAGCATCTCTGCCTGGCCGCCCCGTCTGAGAAGTGAGGAGCCCCTCCGCCCGGCAGCCGCCCCGTCTGGGAAGTGAGGAGCGTCTCCGCCTGGCAGCCACCCCCTCTGGGAGGGAGGTGGGGGGCAGCCCCCGCCCGGCCAGCCGCCCGGTCCGGGAGGTGGGGGGCACCTCCGCCCGGCCGCCTCGTATGGGAAGTGAGGAGCCCCTCTGCCCTGCCGCCACCCTGTCTGGGAGGTGTACCCAGCAGCTCATTGAGAATGGGCCATGATGACGATGGCGGTTTTGTCCAATAGAAAAGGGGGAAATGTGGGGAAAAGAAAGAGAGATCAGATTGTTACTGTGTCTGTGTAGAAAGAAGTAGACATAGGAGACTCCATTTTGTTCTGTACTAAGAAAAATTCTTCTGCCTTGGGATGCTGTTAATCTATAACCTTACCCCCAACCCCCTGCTCTCTGAAACATGTGCTGTGTCCACTCAGGGTTAAATGGATTAAGGGCCGTGCAAGATGTGCTTTGTTAAACAGATGCTTGAAGGCAGCATGCTCCTTAAGATTCATCACCACTCCCTAATCTCAAGTACCCAGGGACACAAACGCTGAGGAAGGTGGCAGGGCCCTCTGCCTAGGAAAACCAGAGACCCTTGTTCACATGTTTATCTGCTGACCTTCCCTCCACTATTGTCCTATGACCCTGCCAAATCCCCCTCTCCGAGAAACACCCAAGAATGATCAATAAATACTAAAAAAAAAAAAAAAGAAAAAAAAAAAGAAAATTGTGTCCCTGTCATAAAAATATTGTATTGGTGAGCACAATGAAAGGAGCAGCAAATTCTACTTGGGAATTGCAAGTAGTTAAAAATAGCTGAAAAAGGACGTGTGTGTACATGTGAATACATGGTCATAAGTCTGGAGAAAGAAAGGAGACAGGAAATGGAGCACTTTATTAGTTATATAAAGTAGTTTAAGTCTTTTTCCCCAGTCGGCAGTGAAATGAAGAGATTTAAGCAAGAGGATAATAACAATGAAAAATTTTTGTTGTAGGAAGATCACTTCTCTAGCAGTATGAAGGATGGACCGGAAGGGGAAAGATTGAAGGCAGAGACCAGTGTAGTCATTATTACTGTAGCTGAAGTGGAAAATGATGAAGGTATGTACTTGCAGTTGCAGGCAAGACCGTCTTTTTATGTGTTTCTGGCTTAGCACTTGTTAAACTCTACTATAACTGTCTGTTTTCTGCATTGAACTGCAATAAGTGTTAAGCACAGTTGATGAGAGCAATCTACCCTAGGTAGAGGAAATAGGGGTAGATAATTTTAAAATGTCAATGAAACTAACTAAAAATTAATCTGCTTTTTATTATCACTATGCACTGGCAATTCAAAACAATGTGAATGTTAAAATACTTCTCCCCTCAAAAATGTTATTTGTGGGTCCAAGTTCTAATTGACTTATTTATTTTCATCAGTTTTAATTGATCAGTTTCCATTTCATCTTCTTAAAGGCATTTTAAAGAGAATTTAATTTGCCTCTACCTTAGCACTCTGCTGCTGCAACTGGAGACTGGAGAAAAAGACTGGGTGAGTAGAAAAAGAATTTACTCATAAGAATATGATCTTGAATATGAAAATTATGATTAAAACATCAGCGTTACTATATGCTTCAACATAAGAATGGTATATTCATTAAAACTTTGAAATATATTCAATAATATTTTTGTAAATTTTTTTTTCTAAAATAGCTTCATCTACTAGTTATCTTACACATTCAAACTTAAAGACTTGTCTCTTTCCTTACACAGTCCCCTTTCAACATCCTTATATCTACAAATCCAAATCCCCTTTCCTTCAAGTCCCATGTCACATTACACTTCCACCATAAAGCCATCTTTTCCTCTAAATCCATGTAACAATATTTGTGCTTTTATTACAGCCTACCCCACTGCCTACCCTGTATCATAGTCATTGTGTACACATCTTATAGTTGAAATTAAACCCATAAGCTCTTAGGTGTCTTTATTATGGCTGTATCTTTGATATTACCTGATAAAGTACTTAGCCCATGGGAACATTCTAGAAATAGGGATAGATTACTTTAATTTCATTTATGTAGAAAATGTACATGCTTTTTAAGATTCTTTCAACTCTGTAGTTATGTGATCTTTTTAACCCCTGTATGTAATGTTTCAAAGTGACGTTTTTAGGACTATGGAATGGAGAGAGAGGGTAATTTGAAAATAGGTTGGATGTTTACGGATTTTATAGGAAACTCTTTCAAATTTCATCCTTTCATAAACAAATATAACTAGGCCTTGGTAAAATTTATTTAATACTCTGAACTACAGATCATTAACATTCCAGGTCACAACTTATGTTTACTGTATGCCAAACCAAAAGGAGACACTGTAGGAGAGAAGAAATAATTTTCAGCCTAATCACTGCATCTCAAGCAGGAGATGCCAAAATCATGTTCATCCAAATTGAAACAAACTGTGAAATATTTTTAAGATATCCCTTTGAGTAATCTCTCTGTGAGGGATTAGGAATGTAAAATCAATGCGTGAGATTTGGCCTGGAAACGCTGTAAAAGGGCTTTTAGCAAGCCTAGGGAGGCAGGAAGAATATCTATCAATGGCTGTTAATGATATTCTTGCATTGAAAAGGATGTTTATTAATTTGCAAAAATTATTGTGCCCACTGTGTGCAGAAACTCTCTACTCATTATTTTTCCCATTCAAAGAAAAGTAAGATCTTAAGCTACATGAAACATCTTTCAATCTAATTAAAAAGACAAGTGTACGTCATTACCCTTATATATTATGACATAAATGATAGGTACAGAAAGGATGTTTTTAAAGTGATCTGAGATATCTGAGAATGAAATGATTACTAATTCTGTTCTGATAAATTAAAGAAAGCTTTGAAGAGTAGGTGTCATTTGAATTAAAACACATTAGTATGGGTAGGATTTCAAAAGGTGGATGAAGAAGTTTGTATGTGTTTGGGTTTTAGAGGAGTTGGTGATGGTATTGATTTTAGGGTACAGGTAATCATAAATCCATAGTAATTGGTGAGCAAAGAGTTTGCTTCTAGATGTGAAAGCATATGTCAGAACTATGGTAGGTTGCAAATGGTCACAAAATCTTTGCTGCTCTTCCTATGAAGAAGTAGAGCTATTTTCACAGCCCCTTTAATTTGGAATGGCTTGCTTTGACCATTCCAAATAGAGTACAGAGAATATGATGCATAAGTTGAGAGCTACACCTTCAGGGCCTTGAACACTCTTTCGTACACTGCCACAATGTGAATAAATCTGAGCTAGACCATTGGAAGGGCTATATGGACAACTGAGTCACTGTAATTGAAACATGTCAATGGCCAAACATTCAATAAAGACATTATAGATTATTCATCCCCTGCCAAATAACCAGGATTATCCAGGTAAGTAAGCCGAGGTGAGATCCGTGGAAGAACAGCCCAGCTGATCTCAGGACAAATTGCCAATTTACAGAATTGCAAGCAGATAATTTTTTTTTAAGCCACTATCCTTTCGAGTGGTTTGTTGCCCAACAAAGGTAAACTGATATGGAGCCATTTTATTGAGAACCTATATTATGGTTTATACAGTGTTTGAATTTTATTCTATGAAAACTGGGGAGGCTTAAAAGAACTAATGCAATTTTGTCCACTTCTCCCCAACCTGACAAAGCAGAGTTTATCTAAATGTTTTCTGTCTTGCTACCCCTTTCCTGGTCTTTTGACTAAAGAGAACAGACATTTGTTGGGGCTTGTCTGCACCTATTAGTGTTTCTGGGATGTGTGAGGCTCAAGTCTGGGATGTATGAGGCAAAAGGAAACCTAAGGAAACTTACCACCCAATATCCCTAGCTAGCCTTCCCTCTTCTTTCAGCCTTTTGGAGTCTTACTTTTTTTTTAAATATAATGTAAAGGGATTTAATTACACTTAGTAGGAAGAATAGGAAAAGGTAGTCTACTCCATTTTTCCAGAATCAAAAATATCACACTTGACTTCTACTTTTTTCTCTCATCTTAGTTAGTACTAAATGTTTCCATTTAAACTAGCAATGGTAACACATCAGGTCACAAGTTCAGTATCTACTGTGTACCAAACAAATGTAAAACATGTGGGCGAGAATAAATACTCAACTTCAGTGCCTGATTCCAGTCTTCTGACTTGTGGTGATTGTCAGATTTTATCTACTGGGTTTTTGGAAAGGGAGTTTTATATACCAATTTTAGCCCAACTCACCATGGAAGTTTGGTGTCTTCTTTTTCTTTCAAGGAAGAATCCCTGTTCTTGCTGCATCCCTTGATCCCTTTTTAACCCAAATAGAGACCAGCCAAGTTTTAGCTTCTGGGGAAAGCATGATGGTTTGGGAGAATCAGACCCACTCTAAGCTTCCTTCCAAAAGCAACAGCTGGTCATTTGTGTTTCTTGAATTTGCTGTTGACCTTTGAGACAAATGCTTGGTGTATGATAAGTGCTCAAAAGACAGTTGTTGAAGTGGGCGCCCTTCTACCCCATGGTTCAGAACTTTTATTCTAATTTAGCAAGGACTGTAAGAATAGACAATTATCACTGGCCTCACTTATTTTACAGTGTAGAGATACGAAGAGATGGCAGGGTTCCCAGTTACCAAATTATTTCCATTGCAATTCGATTTGAGCTATTTTATTGGGGGAAAAAAACAGAGCAAGGTGCAAGGTTTTCAGATTTATTCCTTGATTCCTTGCCTTTTGCAGTTGGACTTTGTGTCTCAAGGGGAACCCTTGTACAAATTACATTTCCTAGGCTGCTTAGACAACGGGCTCCTACTTATATTGGGAAGAGGGAAGGTGCTGATGTAAAATTAGAATGTGGGAAAAGTGGAAAACTAGAGTAATGTTCTCTTCTGTGCTTCATGAAGCATCTTTGAAAGTGATTGTGACTCCTTAGAGGCTATAGTTCTTACCAGACAGCTTGCCCCCGAGTATTACAAACTCCCCATTTGATAGTGCTGGTTCCTAGACTTCAGTAAGACAAACACCTTCCTTTTTTCCCTCCAGCTCCAGTAGTGCTGGTGATGCTTTACTTCAATTACGTCATTTAAATGTTTTCTATGGTATTATGCCCCTTTATTTTCCCCATTATCCCTAAGATCACAGATAGTAAGTGGTACAGGTGGGATTCGAACTGTGGAAACCTTACTGCCAAGCTCTATCCTCTCACCAGTGTGTTGCAGCTACATCAAGCCATGTTGGGACTGCCAACCTTCCCAAAATGAAATGCAGAACTTGAGAGCAGCTGTTTGCCTAAAACCTGATAGATAATTCAAGGTAAATCATATATATTAGTTTCCTTTAATAGTCCACTGTAGGTGATATTTTACATAATGGTACAGTGAGAAATCTAACAATGCATCCAAAAATGAATGCAGATTTTTTAAACTTTGAGTTGATAATGCTCATCTTCTTGTATTGTGCTGAAAGAAATGATACTTCAAATGCTGCTCAACTTCCATTTTGACCAACTACAGAGGAGAATGGGTTCTTTAATTCTTGAAGATAATTTTACCCTCTCTTAGCCTTTCTTTTAGTGAAATTTCATGATGTTATACATTTCTTTCTGTGGATATGGCAAGGCAAAATTGTGTGGCTTATGACAAGAAAGCTTCTTTCCACATGTACAACCAGGAAGAAATCATTTTTCATAAAGCCTGGCCTTTTAGTTTGATATTGCCATTTTTGTGCCTTGATCTGTAAGAGGTAACTTACTAGTTGTTTTTGGAGAAGCATTCAATCTGGTTAATAGGTAAAATAACATTTTAGTGTATTTTTACATGAGGACTTTTTCTCTTGTGGGCTAAGTGTTTATTAATCCATACCAATGCTATCTGGATCTGACTATGTCTCCATTTTGAATTACGTTTAAAGTTGTCAACATTAAGTCTGAACAAATAATTCTACAGCTTAGAGTTTTAAAGGAAAATTGAAAACAAGATGACAGTTGAATATTTTTAAAGAAGAGTCAATAGAAATCAAGAAATTCTAATACATTTTTCTTTTTTTAATAAATACATAAAGCTCTTTACCATTTCCCTCTATTATTTTGATTAACATGATAATAGGATCTTTCAAAGCATCATTATACCAATTTTCACAGCCCGATGTAAGACTCATTTCACAGTAATAATCATGACTAGCATTAGTAAATGAATGTTGATGCCATAAATAACAGTATAAGGCATATTTACACCATCTTAATATACATAAACACCATACACATACACAAAAAAGTCACAGATCCAGAACAAAGAAAATTCAATCTCCTAGACAGCTTACATTTATAGGCTTTGTCTAAAACATTTTTTTTTGCTTTTTTTTGTAATTTTTTTCTTTCCAAGCAACAAACAGATCTTCCCTATTTCTTGTGATTTATTTGTAACATTGTATTCATGCAAAAATAATACTTGTTTCATTGAATTAACATTTAGACAGCTTTAGATTTGGGTCCTATAGCCATCGTCTAAAATTTTACTTGATGTTGCTTCATCCATATATCATTTTAGTTGGTATGATATGATGGTTTGTTTTTGGTAAGTTACAAAATGACAAACATATCCAGTTGACCAGAGTTCAAAAACCAAGATACTAAGCTTGATCATGCACATTTTACTTTCATTCTTGTAAAATGGTTTGAATCAGATATTCCATTTTGATTTAACACTTATTGATTTAATATTTTTTCCTTTTTAATCATGTTTCTAAAAAGAACAACAACTAAAACATAAAAGAAAATACTGTCCCACATCCACTGTTCACAACAAGGAAGAGCAGCAAGAATCACACTGACCATTGTTAGGACATCAGTCAGGTGGTGACACTGTAGTAAACATTGAATGTCATCAAAATACTGCAGGAATGTGACAATTACTATAACCCATACTTCTGCAACAGTTCAGATTGCCATTGGCGTTTGCGCTCTGGAAAATAATCTGGAATGTGGATTTTTTTAAAATCCTGAATACACTTTTTCATTTCTTCTTCCACACTTAGCTTCTCACAGACTTTCTTTTTGGACAGATTTGTTTCCCGGGACTTGCTGATGAGGGTCTGAAAGAGTTCACTGTTTCTGCGTTTGTCTGGTGGGGGTATCCATTGTACAGGTGCTTTTTTAGAGGGGCGATCCAATGTTAAAGTGTTAGGTTGGTGAGCTGTTGCCTGCTGGGCACTGGATGGGTTGTCCTGGGGAGTGCTTGCCTCTGAATGGCTGTCACAACTGGAAGTGGAGAGCTCATTACAGGAAGTCCCACTTTCACTTCCTTTATCAGTGACTTTGTCATGTTTCCTATCTTCATGTTCTTGTTTAGGTGATACTATTTTCTGAGGTGGTCCTAAAAAGGAGGAAAAAAAAAGAAGAAGAGTAGAACAGTTGAATAAGAAGTGTGAAGGTAAAATTAAATGAACTCTATATTTTCTATTTTAAACCAAGAACATTTATTTTAACAAAAATGGTGCATATTGTACTAGTCTAGGTTTGTGAGATTAAATACAAGACCTAGGGTCTTTAGTGTACATTGAAAGATGCAGTATGCTGATTAATTATTCAAAACAATAAAATTTGAGAAATTTGTTTAATGAGAGTTTCTGTCTTAGAGACCATCAATAGCTTCATATTGAAAAGAAGATTTTTGTTATTTTAATTACTAGTTCCTGGAATATAAAAAAAAATGTAATGTTTTGTTAGCCCTCTATCTGTTTTGTTAGACACTTAGCTCATTTTTGTTCTACCCACTGCACTAGGTGTCCTTTGTATATATATTCTGCCACTGTAAAAGCAAGAAAGTACCATTGATATATTTTACAAAGCTGCAGTATTCTCCAGGCCCAGAGCTGCAATCACATCATTTATGCTTCCAAAGGGGAGGCTGGTTTAAATCTTATTCTTAGTCTCTTAATCTTATTTCATGTCTACTTCCTAGAGGAAAATTGTGAAAGTGCTATAAGATATATAGGGGCCTAATATTATGGTGTGAAAATATAGTTGAAATATGGTATTCTCTTAAAATATAAGGCCTACCATTTGAGGTAAATTACTTAGGAAGGCAATTTTCAGAAAGTGATAGTTTACCAAGATAATTATTTCAAATTCACAGTGTGTTTCCAAAAAGAGGCATATTTTATTCTCCCTGACTCCACTGTGGGATTAGGATCTCCATTTAACATTTATTAAACACTACCACATACCCAGAGCTGTTCTAAAACCTTCATTAAATGGAGCCCAACAATTCAGAGATCTAAATTACTCAACTCTTATTTTATTTTCTTAGAGTCAAACTTTTGAACAAGTTGTATAAATCAGAATCAGGAGGAAGGCATCAGTGTTTTTAAACAATTGCCCAGGGGTTCTATTGTGCAGCCAGAGTTGAGAACAACTGGTCTAATTTCGGGGGTCTAACCTTGGAAGCATACTGGAATCACCTACAAAGCTTCAGATTATTGATACCTTGGAACCAACCCCAGACCTCCTGATTTAATGGGGTGCCACCTGGCCATCAGGTCATTTAAGATTTCAATGTGCATCCAAGGTTATGAACCACTGATCAGTCTAATATATATGAAATGAATTAATAGCCAACATGGGCAGTTGATATTACTCAGAAGGATTAAGAGATAAAAAACCTTTTCTTAAAAGCAGCTCCTATGTGCAACACTGCTGGTTTCTATCACCATTTTTTTTCTATTCAAAAATTAGAAGAAACATAAGTCAATGCCAAATATCGAATTAAAGATTTTTAAAAGTTTTACAACTTTTTGGAATTATGGAAATATTCTATCTCTTCATTATGGTGTTGATTATATGACTGTATACATTTGTGAAAACTGATAGAACTGTATGCCTTAAATGGCTGAGCTTTTATGTATGTAAATTATACCTTGACTAACCTGACTCCCCCTCCTGAAAAACACAAACAACAAAGAAACATAAAGTATATATGTCTACATCTATCTATCTATCTATCTATCTATCTATCTATCTATCTCAGGGAAAGTCTTAAGCAATATTTCAAACTTCCTTTGTCTGCAATATGATAAAACCAGGACAAATGCTAATGCTTATAATTGCTTAGTAAGGAAATACACCATTACATTTCAGAAGTATTTGCAACCAAATATTTAAAAAAATTGTTGGGTTTTATTTGTTTTAAGCCTCTCTCTGTCAGGGAGAGTCAGCTGAGACTTTGGGGTAGGGTGGAGAAAATGCACTGCTAACACTCTGTGCTGGACTTACCCAGATCCATTCTCTATTCTCCTCTGTCCACAGTGGCTGATGGGTACAGACTATGTTCTTAAGCTCTCTTGCCTTCTGGCTTTCAGATGGATTCAGTCAACAGCAAAGACTAGCAAGACAACACCCTAACCCCACCCCACCCCCAGGAATGTGATGATCTGGTTATATCCCTGGACCTAGAGGCACAGCCCTATCAGGAAGCTCTCTCTGTCTCCCTCTCCCTTCTCTTCTCCTTCCCTCTTCTACCACCCCTCTTGAGGCTCATAGTTTTAGGCCTACAGGTGTTGATGTGGTTTGGCTGTGTCCCCACCCAAATATCATCTTGAATTGTAACTCCTACAACTCCCACTTGTCATGGGAGGGACCCAGTGGGAGGTAATTGAATCATGGGGTTGGGTCTTTCTTGTGCTGTTCTCGCTATAGTGAATAAACCTCATGAGACCTGATGGTTTTAAAAAGAGGAGTTCCTCTGCACAAGCTCTCTCTCTTTGCCTGCTGCCATCCATGTAAGACATAACTTGCTCCTCCTTGCCTTCTGTCATAATTGTGAGGCCTTCTCAGTCATGTGGAACTTTAAGTCAATTAAACCTCTTTTTCTTCCCAGTCTCAGGTATGTCTTTATCAGCAGCGTGAAAATGGACTAATACAGGTTTTAACCATTTAGGTACCATAACTAATCTTAGTGTACTTCCTACACTGGTGTAAATTGTCCCATATTAAATGTTATTAAATGTCCCAGCTGAGTGTGTCTTCTCTCTCTTCCTGGGTTTCTGATAGATCCACTCTATCAGACCCACTCTGGCCACCAGCCGTCTTTTCCATTGACTAGAGGGATGTTACTTGAAGGATCAGTTTTTAGTGGCACCAGATTTATGTGGCAATAAAATTTGAAAATAAATAGGTTTGGGGTCCTACTGACTTGGATTAAAATTCTGGCTCTCCAGAAAATACTAGCCTTGTGGCTTTGAACAAGATACTTAGCTCCTCTAAGCATTAACTTGCTCATCTATAATATGAGTAAAACTACTTTCCCCATAGGAGCATTTTAAGATTAAATAAAATATCATGTAAAAGGATCTAGTATAATGATTCTCAACAATGAGAGTATATCAAGGTATATCAGTGGTATTTTTTGAATGTGCATATGTCATATACATCCCTAGAGGTTTTCAGTTCAGTGTGAAGGGCTGGTATGTATGTGTTTATATGAAGCCGGGAGTGGTGGAGGAGATGCAGCATCTCTTTAGTTACCTTTATGGCTGAATGTGATCCTAAGCAAGCATGAAATTCAACACCCTAATACAACATAGTATATAAATAAATGTTGTTTTTTTTACCCTTTCTGTCAATATTTTGCTATACTTTAACCAAAAGCCCCCATCAAAGGAATCTATGATTTTCATTCCCAATAATGACTAAAGGATTAAACTGCAAATATCTAAGCAAAGCAACTTACATTAAGGATAAATAAGTGATGAAAAAAATAATTTCCTGTTTATTGGCAGGGCAACAGAGAATTAGATAGAGTTACTCAGGCAGAGAAGCAATAATATCAAAGTGAAAGACAATTCAGAAAGAGAGTACTAGATACTACCAAAGTAAATGCCTTATTCTATTTGTTTCTATTCACTGGGAGGAAGAAAAAAATGCTTAATGACAATAGAATGTAACATTTGTGTCTTGAAAACTAACTGGTCTTGCAGTGCAAGATAGAAGATTAAGGAAGCCCTCTTTGAAGAAGAGATCAATGAATTCAGCTGAGAATTTTGTACCCACCATGTGCCAGACATAGTGCTAGGTTCTGGAGGAGACACAACTATGGATAAGATGAGCTTTCTGCCTGATGAAGTTCATAGGCTTTCTCCAACTCCAAGTGGGTGAGGACAAAAAGATGCAGAGAAAAGATTTTACATGTGTGTAGAATGATCCCTATAATTTTCTGGGAAGATGAACTAAGATGCACTCCATACCAAATGGGTCTAACTGAATTTCCTACACTAGCTTTTTTTTTTCTTTCACTTTTTACTTTCAAATTTTCTTTGCCACCTTCGAAAAAGTCATCTATATCCCTCTCTTCTCCTCCCTCTTGTCTTTCCAATGACAAATAATATGGGCCAGGGCATGGTCGGAAATAGAGTCTATTAAAGAATAGTATTTTATAATTATACAGTGTTTGAAATGCTTGGGATATTTTAGAATATCTCTTTCTATAGACTTCAAGAACTATGAAGAAAAGGGGAACCTGAATTTACTGTGATTTTAAGAGCTTTAAAAATAAAAAGAACTTAAAATAGTTATACACATTAATTAGAATTAAATATATATTAACATATAACATATATTCATGTTATATATATGTTTTATATATTTTTATATATATATATATTCATGTTCTTTCACATTTTGCTAATCCTATTTAATACAATATCTTTAGGCAAGGTGAACTCCCAATCAGACCAAACAGATTCGGAGGTTTATATAATGACTTAAAAGAGAATGCTTGGCTTTATTTTGTGTACATCTTTGAAAGAATAGAATAATATGACTGCTCTTTGTATAAATCATTAGGGATCACTAATAGTCTTTTTTGGATTTATGCTATCAGTTTTAATTGCTATCCATTTAAGCATACTTTAAATTATTATTGATAACTTAGTAGATTTAAATTGGGACTAAGATACAATAACTTAAACTGATTTAGCTGCTTTTTATGACATGAAATTGAGAAAAATTAATTAGGTAAATAATGATTACTCTAGTTGCCCAGTTTTCTTGTGGATGCCCGCTAATTGCAGGCTTCCAGGGATAATTTAAAACTTTAATTTTATATTATTTTATTCAGTGGCCCAAAGCCACTTGACATGCTTTAAGCACCACATGAATGATAATTTAAATATCACCAACTAGTGAATATATGGGAACAACATGACTATTAGAAATGTCTCTGTGTCTCTTCAACTAGTAATAGAATCAAATATATACCTGAAACATCTTCCTGAAAGCACTTTGCCCTGTGAGTTAGAGCACCCAATATACTTGGTTTAAAAAAGAAAATATAATTGTGTTTTGGTGATCTCATCAGCTAGGATTTCTTCCATCATATAAAGAACTCATCACCATTTATTGAAGTGTAAGCAACAGATTAGTGAATAAGCAAGTCTCATATTAACCTAAGATTTATCTGTAAAAAAAAAGAGTTAATTATTTTAAATAGTTAGATAAATAGGTACACCTAGAAACTTTCAAATATTGGAACAATTAATCAACTTTTCATTTGATTATTTGCTATTAAATAAACTAGGATATCCATCCAGGAATGCTCCATCCATTGAGCATTTGTAAATGGCAAGTACAGTCTTAACTAGGAGATCTGCAAACCAGCTACCTAGGTCATGCCTCTCCAATATTATTTTTGAAGAACAGTCAGTATACATACATGCACACACACACACACACACACACACACACACACTTAGATGCATTTATTATGCTGAAATTTTTTCATCACTAGGGGAATAACCTTGGAAGATCTGGGTTTGAGCCTGGTTCAGCCACTCCAACCAAGCAAGAACTTTGTGTTGGTCAGGTAACCTCTCTAATATTCGGTTCTTTTTGGTTAATATTTTGGGGTTGTCCCCTAAGTTCTTTTATGTTATAAGAGTCTGTAATTCTAAATGATATAATGAATAGGAGGAGATTTTCCAAGCTGTAAAATTCTGATCAAATATTAAGCATTAAAAGGTTACCATGAATAGAAATTACCACAGAACAAGGAAACAAATTCAATTACTACTATGGTATTTCAAAGAATTTTAGGGGTCAAGGATAATTTTCTGCAAGTTCACTGACAGTAAGTATAGTCCTAGAAAACATTATTAATTTATGTCTGTTTAATTACATCTATTCTTACTGGTGAATTGCCAGCAAAAAGAATGATACTTAAGGCCGCATAGTGCAGACTGTCTGGGTTCACATCTCAGTTTTAAAACCTACTAGATCCCTCTCCCTCTCCCTCTCCCTCTCCCCATGGTCTCCCTCTCCCTCTCTTTCCACGGTCTCCCTCTCCCTCTCTTTCCACGGTCTCCCTCTCCCTCTCTTTCCACGGTCTCCCTCTCCCTCTCTTTCCACCGTCTCCCTCTGATGCCGAGCCGAGGCTGGACTCTGCTGCTGCCATCTCTGCTTACTGCAACCTCCCTGCCTGGTTCTCCTGCCTCAGCCTGCCGAGTGCCTGCGATTGCAGGCGCGCACCACCACGCCTGACTGGTTTTCGTATTTTTTTGGTGGAGACGGGGTTTCGCTGTGTTGGCTGGGCTGGTCTCCAGCTCCTAACCGCGAGTGATCTGCCAGCCTCGGCCCCCCGAGGCGCCGGGATTGCAGACGGAGTCTCCTTCACTCAGTGCTCAATGTTGCCCAGGCTGGAGTGCAGTGGCGTGATCTCGGCTAGCTACAACCTCCACCTCCCAGCCGCCTGCCTTGGCCTCCCAAAGTGCCGAGATTGCAGCCTCTGCCCCGGCCGCCACCCCGTCTGGGAAGTGAGGACCCTCTCTGCCTGGCCGCCCATTGTCTGGGATGCCAGGAGCCCCTCTGCCCGGCTGCCCAGTCTGGGAAGTGAGGAGAGCCTCTTCCCGGCCGCCATCCCATCTAGGAAGTGAGGAGCGTCTCTGCCCGGCTGCCCATCGTCTGAGATGTGGGGAGCGCCTCTGCCCGGCCGCGACCCCGTCTGGGATGTGAGGAGCCCCTCCGCCTGGCAGCCGCCCCATCTGAGAAGTGAGGAGCCCCTCCACCCGGCAGCCGCCCCCTCTGAGAAGTGAGGAGCCCCTCCGCCCGGCAGCCGCCCCATCTGAGAAGTGAGGAGCCCCTCCGCCTGGCAGCTGCCCTGTCTGAGAAGTGAGGAGCCCCTCTGCCTGGCAGCCACCCCGTCTGAGAAGTGAGGAGCCCCTCCGCCCGACAGCCGCCCCGTCCGGGAGGAAGGTGGGGGGTCAGCCCCCGCCCGGCCAGCCGCCCCGTCCGAGAGGGAGGTGGGGGGGCGCCTCCGCCTGGCCGGCCGACCCGTCCGGGAGGTGGGGGGCACCTCTGCCCGGCCGCCCCTTCTGGGAAGTGAGGAGCCCCTCTGCCCGGCCACCACCCCATCTGGGCAGTGTACCCAACAGCTCATTGAGAACGGGCCATGATGAAGATGGCGGTTTTGTGGAATAGAAAAGGGGGAAAGGTGGGGAAAAGATAGAGAAATCAGGTTGTTGCTGTGTCTGTGTAGAAAGAAGTAGACATGGGAGACTTCACTTTGTTCTGTACTAAGAAAAATTCTTCTGCCTTGGGATTCCGTTGATCTATGACCTTACCCCCAACCATGCACTCTCTGAAACATGTGCTGTGTCCACTCAGGGTTAAATGGATTAAGGGCGGTGCAAGATGTGCTTTGTTAAACAGATGCTTGAAGGCAGCATGCTCGTTAAGAGTCATCAGCACTCCCTAATCTCAAGTAACCAGGGACACAAACACTGCGGAAGGCCACAGGGTCCTCTGCCTAGGAAAACCAGAGACCTTTGTTCACTTGTTTATGTGCTGACCTTCCCTCCACTATTGTCCTATGACCCTGCCAAATCCCCCTCTGCAAGAAACACCCAAGAATGATCAATAAAATAAAAAATAAATAAATAAATAAAAACCTACTAGATTTGTTATTCTAAGCAAGTTGCTTACTTTCCTTGGGCCTCAGTCTCCTCATGTTTAAACGTCAAATAGCTTTAGCTAGGATTAAATTACCTAACATATATATTAAGTACTTTAAAACAGTCTGGCATGTATAAATGCCGAAAAATGTTAATTACTATTATTCAATGTAAATATCCATGTGCTAATTGGCCATGACATGGTCAATTTGTTCACTTGAATACTGAGAGTACTGATTGGATAATTGTAATGTTTCCACACTGATTCTGGGTCTGCACGTAACACCTATGCACATATGAATTGCAGACAGGTCTCTTAGTTTCTTGTGTTCTTAAATTTTTATCTATTAAAAATGAAATTAAAATAGAAATATCTAGTCGCATGGCTATGGTAAGAAGCAAATGAGATAATATATGTGAATGCAATTTGTAAGCTGTAAAGTTCTATACAAAGTAAACTATTAGTTTATAGTCAAGAATCATCTATCACACATGTAGATTTGAGAGGCTATGAAATATTACATTTTTATGTTCAAAAGGGTATTTAAGAAAATAAAACACAAAGGCCCTGGTATAAGCTATCAAAAATGTGTGAATTAAGAGCAGTAGTAAAAAACATTATATTAAGTAAAATGTCACAAATAGAAAATATCACAATAGGCCCAAACTTGTAAAACTCAGCAAAACAGGGCTTTTGATCAATTCCCTTGGGCTTTATTATATTAAAATAGAAAAGTGGAAAAGATAGCTTTTCCCAGTCATTTGAATAGATAATGAGGTACAGAAACTAAATGTCAATATTTTTGTCTTTAAAAAGGCTGCATGATTTCTGGGTAGTTCTAGGTGTGGGGATGTTTTTAAGAGTATTTCTATATTTTTTCCTTGAATACACAAGCATTTCCAAACAAAGTCTATGTACACAGCTGCACATTTGAAAAAAAAAACTTTTCATTTTAATCTCTTTACCTGCCCAGTGATGATAAAACATGATAGGTATGTAAAATGTGTCTGCAACAGTCACAATTCCTAGAAGGGAAATTATCCTTTAATAGTACTAAACTCAATGATGTGTGAATGGTTATGTGGTACTTAAACAGAATGAACCAATCTATCTTAAATATTAGCACCACACGCTTCTAAATATTAAGCACTTGAGTCAAAAGGGAAAAACTCCATTTTGATTTCACAAACATTTACTGAGCACCTACTATATATAAGGCATAGTGTTAGCTACAAGGGTGGGGACACACACACATGTGCACACACACCTGCACAACCACAGTCCCTGATATCAAGTAGTTCAGGCTTGGGGTGACAAGTGCAGATGTAGCTAAAGTGTGAATAGGGCATGGATGAGGGAGCAAGGAGTAAAATAAAAAGAGGCTGATTTGTGATTGGAGTGAGCTAAGGAATGGGGTCATTTTTAATTAATCAGTAAAACTGCCATGCTACATTGAAACTTACAGGTCATAGAGGAGACGTCTTCATCTTAGAGTTGAAGACAAATGAATAAAATTAATTTATATGTGAGGAAAAATTGAACTCATTTATTTATGTTTTCTATAATTTCCATTAGCATTACTTAGCCACTTTTATGAGTGAAAGAGTATAACAAAAGAAAAGAAAAGAAAAGAAAAAGAAGAGTGACTTGAAAAGAGAAACATGGTCATATTCCTTTTTTCATCCTGACATGGTCATCCCCAACCCACTCTTCTGATACTCCCTGAACTTGTTAATTTTTATCATATTTACCTACTCATAGTGTGGCTCTCAGTCTTTAATTGTAAACTCCTCAAAAGCAGAAACTGTGCTTTTCTATTCTCTCATGGTGCCTTCATCAGAATAGTTGCTTAACAAAATTAGTAAAACTATTTTCATGCCTCTGAATTTGTATAGTATTTAATACTAATTACATCACTCACTTGGAAGTTAGCGTTTACCATCTTTCAGGTTAGTAAATATTCATTTTGATGTCCACAGAGTAGTAAGAATGCTCCCACCACCCACACATAAAAATTAGTCCCGAGGTCACACTTCTGGTGTCCCATATCCCTCAGAGTTTATAATTTCCATGAGGGCTTAGATGGCATGTATTACTCAGACAGTTCAGGAGGCTGATTTGTATTATCACTGATTAAACAATACTATAATAGTAATGTGCATAAGCAAATGTAATGCAGCATAAGAAAAGAAATATCAGAGAAAATATAATGTAGCATGAGAAAAGAAGTGCCACAGAAAATATATTTGTTTAGTGAGACATATATTAGAAGAGGTTTCCAAAAATAATTTTATTGCCTTTCTCTCATTCTACAAATCAGTATCTTCCTATGACTCAGTTATTTCCGTAAACCATGCGCACATTCACCTTTGGCTATCCAATGGATTTATCTCTTATTTTCAAACACTTGTCATGTCTTATCAATTCTACCATTACAGCAACTGTTGAATCTATCTATTCATCTCTGTTCCAATTTCCACCACCTATGACAGGTTTCTTATTATTTCTCATTATATTTCCTAACCAATTCTCTGACTCCACTTTAGTCCTACTTCAAACTATTCTCAATGCCATTGCTAAATATATATTCCTAAAACCTAATTCCATTAAGTATATCCTTGTTCAAAAACCTTCTAAATAGTTCCTCTAGCACATACGATAAAATTTGATTGTGACATCTTGGCTTTGGAGACTATCTTCAGTGTAACACAAATAACCCCAGCCCATATTTTAGTGCTCCCCATTTGGTGACTCCAATATACTTGTTTCTGGTGAATGCCTCGCTCTACCAATGCTGGCTTTTCTCTGGACTGCATTCTTTTCTTGCCCATGCCCCTTTTAGCTATTCTTCAAAGCCTAATCCGTATGTTGCTTTCAGCATAAAACTTCTCATTATCATATTTGGATGTAATTCCTTGTGATTTCCTGCTTTTTTTTTTTTAATAACCCATAGTTGTTTGTTTTAATCCATCTCAAGGTACTGAGCCTATTTTGTCTTAAATAATGGTTATTTCTGTACTCAGTTTAACTTTCATCCCTGTGTTCTGCCCCACCACACACACACAAACACACACACAAAACACATACACACTAATATAGTTAATACTGGAGCGGGACAGGGAAGTGCTGGGAGGAAAAGGGCGGGGTCCCTGGCGAGGTCTCCACCTTCGGGCCTGTGCCCACAGATCTAGGTAAAGACAGGCACCCCTGTTTTCGTAGCCAAATGTGCATTTTCCAAGACTACTCTGGCCTGTCACGCCCCAATCCTGGGCCTATAAAAACCCCAAGACCCTAGCCGGCACAGACACAAGAGGCTGGACATCGAGAAGAACACACTGGCAGAACAGCACACAGGTGGCGAGGAGCGAAAGAGCACACCGACAGGCACTGGCAGACGCCAGCAGGCCATCAACTGGGGGAGCGATGTGGCGGCGGCTGAGGGGAATTTGGTGGAAGCAGTCAGAGGAGAATTGCGTCGCCTTACTCCAGGCAAAAAACACCTTTCCACTGCATACCCCTGCTGGCTCCCCATCCATCTGCAGAGAGCTACTTCCAACACTCAGTAAAAACTTGCACTCATGCTCCAAGCCCACATGTAACCCAATTTTTCTGGTACACCAAGGCAAGAACACTGGGATACAGAAAGCCCTCTGTCCTTGCGATAAGGCAGAGGGTCTAATTGAGCTGATTAACACATGCCGCCTACAGATGGCAAAACTAAAAGAACACACTGTAACGTGCCCTCTGGGGCCTAAGGAGCTGTAAACATTCACCCCTAGACGCTGCTGTGGGGACGGAGCCCACACTCCCCACGACCTGCCCGTCTGCGTCCTCCCCCTAGGGGTTTTGAGCAGTGGGGCACCGAAGAAGTGAGTCACCCCCGCATCACATGCCCTGCCAGGGGGACAAGGGAATTTTTCCCGTTTCATAGTCACTTATGGGATAGAGAGTTTTTCCTTTTCGTCTTGGTATTTCCTGAAGCATCACCACATGGCTAGGCTCATAAGAATTCAGTAACCATTTATCTAACTGAATTAAATGAAATTAATATTATCTACAAAATATTGTCTAAGCACACAGGGGATTACTTTATTCCTAGAGAAGTTTCTTTTTGTTTTATTTTATTTTGTTTTAACCAAAATATATAAACCCAAGTGTAACTCAGCTTGAGGAGTGTAACTCAGCTTAAGGTGTGTAACAAAAGCAAAGAAATGGGGGGAGTCGAAGATAAACCATTTAGCAGTGAGTCATAAGAAGAGCCTCACAGTCTCTCTAGTTAATGAAAATATTCCTTTGGCAAAGTTCCTACCTTATCCCTTTTAGTTTATTAAAGAGAAATAAATTACTTGAGAACCACACATAATGTGGAAAAATAATTTTCTTTTTTCTGCAGAAGAACACTACCTCACTTACATGATTGCACCTCATGCTCGTAGTAGAAAACATATTAGGTGTTCATTTGTCCTCTCAGAAGCCTTTATCACATGCAAAGTTGTTACAGACACCTTGCAAGAGCTCTTCATTTAAAACTCATTTCTTCATTTCCCCCATGGAAGCTAGGATTCTATCCACATTCACCCTTCTCGTGCTTAAATCAAAAACAAAAACTCCACACAAAGATGCCTAGGCTCCTTTTGGAATCTGGAATGAAGCCTGCGGAACTACTCCCTGCTCCTTCCAAGGTTCCCACGTCTGAATCTACCATTCTTTATCACTGACATTGGCAAAGTTGTTTTTCACATGCCCAGGTAGCAACCTTCTAATGACCTTCTTTTTTACAAGTATATGTTTTATGAGAGGGATGATTTATTTGGTTTTCTAATTTGTGAACACAAGCCTATGCTTGCTTGTTTCACATCTATAAAATGTGGATCATAACACCTACAAGGTGCTTGGCAAGGATTAATGAGATGTTGTCTCTACAACATGTCTGGTGGCTCCGGGAGGGAAAAAGAAGGCACTCTGTTAATATAGGTTGGGGGTACACTTATGAGGGCTGTGTATAACAAATTTATATGAACATAAAACCACGCTGGTTGTAAATTATTGTCGCCTGTTATGCAATACTAAACAGCTGCCTTAGACCTGAGGAAAAATCTCTCAGTGACAATAAGGGAAGCAGAGGTTGTGGAAGAGGTAAACACACACACACACACACACACACACACACACATATATATATACATGCACACACAAAAAAAAAACAGTCTAACACTCTTGTGTTGCAGGAGCAGCAACAATTGCCAGCAGGAGCCATAGTTGAGTGGATTTTTATTTATTGGATCTCTTCAGATCTTAAGTGCCTGCCTGCCAATAAATGTTTTCAAGTATTTCCAACAATCCTCAGCCATATGCAACTTCTTGTAGCTGCCATACTATTGAATATGAGTGCCGCTTCTTTTCACTTTGAAATTTATAAAAGTGTGCCTGTTAAGGCAGCAGCTCGGTGCAGAATCATCATGATGAAGGAAAGATGAAGGCATATATGTGCATAGCAGGGTTTAATTTCATTTCATAGTACAATAAAAAAGTGCCCAGCTTTTGAATAGAGCAGAATTTTGCTTGATGTGAAGTTCTGACATGTATTAGCTAGGTGTCAAATGTGTCTTTAAGGTTCATTTTCCTATTCTGTCTAAAAAGGAATAGAAATACGGCACCTCCGTCCTAGGGTTACTTTAAGTCAAGATAAATGTGAGGAAGTCCTTTGTAGTAGGCTAAAAAGTGGTTCCATAAAAGATAGCAGGCCCGAATCCCTGGAACCTGTAAATGTCACTTTCCATGAAAAAGTCTTTGTAGAGGTAATTAAGGATTTCGAGATGGTGAAATTATTCTGGATTATCCCACTGGACCCTAAAGTCAATCAGTGGTATCCTTACAAGAGGGAGGTAGTGAGAGATCTGATACTTACAGAGGAGAAGGGGGCAATGTGTCCATGGAATCAGAGGTTGGAGTGATGCAGCTACAAATCCTGGAATGTCAGCTGCCATCAGAAACAAGCAACAAATTTTTCCCTAGAACTTCTCGAGATAGTGTAGCCCTGCTGACACCTTAATTTTAGCCTAGTGAAACTGACTTCAGACTCTGGAGTCTGTGAGAGAATAAATTTCTGGTTTTGTAAGTCACCAAGCTTATGGCAATTTGTCATAGTAGCCAATAGAAACAAATACAAGTGATTTAGTGTAATTCCTGGCCCTTGGTAGATATTGAGTTATGTCATCTTATATAAGTGAACATAATATTGTCCTTAATAACTGGATGATATTGGATCTGAATTGTAGAATCTTAACTGTTCTATTAAAATAAAATATTTTGCAGGCTCTATCGAATTATCTTCCTGTTTCTTTAAGCTCCTATAGTAGTGATAAGCCCAGAATATTGTACTGCAAATCATTCTACTTTGTGGGTATCCCTAATGTTAAAAAATTCCTATACTCAGCCATAATTTGTCTCCTCAAATACTGCCATTCACTAAATCTATTTCTACCTTCTGGAGCAACATAGAATGAATCTATTCCCTGCTTTCAACTAAAGGTCCTTAATATTTTGGAAAACAATTATCATATCTAGTCAAAGTTCTCTCCAATTATATAGATCAACCATTATTGGAATAACGAGGTTAATCCCTGCTTTCAACTAAAGGTCCTTAATATTTTGGAAAACAATTATCATATCTAGTCAAAGTTCTCTCCAATTATATAGATCAACCATTATTGGAATAACGAGGTTAATAGGGATAGCCACTTCACCTTATCTCTGTTCCCATAAGACTCCATTTTCTCTTTCTACAAACATTCAAACATAGCCACCCATCTACCCATTCCAACATACATGCACACACACACACAATCACAGAACTGTCTCTCTCTATAGCCGACTCTACACACATTTCCAGAACCTGATCATTCCTTGTCATTCTAGTCTCATGTTTTTACTGCCTTTGGACATCGTCTAAACTTCAAAAAAATCATGTCAAAAAATAACTTCATTATTCTTTTTCTCTTAAACCAGTTCCTCCTCTTATGCTTTCTATTTTCCTATTTTTATAGAAGCACCACAGTCTTCTTAATTACCCAGGTTTCAAATCTCAGAGTCATTTTCGCTATTCCAATTTCTACCCCTCTACTGATTCCCTCCCCCAGCAAACAGTTATCTAGTCCTCTTGATACTTTGATAATACCTCAATCATTTTCCTCACCTTCAGTCTTCACTCTCATGGTTTTGATCCCCATTAACTCTTACTGAATCAACTGTAATAACCTTCTAGAAATCCTTTCATCTCTAATCTTTATATCCTTTTATCCATACTAAACAAAGATGTCAGCAACATTGCACTGAAACATAGCTCTTATTATAGCACCTGTTCTCAGAAAACCTGAATGGCTTTCAGAAACATATCCAAATCTTTTAGCTCCACAGACAAGACTTTCCTCCCCCTAGTTCCAGCTTAAAGTCCACACTTCATTTTCTATTACTCTCACCCTTCATTCAAGTCAAATTGGAGAAATTAATATTAGCCTAAATATCACATGCATTCCTGTCTTTAATTCTTCACCTATGTGAATGATAGGTTGACATCTGTTTATAATGATACTTGTTTAGATGGAGTAAATTTCTTATTGGCTGTGTTGGTATGTGTGTCTGAGAATATAGGTGGTGCTCTATCTATCTTATATGACAGACCCTAATCGCCAGGCTAAAGTACTATATTTATAACCTAGACTTGGCCAATCATAATGCCCTACCAAATCAGCCCCCTAATCTACAGTAACGATGAGGGTTGCAAGGTAAATAATCTGGGTGACTCAATAACATGAAATCTCTGGAATACTTCAAACTGTTCATGAGGGGAAAGAATGAGAATGCCCTTACATCTTTGGCCAAAAAGCTCTCAGATATGACTGTAGGGGACTAAGTCCCCCAATCCCAACTACAGTAGGGGAGAATGAGAGCTGAAAGGGAATCCTAACAGTATTTGGATGTCTGGTTCAGTGATTCCTATGATCAACTCCACTGTTGGACAAGTATTTTAGACCAAATAAAATAAACATTTTATAAAACAAATTTATCTTATAAATGTAGGTATTTTATTAGATGCAAATACCCTTGAAATATAACAGACCTCTCTTCCTGAAACAAGTTGAGTGATGTGCTGTTTGTATTTGTTATTGGAGAACTCTAACACTTAATGCTGTTGTGGGAAGTCAGGGACCCTGAATGGAGGGACCGGCTGGAGCCGTGGCAGAGGAACAAAAATTGTGAAGATTTCATGGACATATATCAGTTCCTAAAATTAATACTTTTGTAATTTCTTATGCCTGTCTTTACTGCAATCTCTGAACATAAATTGTGAAGATTTCATGGAAATGTATTGCTTCTCTATTAATATTTTTATAATTTCTTATACCTGTCTTACTTTAATCTCTTAATCCTGTTATCTTTGTAAGCTGAGGATGTTTGTCACCTCAGGACCCTGTGATGATTGTGTTAACTGTACAAATTGATTGTAAAACATGTGTGTTTGAACAATATGAAATCAGTGCAACTTGAAAAATAACAGAATAACAACGATTTTAAGGAACAAGGGAAGATAACCATAAGGTCTGACTGCCTATGGGGTCGGGCAAAAAGAGCCATATTTTTCTTCTTGCAGAGAGCCTATAAATGGATGTGCAAGTAGGAGAGATAGTGCTAAATTCTTTTACTAGCAAGGAATATTAAATATTAAGACCCTAGGAAAAGAATTGTATTCCTGGGAGGAGGTCTATAAACAGCCTCTCTGGGAGTGTCTGTCCTATGAGGTTGAGATAAGGACTGAGATAAGCCCTGGTCTCCTGCAGTACCCTCAGGCTTATTAGGGTGGGGAAAAAATCCCGCCCTGGTAAATTTGAGGTCAGATGAGTTCTCTGCTCTTGAACCCTGTTTTCTGTTGTTTAAGATGTTTATCAAGACAATATGTGCACAGCTGAACGTAGACCCTCATCAGTAATTCTAATTTTGCCCTTTGCCTTGTGATCTTTGCTTTCGTCCTTACCTTGTTTTCTCAAAAGCATGGGATCTTTGTTCTCCCTTTTGCCATTTGAAGCATGTGATCTTTGTGACCTAATCCCTGTTCATACACCCCCTCCCTTTTTGAAATCCCTAATAAAAATTGCTGGTTTTGTGGCTCAGGTGGGCATCACGGATCTACCGATATGTGATGTCACCCCTGGCGGCCCAGCTGTAAAATTCCCCTCTTTGTACTCTTTCCCTTTATTTCTCAGACTGGCCGACACTTAGGGAAAATAGAATATGCATTGAAATATTGGGGGCGGGTTCCCCCGATAAATGCTTAATGCATAAACTAAATTTTTAATGCACATTTCTAGTTACTGACCAAAGAAATTGGAGAAATTTGGAGAAAATCAGACAAAAACAAATCTAATCATTGTGTATTTATGAGCAAATTATTATGACAGCAATATAAACAATTAAAAGAGTCCTAGAAATTTACTGTTATATTACTAACAGGGTCATGTGCCCACATTCTTTAAGGCTAGGATGGGTATTATTTAGCCTATTATTACTGGCCTAGACTGAGCTCCTCATCCACTCGTATGTCCTGAGGGGAAAAAAAAAATCTATCTCAAACAGTGGATGGGGTGCAAGGTAAGCAAAGATACACACACACACACACACACACACACACACACACACACACAGAACTGATAAATAATTATGCAAGTGTGGTTAAACATAGAAATCACTATGTTTTGTAGTAAAGTAAGTTTTTCATACCATCCTTCAGCAACATGTCACTATGTGTCACCTTTTCCTGTATAGCCACTTGTGATGGTTAATACGAATGCCAACTTGATTGGATTGAAGGATGTAAAGTATAGATCCTGGGTGTGTCTGTGAGGGTGTTGCCAAAGGAGATTAACATTTGAGTCAGTGAAATGGGAGAGGTACACCCACCCACAATCCAGGTGGGCATCATCTAATCAGCTGCCAGCATAGCCAGAATAAAAGGAGGCAGAAGAATACGGAGAGATTAGACTGGCTTAGCCTCCCAGCCTACGTCTTTCTTCCATGCTGGATTGGATGCTTCCTGTCCTTGAACATCAGACTCCAAGTTCTTCAGCTTTGGGACTCAGACTGGCTTCCTTGCTCTTCAGCTTGCAGACAGCCTATCATGAGACCCTGTGATCGTGTGAGATAATACTTCTTAATAAACACCCCTTTATATATACATCTATACAATTAGTTCTGTCCCTCTAGAGAACCCTGACTAATACACCACTAGTTGAAAAAGATAATAAGCTGAGATAAACAAACCTAGTAATAAAATAAGTACAATTTTACTTAGTTTATATTTTAACAAGTAAAGTTATAATATTTAATATTTATTGAATACTTATGGATCAGGTACCATGCTTTATACATAGCATCTCATTTACATCTCATAATAACTTCATAAAGTAGAGGCCTCTCATGTTTATTTTACACATTAGGAAGTGGAGGTTTAGAGACGTTATGAAACTTGACAGGTCATATTTGGAAGAGGCAGAGGCAGATGTAGATCTGTCTGACTTTAGAGCTGATGCTGAGTTAAGCTCTGAGATACATATGCTGCCACAAAAATCCTGAAAATGGTGTTAAAACCAGCTTTCTTTAAATTCTAAGTTAGAGATATAATTACTCATAATTTCAAGCCCTTAAGGATTAAACTAAGATGCATATCTGAACATTTGGGGATAAAAATGTGCTTAACTATACTTGAGTATTATCATTTATTTAGATAGTTTGCCATATAACATTATTTTATTTTACATCTAGGTATTTTAACAAAAAAAAAAAAATTAAAGGCTACACATATGAAAATGTAGACATTGCTTTCTAACTCAGTTCATTGTGACCTTTACTGGGACCGAGGCTTTTTAACCAAGCAATGTCTATTTATCAAATGTAAGGGTTTTTGTTGTTGTTGTTGTTGTTTCACTGTTAGGTTGCAATATCCTCTGACATGCATATTTCTGTGAATTCAGACCAATAAAAAGGCTGTTTTATATTAATTACAAGAAACATTATAAGAAGCAACTATGGTTAAAAGGAAAATTATATATTTAAAATGTAAATCCTACAGTAAAATTTACAGAGTGAAATTAGGAAAATAGATGAGATGTAGAGGGAATATAACAGAGAAAGAATAGAGAGGATGAATCCTAAGACTATTCTTAGGACTATCTTAGAACCCATGACTTGTCAGGTACCATAATTTCCAAAATATCAAAATTATATTTGTATGAGAAGATACATTTAAGACCAAACTTTTCAATGATATGCAGCACATGATCCAGAAAGGTTCTGACATAAGGCCAGAAATTTCTGCTAAGAGTTTTCAGACCCTAATTAAATAATGAGCAGATTCTGTCAGTGTTGAGATGCCTTGAACTTTTCCTGTCACTTTATAGTGCACTTTAGTCTAAACCTGATATTTCAATAACCCCATTAACATCAATCTTCTTTTCTGACATTAAAGCCTTACAGATTAAAAGTAAAAGATCATGAAATGCTACTAATGAAACCATTATAAGGTAAAAAGATGTACTGGTAACACCTTCTATGTAGATCAATGGAAATGTTATGTCAGGGGTAAATTTGCACTGGAAATACTTTTGGAAAAGCATACTTAATTATGAGCTATATTAATGGTTATTCATTAAAATCTTGGAGGTAGAGAAAAACAGAGTATGCTTCTGGTATGACTCATGTGACTCATAACTTTCCTTGAAGTGCTGAGAACACAGAATTCACAGAGATGAATATTTTCCTTTGACTTCATGTGGTTCAGTGAAAGTAATCGGGGTGCCTACTCTTTGTTCACTTTATAAAAATTACTTAAAATAATTATGTGCTACTTGAATGAAAAATTCAAATATTTTCTCTCTCCCTTCCCTCCCTCCCTCCCTCCCACCCTCCCCCCTTCCCTCCCTCCCTCCCTCCCTCCCTCCCTCCCTCCCTTCCTTCCTTCCTTCCTTCCTTCCCTCTTTCCTTTCACTCTCTCTCTTTTTTTTTTGGATGGAGTTTCATTCTTGTTGCCCAGGCTGGAGTGCAATAGTGCAATCTTGGCTCACTGCAACCTCTACCTCCTGGGTTGAAGTGATTCTCCTGCCTTAGCCTCCCAAGTAGCTGGGATTACAGGCATGTACCACCACGCCAGGCTAATTTTTGTATTTCTAATTTTTGTATTTTTTATTTTTAGTACAGACGGGGTTTCACCATGTTGGTCAGGCTGATCTTGAACTCCTGACCTTAGGTGATCCACCCACCTCGGCCTCCCAAAGTGCTGGGATTACAGGTATGAGCCACTGTGCCTACCTAAATACATACTTTTTTTTTTTGAATAAAAATTTATATAACATGGAACTAAACTAGAACTATAATTATCCAATTATAAGGATTGATTAGTAAAGACTCCTAATTAAGAATTATGATTTACAATATAGTTAATTTCAATACAATTGTAGCTGTATATTGGCATTAGAGAATTACAAAATAAAACCCAACAACATTAACCGATGACTAGGGACTCATACTCCTTTGCTTGAATAGTCAGCTTTTCTGTTTGCTTTTAATGTGCTGTGACATATTTTGCAAGTGAAACTGTAAGGTTAAGAGGAAAGATCATACAGAAGACCAAGAAGATTCTGATTTTGTAGATCAAAGAGCAAATGAGAATTGCTGATGTTTGTTTTTTATTGGTTTCGTTCTACTGATTTTTCTTTTTTGTTTATAATAGCAATGATATGCATATAACTAGAAAAAACTTTATAATTAAAATCTTTAGTATTATGTGTCCAAATTGCTCCACCTTTTAACTACTTTATTAATAACAAATAGAGTATTTTATATGCAATTTTTGGTAACAATTTGAAAAGTTACTAACACTCTAGAACCAAGATCCTGACTATTACAACAGGGGAGGTAAGAGGGCTGAGAGGAAGTAACAGCATACTAAGGATATTGTCTTGTTGAAAAGGAGAATATAGATGCTGGTTAATTCTATTGGAAAATATGTAAAGCTTGTGTTAATTTTTAAACTACCTACTAGAATAATAAAAATACAAGGCATACATAGTCAAATAGTTAAAAGTAAAAAGGTAAAATGGAACAAAGTGATTGAACAATAAAACAAATATTAAAAGTTTATATAAGATAAGCATGTTACATTAATACTAAGTAAAGGGAAAGTAAGGGTGGGGGCACTAACAGCCCTCTAGAGGCCACATCCTTTGTGCCAACTAGAACTTGCTTGAATGCAGAAAGAAAGCAATTACATTCTAAGAAACGCAAATGACAAAGCAATACTATCATACTCTTTCTTACTCATCATTATGGTGAAAATGATGGCACTGAAAGAAAGAGAAAGATAGAGAAATCCATAGTTCTTTTTCACACTCCTTCTTTACCTACCAGTAAGCCAAATGTAAAGAGTTTTAGTAGAATGTACACATATGAAGAAGTAGAATACAAATAAAATGTTAATTTTGTACAATCTTTTACTTTTCTGGTAAGACACGATATGCAAGGGAATACAAATTGTGTAATTTTGGTGATTCTACACACAGATTAAATGCTCTTATATTTGCATTTAAAACCTTTCTTGGAGAAGGGGGTTCAAGATAGCAGACTGGAAGCAACTTGTGTGCACCCGCTCTCATGAAGAAGAAACAAAGTTGGGAGTAAATACTGACTCTTCAGGTGAATTGTCTAAAAAACCATGTCAGGATCCATCAAAGGAGTAAGAGAACACACGAAGAACAGAGAAGAGTAAAACTGGGCAGCCACCCACCTGGGACCAGTGCAGAGCCAGAAGAAGCTTCCTAATACAGGGAAAGGGTGAGAGAGGAAGAGCTCCCAGGGAATCCACACTTCCCACAAGGATCTGTGAAATCTTGGGAACGAGAGAACCCCCTCCTTTCCTGGGCCTCTAGACTGATATGGAGAGCCACACAGAGATTTTGCAGAGGCAACACTCAAGAATACAGGGAATCCCACAGGTCTGGATCCCTGAATAGCCTAGTATCTGCTGCCATAACACCAACAGAGGCCACAGTTGGGATGCTGGGGAGCAGTCAGACTGCCTCACTCCTTGCCAGACAAGACTCCACTCTTGCTTCCAGCACAGTGACTGAGCTGCTCCTAGCCAGGTGGAACTTGCTAGCTTGGGCTTCCAGCTCAGTGACCCTACCCCTGCCTGAATACTGTGGTCAGGCACAGCTCTGTGTTCCCCCGGAAAACATGCAGATGGCAAACTGTGTGACTCCCTGAACTCCTGATGCTCTTGGCCTGACAGGACTCATTGGTTTGGGTAATGTCCAAGCAGGAGAGAAGGCCCCACTCTCAGAACACCAAGAGTGACAAGAAGCCCAGGTTCATAGGCCAGCAGAGGAGGAGGGTATGCCTCCCTCCACAGGGCAAGTCCAGGAAGTGTACAGCCTTCCTAACACAGACCCCTGGCCCCTGCCTGAGGGAGCCCCACAGCCTGGAACAAGTGAAAAAGGAAATGCAGGAACAGCAACAGTAATCAAAAGGGGTTCCTCCAAGGCCCAGGAGCAGATCTGGGGAGGGGGTCATATCTCTCTCCCCCAACCACCGAGTATGTCTATGAACATGCTAAAATACAAAAGAGCCAATCTGCTGGCCATCATGCTTAAGCAATATCTATTGAATAGCAGCTCAAATTAGAAAACCAATAATAATTTGCCATGATACAGCACCTGTGAAACATAAGGCAAAAATTAGGCCACAAATAAAGATCCTGTACAGAGCCTTGGCCTTCTGAAAGTGCACAGAAACAAAACCAACTGACTAAAATTACACCACGGTAAAAGGAACACCAGCCCTCTCAGATGGGAAAAAATCAGCCTAAGAATTCTGGCATTCAAAAAGCCAGTGTGTCCCCCTAACCTCCAAAGGAACACACTATTATTCCAGCAATGGTTTTTAACCAGACTGAAATGACTTAAATAACAGACACAGAATTCAGAATCTGGATGTCAAGGAAGCTCATCACAAGCCAGGAGGTGAAACCCAATCCAAGGAATCCAGAAAAATAATCCAAGAGCTGAAATAAGAAATAGCTATTTGAAGAAATAATTAAACTGAACTTCTGGAATTGAAGAATTCACTTAAAAAATTCATAATACAGTCAGAAGCATTAACAACAGATTAGACCAAACCCAGGAAAGAATCTCAGAGCTCAAAGACTGGTTCTTCAAATCAACTCAGTCAGACAAAAGTAAAGAAAAATGAATTAAAAAAAATAAACAAAACCTCTGAGAAATATGGGACTATGTAAAAAGACCAAATCTATAACTCACTGGCATCCCTGGGAGAGATAGAGAGTGAATAAGCAATCTGAAAAACATATTTGAGTGTATAGTCTATGAAAATTTCCCCAATCTTGCTAGAGAGGTAAACATGCAATTTTAAGAAATATAGAGAACCCCAGTTAGATACTATACAAGGTGACCATCCCTATAGCATATAGTCATCAGACTCACTAAGACAAATGCAAAAGAAAAAAATTCTTAAAGGCAGATATAGAGAAAGATTGGGTTACTTACAAAGGGAAACTCATGAGGCTAGCAGCAGACCTCTCAGCAGAAACCTCACAAGTCAGAAGAAATTGGGGGCATATTTTCAGCATCCTCAAAGAAAAGAAATTCCAACCAAAAATTTCATATCCCACCAAGCTAAGCTTCATAAGAGAAGGAGAAATAAAATCTTTCTCAGACAAACAAACACTAAAGGAATGTGTTACCACCAGACCAGCCTTACAAGAGGTCCTTAAGGAAATGATAAACATAAAAACAAAAGATCAATACTTGCTACCACAAAAACACACTAAGGACATAGCTCACAGACAACTTAAAGTGATTACACAAACAAGTCTACAAAACAACCAGGTTACAAGATGATGACAGGATCAAAATATCACATATCAATACTAACCCTGAATACCAATGATCCAAATGCCCCATTTAAAAGGCATAAAGTGGCAAGCTGGATAAAAAGACAAGACCCAACAGTCGCTGTCTTCAAAAAACCCATCTCACATGTAATGACGACTCTAAGTAAAGACATGGAGAAAGAGCTACCAGGCAAACAGAAAACTAAAAAAGAGCAGGAGTTGCTCATCTTATATTGAATAAAACAGACTTTAAATCAACAACAATCATGAGGGACAAAGAAGGGCATTATATAATAAAAAAAGGTTCACTTCAACTAGAAGACTTAACTATCATAAAGATATATACACCCAACAGTGGAGCACCCAGATTCACAAAACAAGTTCTTTTTGACTACAAAAAGACATGGACAACCACACAATAATAGTAAGGTACTGTAACACCCCACTGATAGCTTTAGACAAATCATCAAGGCAGAAAACTAACAAAGAAATTTTGGACTTACACTTGACACTCAACCATTTGGACCAAATAGATACCTATAGAATACTCTACCCCCAACCCAAACCACAGAATATATATTCTTCTCATGTACACTTAGAACGTATTCAAAAATCAACCACATGTTCGGCCATATAGCAAGTCTGAGTAAATTCAAAAAAACTGAAATCATACCAAGCATACCCTTGGACCACAGGGCAATAAAAATGTACATCAATACCAATAAGACCTCTCAAAACTACACTAATATGTGGAAATTAATCAACTTGCTCCAGAATAACTCTTGGGTGAATGACAAAATTAGGCATAGATCAAAACATTTTTTGAAATTAAAGAAATTAAAGATACAACTTCCCAAAACCTTTGGTGCAGCCAAAGCAATGTTAAGATGAAAGTTTATAGTATTAAATGCCTTCATCAAGTAGTTAGAAAAGTCTCAAATTAATGATTTAACATCACACCTAGAGGAACTAGAAAACAAAAGAACAAACCAACTGTAAATCTAGCAGGAAAAAAGAAATATCTAAAACCAGAGAAGAACTGAATGAAACTGAGATGCAAAAGACCATACAAAAGATCAATGAAACCGAGACTTGATTATCAAAGGAACAGACAAGACTGATAAACCACTAGCTAGATTAACAGAGAAAGAAAAAAGAGAAGACCCAAATAAATGCAATCAGAAATCATGAAGATGACATTACAATTGATTAGACAGAAATAAAAAAAGATCCTGAAAGGGTACTGTAAACACCTCTGTGCACACAAACTAGAAAATTTAGAGGAAATAGACAAATTCCTGGAAATATACAAGCTCCCAAGATTGAAACAGGAAGAAAGTGAAAACCTGAACGGATTGATAACAAGTTCTGAAATTGAATGTTATAATAAAAAAAAAAACCTATCAAGAAAAATGTCCTGGACAAGATGTATTTACAGCCATATTCTACCAGATAGATAAATGAGAACTGGTACCAATCATACTGAAACTATTCCAAAATACCAAGAAGGAGGGGCTCCTCCCTAACATATTCTATGAAGCCAGTATCATCCTGACATGAAAATCTGGCAGACACAATGAAAAAAAAAAACTACAGGCCAATATTCCTGATAAACACTGACACAAAAATCCTCAACACAATACTAGCAAACAGAATCCAGCAGCACAATAACAAGTTAATACACCACAATCAAGTAGGCTTTATCTCCGGGATGCAAGAGTGCTTCAACATAAATAAATCAATAAATGTGATTCACCACATAAACAGAATTAAAAGCAAATACAGTATGATCATCCCAATAGATGTAGAAAAGGCTTCAGTAAAATCCAACATCCCTTCATGATAAAAACCATCAACAGGCTAGGCATTGAAGAAACATACCTCAAAATCATAAGAGGCATCTATGACAAACTGAGAATGAACATCATACTGAACAGGCAAAAGCTTAAATCATTGCCCTTGAGACCTAGAATAAGACAAGGATGTCCATTCTCAACATTCCTATTCCACATAGTACTGAAAGTCCTAACCAGAGCAATCAGGTAAGAGAAAAAAGTAAAATGCATCCAAACAGGAAAAGAATTAGTTAAACACTCTCTCTCTTTGCTGATGATATGATCTATACAGAGAAATCACTAAAGACTCTGCCAAAAGGCTCCTGAAACTGATAAACAACTTCAATAAAGTTTCAGGATACAAAATTAGTGTACAAAAATCAATGGCATTGTTATGCATCAATAATGACCAGGCTGAGAGTCAAATAAAGAACATAATCCCATTTACAATAGCCACAAAGAAAATGAAAAACCTAGGAATACAGCTAACCAAGAAGGTGAAAGATCTCTACAAGGAGAACTGCAAAATACTGCTGAAAAAAATCAGAGATGACACAAATAAATGGATAAACCTTCCATGCTTATGGATTTGAAGAAACAATATTGTTAAAATGGCCATGCTGTCCAAAGCAATTTACAAATTCAATTATATTATATCAAACTACCAATATCATTTTTCACAGAATTAGGAAAAAGGATTCTAAAATTCATATGGAACCAAAAAAGAGCCTAAATATCCAAAGCAATTCAAAGCAAAAAGAACAAAGATGGAGGTATCACATTACCCATTTTCAAAGTATACCATAAGGCTATAATAACCAAAACAGCATGGTACTGGTACAAAAATAGACACAGACCAATAGAACAAAATAGAAAACTCAGAAATAAAGCCACATACTTACAATTATTGATCTTACACAAGGCCCACAAAAACAAGCAAGGAGAAAGGACTCCCCATTCAATAAACGATGTTGGGATAACTGGCTAATTACATGGAGAATTACATTGGACTCTACCTTTCCCCATATATGAAAATTAACTCAAGATGGATTAAAGATTTTAATGTAAGACCCCAGACTATTAAAATCTTAGAAGATAACCTAGGAAATACCCTTCTTGATATAAGCTTTGGCAACAAATTTTTTAAGGCCCCCAAAGCAACTACAACAAAAATAAAATTGACAGTGTGACCTAATCAAACTAAAGATCTTTTGCACAGAAAAAGTAACTATTACTAGAGTAAACAGTCTATGGAATAGGATAAAATACTCACAAACTATGCATCTGACAGAAGTCTAAAGTCCAGAATCTACAAGGAACTTTAAACAAATCAACAAGCAAAAACCAAATAACTGCTTTAAAGAATGGCCAAAGGACATGAACACATACTTCTGGAAAGAAGATGTATTGGTGGCCAGCATATGAAAAAATACCCAACATTACTAATCATCAAAGACAAGTCAATCAAAACCACAATGAGATACAGTCTTATATTAGTCAGAATGGTGATTATTGAAAAGTTAAAAAAAAACAGATGCTAATGAGGCTGTGGAGAAAAAGGGAATACGTGTACACTGTTGGCAGTAATGCATATTAGGTCAGCCACTGTAGAAGGCAGTTTGGAGATCTCTCAAACTACTTAAAACACAGCTCCCATTAAATCTAAAAGTTCCATTTCTGGGGATAATAAATTGTTCTAACAAAAAGACACATGCACTCACATGTTCATTGCAGCACTATTCACAATAGCAAAGACATGGAATCAACTTAGGTGCCCATCAAACGGTGGATTAGATTTAAATAAGTAGTACATATACACCATGAAATACTATGCAGTCATAAAAATGAACAAAATCGTATCCTTTGCAG
Source organism: Homo sapiens (assembly GCF_000001405.40). Classification (NCBI taxonomy): domain Eukaryota; kingdom Metazoa; phylum Chordata; class Mammalia; order Primates; family Hominidae; genus Homo; species Homo sapiens. The sequence continues at coordinate 44,202,478 of NC_000004.12, forward strand.
CACCATGGATGCAGCTGGAAGCCATTATACTAAGCAATTTTATGCAGAAACAGAAAACCAAATTCCACATATTCTCACTTAAAAGTGGGAGCTAAACATTGAATACATATGGAAAAAAGATAAGAACAATAGACACTGGAAACTACTAGAGTAGGGAAGGAGGGAGGGGCAAGAGCTGAAAAACTCACTATTGGGTATTATGCTCACTATCTGGGTGATAGGATCACCTGTACTCAAATCTCACTCATTACACCCACATAACAAACCTGCACATGCACCCCCAAATACAAAATCTAAACAAAAAGTAAAATTGAAAGGATAAAAAATAAAAATAATACTTGCATTGCACAATATAAAAATAAATATTAAAAGTCATGTTAATAATTGTAAAATTGAAAATTTTCTTTAGTTAGAGCAGTATTAAATAGGAAAATATTAGCACACACATACACACAAAATCTATGACAAGTTGAGGGACCAAAGACAAAAGAAAAAAGCCTTATCTTTTAGTACTTTTAACAGCTTTTTTCATGGTTTTTGAACAAAAGATCCTACATTTTCATTTGATAATGGGCCATGCTAATTATGTCAATGAAAGACTTTAACCAATTTATTTACAAATGGAGACTAATGAGCCTGCCACATACCAAAATCTGTAGGGCATACCCAAAGTAAAATAAACTATATCCTTAAAGACAGATCATTGTAGTCTTAAATATATCTAATTAAAATTAAGAAAGAATAGCTGGGGGCAGTGGCTCACACCTATAATCCCAACACGTTGGGAGGCCAAGGTGGGTTGATCACCTGAGGTCAGGAGTTCGAGACCAGCTTGACCAACATGATGAAATTCCATCTCTACTAAAAATACAAAAATTAGCTGAGTGTGGAGGCAGGCGCTTGTAATCCCAGCTACCTGGGAGAACTGCTTGAACCCAGGAAGCGGAGGTTGCAGTAAGCCAAGATCGTGCCATTGTACTCCAGCCTGGGCTGGGCAACAAGAGCGAGACTCCATCTCAAAAAAAAAAAAAAAAAAAGGAATAAAAAAATAAATGAGCTAAGCATTCAACTAAGCGTTCAGCTCAATGGACTGAAAATAGAGCAAAGTAACACAAAAATACATAGGAGCTTAATATGAAAGAAAGGCAGAAAATAAGAAATAATAAAATACAAATATAAGAAAATAAATAAGATGAAAAGCTTTCTGTTGAGAAAATGAAAGATTTTGTGGTATGTCTGATAAACAGCAAAGAGCAAAGACATAAAGACTGATAAAGTGGGAATAATTAACATGGAGAGTATTTAAAATGAGAACGATATAATATTAATAAGTTTACATAAATAAATTTCAAATTAATAATGTTCTGAAATATATAAATTACCAAATCAGGCTCCACAAAAAATAGAAAACATGAAGTAATATATATAAATAAAAGAAATGAGAAATAATTTCAAGATTTAGTAATAAAAAAAAGCATGTGCAAATGCCTTTATGGAAACAAATATCTGGGGAGATGATAAAATCTATATAACTTTACAGTTACTTCCAGTACAAAAAAATGAAGGCAGCTCATCATTCTGAAATATACATTACATTATCAGATAAAACAACAAAAATAATATAATTACCACAATAGTTCTAAATAAATTTTGAATATAATCTAATATCCATAAATGATTTAAATTTTAAAAATAGTAAACAAGAAATTGGGAAGAAAAAAACCTTTAACTTCAGAGTGAAGTATCAGAAGTATTTCCATTTAAGGTAGGAGACCACCCCTCATATTGTCTTATACCCAATTTCTGCCTCTAAAGAAAGAAGAAATAAAAAATAAAAGGCAGAAATGAAATCCACAGGCAGACAGCCCGGCACCACACCCTGGGCCTAGTAGTTAAAGATCGACCCCTGATCTAATCGGTTATGTTATCTATAGATTACAGACATTGTATAGAAAAGCACTGTGAAAATCCCTGTCCTGTTCTGTTCTGTTCTAATTACTGGTGCATGCAGCCCCCAGTCATGTACCCCCTGCTTCCTCAATCCATCACGACCCTCTCACGTGGACCCCCTTAGAGTTGTGAGCCCTTAAAAGGGACAGGAATTGCTCACTCAGGGAGCTCGGTTTTTGAGACATGAGTCTTGCTGATGCTCCTCGCCAAATAAAGCCCTTCCTTCTTTAACTAGGTATCTGAGGGGTTTTGTCTGTGGCTCGTCCTGCTACACATTAAACTCAGAAGTAAGCTAAAATTTTCTGCTGTTATTTCCACTCCTCAATATTATACTAAAAGATATGTTAATAAGATTTTTAAAATTAAAGAAATATAACTATAAATATAGGGAACAAATAAAATATTATTTTTATTTGATAGTATGGTTTATCTAAAACTGGAAAACTCATAAGAGAGTTTTATATGGAATCTGGACACAAAATTAAATCATCAATATTAATTTTCTAAAATATAGAAAATTAATTACACTCAGTGTAACAACAAAATTTCAAAGAAAAGCATAAACCTTTGAGTCTAGTGGACTTTATTGATGAATCTGGAGAGATTGAAAAAATAGAAGTAATGTGTTCTTTACTAGAATAATACCATAAAGATGTAATTATCTTTCAAATAAATATGTATACATGCAATGCAAGACTAATGCAAATCTCATGAAAATATTTCATGTAACTTGACAAACTGATCCTAAATAATTTGGAAAAGGAAACACGTAAGAATAATTTACAATATTTTGAAACAGAAAGAAAAATTAAAGTGCCTTCCTAGATACCAAAGCATATATAAAACTTTATCTTGACTGTAACAATCTGGAAAGTTACATCAGTGAAGTGTAGTGGATAGTGTGAAACGTACCTGTAGAAATTTGGAATTTTAGTTCGATCAAAAAAGAATGCACTATTCAATTAATTGTTTTAAGGCAACTGGCTATCCATTTGGAAAACATATTTATATTTCTACCTCACATCACATACAAAAATATATGCTGGATGAAATAAAGAGCTGAATATATGCAATAAAACTATTAATGTACTGGAAGTAACTGTAAAGTTCTCTAAAATAATTTTTTTGCTGTTTAATACAAGTAAATAAAACTCAGAAACAATAAAAATAAAGCAAGAGAGATTTGTTTTATAAATATACAATTTCTATAAGATAAGTTACCACTGTAGTGTTAAGGAGAAGTAACGAACTAAGGAAATAACAAATATAATGTATTCTAACCCAACTGAGACATAAACAAAGCAGTCAGGCTGATGGAGATCAAAATGTCACATGTTTTTGTGATAAAATCATTGGAAGACTTGGGATTAGGTGTGAGGGAGAAATGATTTTGTTATCACTGTTTGCAGAATTAAACTTACCATGTCGTAGGTAGAAATGAACAATTATAGACCCCCTTCCACTCCCCATGGAATGCTGTCCCCTCTAAAGCTAATGGCATAGAGGAGAAAAGCAAAATCCTTTTTTTTCTGGAGACAGGCAGGTACTAAATAAAAGGTGGCAAAAGGCTGAAAAGAAACACATCAATCTAATAATGAGGGTCCCTCTAGGGAAAAGAGCCTGGTACTGGGAACAGTGAAGGCAAGCTTTCTTAGATTATTTATTTTTTTTTAATTTATAATAAATATGTATGCATTCTTGGTGAGTAACAATTTAGGTGGAGAGACATAACAAGAGCCCTGGCTTTAAGTCTCAGATTTGCTAACAAGTGGAGTTATCTTCGAGAATGAACTCCATCAGTTTGGACCCTAATTCATTACTGGTTCAATAGCAGAAACAATTACACGGTAACCAGGTGACCCTTTTCAGCTCTGAAATTTGCAAACATCCTAGTAAAAAGATATGGGAATTTATGGCCAACGTTTCCTACAGGAAAGGGCTTGATATCTATCCACTTGACTCCAACAGCCCCAGCCACATGCCCACAGCATGTGTACCAAATGTTCATGGCTAGTGGCACTCAAGATGAAGCTTTTGCTCATTAAATATGTAGGTTATTGCCACCTCTTTTTATGGCCTTCCATTGATTGATGAGTGAGAAGGAGAGTTGTCTATCCAGTGACCCAAGGGCTGCGTAAAGTGGTCCCTGGTCAGACAGGCTGACTGCTCTTCCTTTGCCCTCTGGGAGCCAGAGGCCTCTTCCAGATTATCTCATTTAAATTCCTATGAGTCTCTGCATACCCCAATGAGATTGAAAGCTTCTATTTAGAAGGAATTGTGCCTGGAACAGTTGCTACGAGCTCAGGCTTTGAAGACCTGAGTTTTGACTTGGGCTTAACCACTTCTTGGCTGAAGGTGACCCTAGGGAAGTTATTTAAACATCTCCCAGTGATCAGTGTTTTCATTTGTGAAGGATTGTTTTAAGGATTACATAAGGTATGCTATGCAGGTTAAGTATTTGTCTCACAGTAGTCTTGCATTATTATTGTAAAAGTTAGAAAATAAAAAAATAACCATTCAAAATGAACATTTACTATTTGTTGGGTCCTTTTAAGAGCTGACTTTACAAGTTGTGAGATAGTATATTTGTGGCCAAGTATCAGATAAGCAACCTAATACTTGGAGATGTCAAACGTCTTTGTTCTAACACTTGTGCTGTGACTTTCCAGCTGTGTAACCTTGAACAAGTTACTTGAACTCTCCATACGTTGGATTCCTAATACATAAAATAGAGACTGAAATGTGTCATTTACAAGGCATTGTGCCTGCACCCAGTAAGTATTCAATAAATATTGTAAAATAAATTAAAGCTCCAAATGCAGTGCAAATGGTGAAGTTATATGAATGTTAAACCATCTCTTTCATATATTTGATCAATATCATCTTCTTGGTAAGTTCTACCCTGGCCATCCTATTTTAAATCATACCCCATCTCTACTTCTTCCTGATTTCCCTCCTGATCTTTCCAACATATGATAGAATTTTCATTTTACGTTTCTTGTTCATTTCTCCCTTTACCCCATTATAATAAAAGCTCCAGCACTGCTGTCTCCCACCTACCTTACATATTATAGGTATTTGACAATATCTGTTGAATTGTTGAATAAATAAACCAATGAATGAATTACTGAAAGTCCCTGCACATTCATCTCCTCTTCTCCTCTCTCTTACGTCTTTGGAGTACAAAATAGGTTTTTCACCAAATGTGTGTGTCAACATGTCAATATGTAAAGTTAAATGTATTTAAACAAACATGTATCTCCTTAATTCTGTGGGCAGGGGGCATAGTGGGGAACCCTGCCAGTATATGACACCTCTGTCAATGCTACACAAGCACTGAACATAATATAGCAAAAACTCCTTTGTAACAGAAAAACATACTGTTTTCTCTATGGGAAGCCTAAGATAATGCTGGAAGATGAAATTGCTTTGCCTGAGCAGTTTCATTAGGTGCTACAAGCATGGGGAATGGCTTGCTGCTGAGTTGCTAGCAATATAAACACAGGCAGAGTAAGCAGGGATGAGAATCAAAGATGCAAAGACCTAGCTGAAATGATCCCACTTGACCTATTTGGTGACATCAGAACTTCTGGAGCTCAAGAGAGAAGTGCTGAAGAAATTCCAGGAGATTGTGATAGGCTAAGAAACCCTATGTCCACCACAGTTTTCCTCTTTGGGTACAAAAGGTGACCACAGCCTTTAAGAAGGGGTTCAAATTAACTTTCTTAGAAATTTTCTCAAATTCCCCAGCAATTATCTACTATTCTTTTCCATTGTTGTAATACAGTAATTGCAATGTGTTTAACGAAAGGCACCATTAGTAATTATTTTTAAAACAGTTTTACTGAGTCAATACCAATTGGTGTCACATCTAACATCTGCCCCTGTGTATCCTGGCACTATGAAGGACCAACTAGCAGGGAAAGTAATTACCTGAGAGTACAGCCACAGGGATCTTCAGAGAATGGCAGCACCCTCAGACTGCATCCTAATGAGTAGCCTTTTAATCTTCACCTCCATCTCTTATCACTACTTCCGTAACACGAAGCATTTCCTAATTAGGATCATCATATCAGGTGACAAGATAGAATACAAATTATATTGAAAATCACAAAATAATACCAAATAAGAAGTTTGGTATGCTCCAATAGTACAATGTATGCAAACTTTTCACCCTAAAAGAAAATGATCTTCTTGTCCAGGAGTTGGAATAATTGGGCTACAGAGACTGAAGTCCTATGCCTCTCAACTTCTTGCTCATATACTGCCCTGCCCTTCAATTCATATGTCCTCATAATACTCAACTGGAATCTCCCCTACCTATAGATACTGTAAATACTAAGTAAAGCAAAGGCTGCATCATTACATTAGTAGTTAAAAACAAAACTAGAGAGGATATGTTTATGTCTGCAATGCTTGTTGGCTCTGACTTGGTAACCGGTATCCAGAAAGAGGAAATTACAAAACAGTTTAAGGTTCATCTTTTGTCCATGATCTAAATCTGTAGGTAATAAGGGAGGATTTTGTTTGTTTGTTTGTTTATTAAGGGTCATTTGATTTCCTTGGATATAGATTTTATTTGAAGGTTTGTTATTTTAGAAATGTTATGTATTTCTGTTTAAGTATCCTACTAGAAAGATTAGAACAAAAAAATAAAAATGCATTGATCTGGAATCTTGGATTTTTACCCCCTCACAAGCAGTAATATTTAATGATCTGTTAAAATGGGGTTTTCTGAAGGGATTTTTATTATGCACAAACAGCAGGGATCCCTTTAGAATGGCTTCTCTTGCAATGTGGAATAGAGAAGCTCTGTGATGGGTTGGAGCACTTAATAAGAGAATATGAGATTCAGAACTTCTGTTCAAAGGCGAGATACCCCTAGGACATATCAAGTTCAAATATGATTTTCATCTCTTTTATTTCACCCTATTGAACTAGTAAACATTTTACTTTATAGAGTTTAGAAAAAGGTCTCCTTTCTTCTTCTATTACCACATACATAATTTGTTCTCTTTCTCTGTTTCTCTCACCATGTATAGAGATGAAGGTAGATATAGCTACACACATACACACACACACACACTCTCACACACACACACACCCCACACACACCCCCACCCACATACACACAGATGACTGATTGATTGATTGATTGACTGATGTAATAATAATGAACATAGATATAGATATAGACATACCAGCATTCATTGAGCTTGTTCTACTTGCTAGATGCTATTCTGGATTCCTTATATACATTTCTATTTTGTCCATGATTACTCAGTTCATTGTGTGTTAACATTGGATGTGAACATTTTCAGGAATGGTAGGGCTTGAACTGACAAGAACAAGTAAGTGAGAAAAATACAATAAAATTTAAGATTGTGAATGAAAAGCAAAAAACAAAAAATACATATATGGGAAGAGCTGCATTAAGGAACCTGCACAGATTGAAGTAGTAAAAATGTAAAATTAGCTAACCATAAAAAAAGCTACACTATGGAGACTGATGGAGATTATAGAATTCTGACTAAATAACTTTTTGAGTTGAAAGCGGCTGTTGAGTCTTTGAGAGGAAGAAATGCTACTTAAAAAGTGGAGCTCTAAGAGAGACCAGAAGGCAAATTAACCTCTCTGAATTCAGTTTGAGATCTTCCTGTTTGAATGCCCAACATATATTACCCTGGGCATTATGTAAATATTCAACAGTTAACCATATCATACCTTCTCAACATAATTTTTTTCCCTGAAAGTGTATTCTCTTTCTCTGTGAAATGTTTGAGTGTCTTCAGTAAATATGAATCCTTTAAAATTTTTGGAAGTCAGATTATTACAGTAATCAGCTTTCCCAATTATCTAATTCTATCTTGTATTTCTGTGGCAATAAAATCATATGCTAAGGCATTTTATCTTATACATGTATTGTCTATCAGTCATAGTATTTTTGAAAGCAAGAAGATAATCTGGACAATGCTTTTATAAAATAACCAAGGAAGAAGTCTAATCCAATGAGGTTATATAACAATTAGGAAATTATAAAACAGTTTGTTATAAAAGGAAGTGGTTGTTTTACTGTTATTTCATTCTTTTTGTCTGCCTCAAAATACACCTATCCACCATGCAGTCATATAATCACATAGGAAACATTTTTTTACTAAAAACTCCCATAAGATTTCAGTTAAATCTGATAAATGAATGCTGGAAGAAAGAGCTTCCTGAGTGGGAAAATAAGAAGGGGATAAAATCAATTTCCTGTAGTAATATACAGATGAGACACAACCTCATTTATGATAGGAAGACAGGAGGGAAGGGCACCACTTTCCTCTTTTAAAGTATGCCTGGAAGCTAGGGCCTGGAGCCAGACACTAAGCAGTTCTATTACTGGGAGAGTTTCTGCTTCAAGCTATAAGAGAGAAAGATTTAGGAAAGCTTGCTCTCTGAAGGTGGGCAGAGCATCAATGTCATCATCAATAGCAGTAACAGCAGGACTAGGCATGCAGGCAAGTTAAGACTGCAGCAGAGAGGAAGTTCACCAGTCCTCTAGAGGCAGCAATGTGTTTTTCATGACTTTGCCTGATACTTGTAACCAGTGTTATATTTGACAAGGAGCTTTCCCTTTCACCAGTTCTGTTTATCCTTAAAATATCCTTATGACACCATTAGAATGAAGGAAATATTAGGCTCATTTTATTTATTTTTTAAAATTTTGTTACATATAAATTCATATATACAAAGTATATGTAACATGTTATATAATGAAGCATGATATCACAAACAATGGTTATCACACCAACAAGTGTAAGAACTAAACTTTATCAGTAACCTTGAAGAAACCAGTGGCTTCTCTCTAATGTCATACATCTACATATTTCATAAAGACAGCTGTTATCCTGAGTTTTTAAATTAACTTTCCCTTGTTTGTAAATTATTTTAGTATACATAAACATGAACACATATATAATATCTGGTCTGGGTTTTTTTGTATTTTAGTTTAATAAAAATGCTGTTACAACTCATTAGTCTTTCTCAATTCAACATTATATTTCTAAGGGTCACCCATATTGTTGTGAGTTGCTATAGTTCACTCATTTTCACAGCTGTATATATGTCACTGTGTGAAAATACCTTATCTATCCTCTCATCAATGGTTATTGAGACAGCTTCCAGTTTTTTGTTATTATAAACAGTGCTTTTGTGAACTTTCTAACTAATGCTTCCTGGTCGACATATACAAGAATTCTGTAGAGTATATCATGAGTAGAAACAATACAACTTTATAAGATAAAGCCATTTTTTTTTAGATTGTCTTTGTTAATTAATTTTTTGTCTGCTGCAACTTACATATAATTAAAAGAGGAAATTAAAAATATCCCCAATGTTAGTAATCTGTAAAATTCTGTATGTGTATTTGTATATTTTGTATGATTTGTTATAGTTATTTTATTATTTTCATTATATTTCATTATTTTATAGTTTTATAGTATTTTTACCTTTCTGGAAAATTCAAATTTTTATAATTTTACAGTTTTCCTCTTTTTTACCTAATATATTGATACATTAAAAATTTATCATTCCATTTAAGTGATGTTTTTGAAACAACAACATTATACACAGAGAATAGATTTGGAATTGCCATGGGATAGAGACTAGGGTTGGTATGTGGCTATCAAAAGATAGCACAAGGGGATATTTGTGGTAATAGAACAGTTCTTGTATCCTGAAAGTGGCGAGGGTTACATAAATCTACACATGCGATAAAATCACACAGAAATAAATGCACATAAAACCAGTGGAATCTGAACAAGGTCAGTGGATTGTACCAATGCTAATTTCCCAGTTGTGATACTCTACTCTAATTATTCAAGACTTTACCATTGGAAGAAATGCAGGGAGGGTACATAGGACCTCTCTGTATCATTTCTTGCAACTGCATATGAATCTACAACTACAGTCACCCCTTAGTATATGTGGGAAATTAGTTCCAAGACCCCTGCATATACCAAAATCTATACATATTTGAGTTCCATAGTTTGTCCTATGGAACTCACATAAACCAAAAGTTGGTCCACTGTATATGTGCATTTTGGATCCCAAGAATTCTAGATTTTCAATCAACATTTGGTTGGAAAAATCCGCTATGTGGACCAGCAGAATTCAAACCCATCTCGTTCAAGGGTCAACTGTATTTCAAAATAAAAACTTTAAATTAAAAAAAAATTCCAGTGCTTTCTTTTTATTAGACTATACCTGGTACTTCTTTTTCCATTCTTTTACACTCAAAATTTATGTTTCCTTATGTTTTAGATATGTCTCTAGTAAACATTGTTTAGTTGGAATTTCATGTTTTAATCTCATCTAAAAGTCTATAAATTGTAGCTGGCAATTTCAGTCCATTTATATTTATTGTGATTACTGACAATAACTGGTTTACCAACATCTCATCTTTTCATTTTTACTTTGTTTCACTTTTCCTTTGCATTCACTCTTCTTTTGTCTTTGTTTTTTTGTTTGTTTGTTTGTTTGTTTTTGAGATGGAGTCTCGTTCTGTCGCCCAGGCTGGAGTGCAGTGGCATGATCTCAGCTCTCTGCAAGCTCCGCTTCCCCTGTTCACGCCATCCTCCTGCCTCAGCCACCCGAGTAGCTGGGTCTACAGGCGCCCGCCACCATGCCCGCTAATTTTTTGTATTTTTTAGTAGAGACGGGTTTCACCATCTTAGCCAGGATGGTCTTGATCTCCTGACCTCGTGATCCGCCTGCCTCGGCCTCCCAGAGTGCTGGGAATACAGGCATGAGCCACCGTGCCCAGCCTTCTTTTTTTTATTGACCAAAATTTTTAATTATATTTTATTTTTGTTTCATATTTTTCTTCAACCAATTTAGGATTACAAAGTTTGTTTTTATTCTTTTAGTCGGTATGTAAATTTACTATGAACATGTAATATATTTAGATATTAGGAAAGGTTATGCCACATGTAATAAGTGGCAGGGGTGGCAGTAGAACTCATAACTTCTAATTCCAATTCCAGTGTTTCTTCTGTTTGTTAAAATATTACAATTGACTTACATAAATGAAGTTCATTATTATCTGTTCCTATGAACTAAACATGTAGCATAATATGAATTTTCCAATTAATCATCTTTAATGTATGTTCATTTGTATAGTTCAGTTATTGTTAATGTTTATCAGTTTTATCTCCATATCTAGAATGAAAAATCCCTGTGGTATAAGGGCAACATACCTACTCTCATACCTTTACTCTTTTATCCCTCGAATATCTAAGCAAATTTTTTGCACCAACACTTGTTGACAGACTGTTTATAAATCAATATGAGCCATATATTTGGGCTCAGGACATACAACCCAAAATATGACTAGAGAAGATGTGAATATGCCTCCTTAAAGTGTGGCATACTGATTATTTTGAGCTGGTTATGTTGAGAAACCACAGGCACAGGAGTAGCTCTGAAAAACTCCCCTTTTATAAAGAAATTTACATCTATAAAGAAAATTTTCATTAGTAGAGGTACCTATACCAGAAAGAGAACAAGTCTCAGCCAACTTTTATCAGCTGAGGGTCTTTTATATGCCTAACAATGCAACCTTTATTCACCATACATTTCTTCCCTTCACCTTCCCATAATTTAGTGCCACCCACTTATTCATTTCTGTAAGCCCTAAGCACCTATTATTTTCTAAAAAGCTCAGGATCCTACATAAGCTTCAATCATCTGGCCCTTCTTTGAATCTCTTATTTTGTAGGACTCCTGTGTGTATGGATGCAATGAAAATTGTTTTTTCCAGTTAATCTGTTTTATGTCAATTTAGTTTGTAGCCCAGCCAAAGGAGCTAGGAGGATAGAGGGGGAAAATATTTGTTTCTCCCCTACACATGTAAACTCTTTAGCTCCTGCTTTCTTTACTCTGTCTCTCGTTTCCGTCTACTTTAGGCAGTGTCTCAAGTATACAAAAATATAAACTCCTCCATATCAAAGGTCTTCTCAGTTCTGCTTAAAGAGGAAACCACATATATCAATAACCTGTACATACAGTAATAAGAACAATGATACACAGCTTTGTATTTTACCAGTATAAGATTAAATCTATAGCAAACTATTAAATAATACAATAAAACATCGTAACCCAGAGATAAAATGAAACCGCCTTTGCAAAAATTATAACTGAGAAGATTATGATGGTGAAAGAGATCTGACCTAACTGACCCCATGTTGGTTCCAACCTCCAAGCTGTCCTTGTTCATTGCTGTGCATAGGCTGAACTAACTTTGGGAGAAAGTTTATAGTTTAACTTTGAAACAAAGTCGGTAACAGTCCTTTCCCAAAACAAACTGCCTTCCTGCCTGAAGACAAGACTGCCTTTTCAGAACTAACCAATTAGCCACAAGATTAAAAGTAATAGTTTAGGAGTCATGCATCTGGAGGCTGCAAGATTCTGAACCTCCCCAAATTGCTCCTGGGGAAAACATCACCATTGTAAAACCTAAGATCAGTACTTGAGATATTTTGCAGACTCTATATTTGACAAATCAGCTGGCATCATTCAGATTAATAAAATGGATCATCTAGTCTTGTGGCCCCCACCCAGGAAATGACTCAACTCAAGAGGGCAGCTTTGACTCCCTATGATTTCCAATCAATCAACACTCCCCACTTTCTGACTCCTTACCCACCAAATTATCTTTTAAAACCTCCATCCCTGAGTTTTCAGGGAGACTGATTTGAGCAATAATAAAACTCTGGCCTGGTCTCCTGTACAGCTAGCTCTGTGTGAATTAAAGTCTCTCTCTGTTGCACTTTTCCTGTCTTGATAAATTCGCTCTGTCTAGGCAGCAGGCAAGGAGAACCTGTTGGGCAGTTACAAAAATATGGTTCATTTTAAAGGATTTTTTCTATTTAAAAATATAGATGAATCATAATTCAATTCTAAATAAAATTTATATAAAATGACAGAATTATTGACTATTTAAGAAATAGAGAATAGGATCTTAGTTGACCTCAGGATTGTGACTGCTAATAACATTCTTTTAAATCATTTATAACTTTTATAGGGAAACTTATCAGTTGTAATTGAAAACTAAAGGCATTTAAATTTCACATTTCTATACTGTAATTGTGATATTTAATTAGGAGGTCAATAAGTCAAATCTTTAATTCAGAATTCTTCAGAGACTTAACAGATAAAACTGCATGGAATTGATCATGACTTTTAGCCAAGGTCTGCATTGAGAACTAGTTATTTTCCCAATTTGTAACAAATCATTAACCTAACACAGAGATTTAATGAATCCAAAACTACATAATACAAAAATGCCTTCTGGAAACTAGGGGACCAATGTTAACCTGTCTAGTTCTCCTGAAAGAAAGAGCTCAAACATGTGAAAAGAGCAGGGTCTGCCTTAACTGATACATCTTTCTTAGATTATAAGCCCAGAAACAGGTACCCTGTGTGATGTCACATGTAATAAGAAGCTTTAAAAAGTACCTAAAGGCTAAAAATATGGTGAGGTACAGAAGGAGGCAACTGCTAATATTCACTGAAACCAAAAGGCACTTTAAAATTTTATTAAATATATAATATATGGAGAGACTGAATGAAAGAAAGTAGCATAGTAGCAGGAAATTAGTATTTGTGAAAATTATCTCCGCTATTAAATTTTTCTGAGTGACAATTCTAAACGAGAGTTTATAACAATATTGGGAGTTCACTATGCTATAGAAACAATCAGTATAAACATCTTAGAATTTCAAAATTTAGTTTTCTAATTCCCATTCGCTGAAGTGCCATCTAAATTCATAGATATGGGTGGGTATGTTCAAATGTTGGTTTTCCACCTTTTACCACTTTATACAGTAAGTAGATATATTAAATCGTATTGTGATATTATTACTAGGTTTTGCTGGGATTAAAAGATAAATAACAGTAACAATCATAAGGGCAAATAAGATCCTATTTTCTAACCCCAAAAAGTACAATATACTGACACAATAAAGTAGAAGGCACTATTAATCCAATACCCTAACCTGATAAGATAGAAGGCACTGTTATCATAATTAATGAAGATATCCCAATATTTCTGAATGAATAGGAAGTAGGATATAGGGTAGTGTCTGGGGCTGTGGGAAGATGAAAACCATACACACAGTTCAATTGTGATTTTTCACTTCAGGATGAGACAAGTTAAAAAAAATGTTTTCTGTTATTGCAAAACAAAACCTGTGTGTCACAAGATCAGGCCTCAGAATATCAAAAGAAAAAAAAATTCATGAACAGGACTTAAACAGTTCACATACATTGAAGTCATCACTGACTTCTATCACAGTAGCAACTTCAGTCTGTTCTGGCTGTTTTGTTTGTTGTAAAATTTTGTATATGTATGCATTCATGAGTGCGCATGAGACAGACGGCATATTAAGCATGCACAAGTGACTCTATACACTTCAAAAGTTAATTTTTTTTTTGTCAAAGGAGATGCATCTTTCTTGGTCTAAAGATAAAGTGACCTTCCCACTAATCTAGAAATAATTGCTAAATGCAAACATGCACCTATGTGTCTCTTTCTCATACCAGGTAGCAATGAACAATTTTTTTAAAAACCTAACCTTTAGAACTCTATGAATGATAGAGGATTCAAGAAAAGTCAAGCTGGAATCAAGGGTCATCCTACTATGCAGAGTAAAGTGAGTAGTTCTCACCAGGGCTTTCATTTGTTGAGAGCCCACTATGTGATAGCCTTATGGACTACAGTAAAAATTAGAAATTCCAGTTGGCAAATTCTCTTCACACACCCCCAAAATCATTTTAAAAAGAATATCTAAGACGCTTGGGATAAAAATAAAGGAATCTCTTGTATTAACAGGCCATAGAAATAAGTTTTCTTGACCCAAAATTAAGGGTGGAACTGGGGAAGTGTGGAGACTGTCAAAGTGGTCTGTAGGAAGATTTTATTGGCTAAAAGAGAAAGAAAGAAACATTAGCACTCCACACAGAAGTCTCCAAAAGGTAAGAAAATAGAATGAATAAGACTGTGATGGTTAAAAATATTAGGTGTCAACTTGATTAGATTGAAGGACGCCTAGATAGCTGGTGAAGTATTGTTTCCGGGTGTGTCTGTGAGGGTGCTGCCAGAGAAGATTAACATTTGAGTCAGTGGACTGCGGAAGGAAGACCCACCCTCAGTGTGAGTGGGCACCAACCAACTGGTTGCCAGTGCGGCTAGAACAAAACAGGCAGAAGAAGGTGGGATAAGCTAGCTTGCTGAGTCTTCTGGCTTTCCTCTTTCTCCTGTGCTGGATGCTTCCATCCATTCTTCCTGCCCTTGGACATGGGACTCCAGGTTCTTTGGCTTTTAGACTCCTGGACTTATACCAGTGGTTTGCCAGGGGCTCTCAGGCCTTTGGCCACAGACTGAAATCTGCACAGTCAGCTTCCCTACTTTTGAGGCTTTTGGACTCATTATGAGACACTACTGGCTTCTTTCTCCCTCAGCTTTCAGATGGCTTACCATGGGACTTCACCTTGTGATCACATAAGCCAATTCTCCTTAATAAACTACTTTTCACATACATGTATATCCTATTAGTTCTGTCCCTCTGCAGGACCCTGACTAACAAAGACCTACTATTTGATAGCACAACAGGGTGACTATAGTCAATAGTAACACTGTACATTTTAAAATGTCCTTTTTTTTTTTTTTTTTTTTTTTTTTTGAGATGGCGTCTTGCTCTGTCACCCAGGCTGGAGTACGGTGGCGCAATCTCGGCTCACTGAAACCTCCACCTCCTGAGTTCAAGCAATTCTCCTGCCTCAGCTTCCTGAGTAGCTGGGATTATAAGCATGCACCACCACACCCGGCTAATTTTTGTATTTTTAGTAGAGACAGGGTTTCGCCACATTGGCCAGGCTGGTCTCGAACTCCTGACCTCAGGTGATCTGTCCGCTTTGGCCTCCCAAAGTGGTGGGAGTACAGGCATGAGCCACTGTGCCCAGTCTAAAATATCGTAAAGAATGTAATTAGATTGTAACTCAAAGGATAAATGCTTGAGGAGATGGATACCCCATACTCCGTGATGTGCTTATTTCACATTGCATGCCTGTATCAAAACATCTCATGTAACCCATAAATATATATCTATATATATAAATATATATAGATATATATCTACTATGTACTCACAAAAATTAAAAAATAAATAAAGAAAAAAAAATTAAAAATGTGGCGTTCCAAAATATCCATGTTTGGTTACTGCTGCAAAATCAAAGGCTTGCACAACTCTCCTTCCTAAAGCCCTATACTCTTACTATTCCTGGGTCAGTATAGCCTAGTTATACAAGAATTAGGGAAACACAATATAAAATAAGATTTTGAGCTAAATAATGGATTATAATAAATTATAAAATGTTGCTCTGCTTCATGAAACTGTAACCAGATTCCTATGACACTGACTTTCGTAACAGTGGAATTATGTTTTCCTAAGCATTCTTAGACAAGCAGTTTCATTCTTTTCTACTCAAAGCACATTGTTCACATGTTTCACATTGCAAAGCATGGCACCATCCTTTCCTGACTTATCCTCCACCACCTCTCCATGAGATCATAACACAGGTTTGCTTCACTCACCTCGAAAAGTATTCTGAAGGAACCAAATCTGAAAATATCCTTGGTGGGTATTATACATTTCAATATGCTTTCTGATTTTATTCCCAATCCATTATTTTAAGAATTAATTTATCTAGATAATATTTTTAAATGCTGCAAGTATAATTTTATTCATTTAGAGCAAATAGAAGTGACAACACGAAACAAAAACCAACTAACAAATTCTACTTTTCAGTTGCTTTATGTTGTGGATTGAATTGTATATCCCCAAAAGGTATGTTGAAGTCTTAACTTCCTGTACCTGACAATGTGATCTTATTTGAAAATCCGGCCTTTGCCAGTATAATATAGCTAAGAGGTGATCATATTGGACTAAGATGAGCCCTAATTGCTCTAATCCAATGACTGGTCTCCTTAAAGATGGGGGAAGTTTGGGGCCCACAAACATAGACACAGAGGGAAGAATGCCATGTGAAGATAGAAGCAGAGACTGGAGTTATACACCTGAAAGTCAAGGAATGCCAAGGACTGACGGCTGCCACCAGAATCAAGGATGAAGCTAGGGATGATTCTACCCTTAGTTGTAGAGGAAGCATGACTCCTTGACTTTAAACTTCTATTTTCCAGAACTATGAGAGAATAAATGTCTGTTGTTTTAAACTGCCCAATTGTGGTGATTTGTTACAGTAACTCTAGGATACTAATGACTTTATAATTAAATATTTGTAATGATGGAAGCTATTAGAGATATTTTTTGGTCATCTTATCTGCATAAAAATAACATTTATTCTAACTGTTCCAATGACTGACCTGTATCAGCGAGAATGAAGTTAGGATAATCTAAACATTTTATCAAAGACAAATTATCTGTAAGCTTCAGGCAATACTAACGTATAATTTATGAATATAAAAATGTTGTTTTTTATTTCTAGTAAACAAAAACTATTATTTGAAGCATGCCCATTCTGTTTTAGAAGTAATGGTGGGGATCTGAATAGTAAAGCAGGAAAGGTTAAATGAACTTCAAAGGCAGGACAGAGCCCTTCTTTATATGAATAAAGCCCTCCTTTATATTAATCCCAATGTTGTGCTTACAAGAGGTGACTACCATGTAGAGGTCTACAGAAAAATGGGATAGCTCAGGGTTTCTTGGAAGATGGGATATAGAGTGGGGGATAGACTATAGATAATCACAGTGATGATGAAAGATTTGCTTGTCTTTTCTACAGTAAAAGAGGCAAGTCTGGGAAGGATATACTTATGTTGTCTAACAACTAGAATGAAGTAGTAATAAAAAAGGAATTGATAAATCTTCAGAAGTGGGTGGAAAACACATAAGAAATATCTTTGAAGAGTTCACCAATATTTGATGAGGGGAAGGTGTGGTGGAAGGAACACCATCCTCTAAATCTGATCGTATCCAAAACACTAGTCACTGCCCTTTCATATTCCTTTAATTAAGATATGATCATCTAAATGTATGTATTACTAGACATTTTAATTCTGCAATCCACTAAGGAGCATTATGATTTTGACCTCTCTGTATTTCTCCCTCCAAAAAGAGATGTATCTTGCCACATTACGTTCTTTGGGGCTTCTTAGTATTGAACAGAGACAAATACATTAAGACATAAGAACAACACTTATGTGGAGGTGGGGGCAAAAGTGGAAAGTTTAGGGGTATTTAGGGTAAAGAATTAATTACTCTGGTATGTGAGGGAAATGAACTGAATACGAAAAGAGAATATTTAGGATGAATTCTCTATCTCCCTCCATAGTCTTTGAGAAATTGTTTTCAGTGGAAAGGTTTATTTATTTATTTATTTTTACCATAATTCTCAGCCTAAATCATGAGAATCCTGGCTTTCTACTTCTTAAATTTTGGAATACATGTGATGAATTTTATACCTAAGAATCAATACTTTACTATATATCTGAATAAATCCATCATCCTGATATGAGGTCTCATTGTATGTCGTCATCACTGCTGAATGCTGGACAAATGGGGAAAACAGAGTCAGCAGGACCCATGGTTATCCTTGGAATTCTACTAAACAATCAACAGGCTCTGTAGCATTTATCAACTTATTGTCTCTCAGCTCCAAATTCACCCTTAAGTACCTTCTCTGCTAAACTAGACTGGAATAAACATTTTTTCTTTACAATAAGCACTATGTTAAGCTTTGACAGCCCAGGATGGTGGAACATTGCAGGAGGAATGATGGGGCTATTTCTTGTTCCATTGAGCTGCATTTTGCTTCTCCTTGTTTCTGCTGCAGGGTCCATCAGGTGTGTGTGTGTGTGCATGTGTGTGTGTGTGTGTGTGTGTTTAGGAGCATCCAGTGGACATACAAGTTGTATTAGTCAGGGTTCTCTAGAGGGACGGGACTAATAGGATAGATGTATATATGAAAGGGAGTTTATTAAGGAGTACTGACTCACAGAATCACAAGGTGAAGTCCCACAATAGGCCATCTGCAAGCTGAGAAACAAGGAAGCCAGTCCAAGTCCAAAACCCTCAAAAGTAGGGAAGCCAAAACTGCAGCCTTCAGTCTGTGGCAGAAGGCCCAGAAGTCCCCGGAAAACCACTGGCGTATGTCCAGGAGTCCAAAAGCTGAAGAACTTCAAGTCCAATATTTGAGGGCAGCAAGCATCCAGCATGGGAGAAAGATGGATGCCAGAAGACTTAGCCAGTGTACTCTTTCCACCGTTCTTCTGTCTGCTTTTATCCTAGCCAGACTGGCAGCTGATTAGATGGTGCCCACCCAGATTGAGGGTGTCTGTGTCTCCCAATTCACTGACTCAAATGTTAATCTCCTTCGGCGACACCCTCACAGACACACCCCGGAACAAATACTTTGCATCATTCAATCCAATCAAGTTGACACTCAGTATTAACCATCACACATGTTATTCCACTCAAAGAGTTTGCTTTCTAGGGGCAAAGAGGTATTCAACAATAAAATCAATAACCATGTCTGTGATAGGCACACTAAGGAAAATAAATGTAATGTACTGGATCTATTTAAGATGAGGGGTCAGGAATGATCTCTTTAAATAATTTACATTTTTATTAAAACCTAAAGTAGAATTCACTCAGAGAAGCAGAATTGCTGTGAGATCACAGAATAAGGAATTTATTATAGAGGTTAGTCATTATGCAAGTATGGAAGCTGATGGGACAGTGTAGGCATCCTGCTATCTTTGTTTGCTGAGTTGAGCCTGAAGTTGACATACATCAGCCAGACTGGCAGTCAGGAAGGAAAGCTCAATGTGGACAACTTCAAGGACAAACTGAAATCAGCAGAGACAAATTGGAAACCAAAGAGACTACTGAAATCATGTCTTGTCTTTCATTAACCCCAACCTTGATTCTGTGCAGGAGTAGCTAGCACCTACCTTCTCCACAGTTGCATATGTAGGATTAGTAATCAGAGAAGATGAAGGAGATCTGGCCAGAGCTGGAGAATCCATGGATTGGGATGCTGTCATACTGCAAAATGTGAGCTGCCACATCAGTAAGATACCTGGTGTACCTGAGTGCCTGCTGTCCTGCATCATCTTTCAGAGAGTAAAAACAATGTGGCTGCAACTTCACGTCCACCTTTGTAATCTCAGGCAAATTATTTCCTGTGTCTAAGGCTGTGTCTGGAACTATACACAGAGGAAATTCTGGGAATTCTAGTTTTTGGACCAAGCGCAAAGACACTCCACTTGCCTACTATGCAAAGAGATTAGGAAAGAGCTGGGCAGGAAGAAGAGAAAACAAAAATACTTGGAAGCAAAAACGAGCTTGACTATTATTAGGAAACAACAGTAACAATAGCTGGTTAGTATTGGATAAGGTAAACAGTGGCCCTGAAACTAGGTTAGAGATATGGTTAAGAGACCCATCATGGTCCTTGTAAGTTATGATGTGGAATACAGATTTATTCCAATTCAATAGAAAATCATTGAATAGTGCTAACCAAAAAAGTAACTGGCTTCATTATGTAGAGAATGCAAGAAGGGCAATATTGGAAGCAGGGATGTTTTACAGTAATCCAGATGAAAAATGATAGTAGAGTGAAATAGATGGATTTTTAAAAATATAATTTGAAGGTAGGCCCCAGAAAAACGTCTGAAGACTTGGATTTCCCCCTAAATTGTATTGTCCTTATTCCTCCAAGTAAGGGGACAAGAGCGGCTCAGGATTTCTGTTTCTAGTGACTGGATAGATGACAGGCAATTAAGATAGAGAACACTGGAAGATCATATTTTGGGGTGGAGAAGGAAGGGAAAACTAATATAGCATTTTATACCTGGTAACTTTGAGATACCTTTGGGACGTGTAGGTGTAGAAGGGTTAAATAAGTTTATCAGAGTCACAAACATTTCTAATAACAGCATGACTATTTTCCACTCATTAAAGCTTAACAGACACTCTGAAACGCTTGGGAACTTTGTTCATGCTTTTGCACTCTCCATATTCAATCAGTAAAAACTTATCGAATTGGTTAAAGAAATATTTCATTGAATATTTACTATCTTTTCAATAAAAAGGGAATACAGTTACACTTTTACTTCACAGAGTTCCTAGTCTAGTGGCAGAGTAAAAGGTATGTCAATTATTAGGGTCAATGTGGAAAGTACTACACTGGCATGGCAATTTATATTTGATTGACTTCTAAACATGTGTCAAATTCCTTTCTTCTTTGTTTCCACAGTTGAAGTCTTGTTACTGCTACATGTAGAGCTGCAGGAGCAAACTTAAGCCCAGAGGCTGGCCACCCATTTTTATAAAGTTTTATTGGAACACGGTCATGTTTATTTAATTACATATGGTTTATGACTACTTTCATACTACAAAGGCAGAGTTGAGAAGTTGCAATACAGATTATGGACTGTAAGCCTGAAATATTTATTATCTGGCCCTTAAGAAAAGTTTGCAGATACCTAATTTAGACTAAAATATTCCAAAATTCTTTAATGTTTCTTGCTTCCTCTCTCTCTTCAATTCAATCCTTCCTACACATCACTGCTAGATTAATAACTCAAAAGCTGCTATGATCCCTTCTTCGATGAGTAATGGTATACTTAAATAAATATTAAAAATCATTATATGAGTTCCTTTGAATATATAACATCCAAGCTCACAATTTTGACAGATCCCTACTGCCTTATGAATAAAATATACATACTTATTCTGGTACTCAAAAGCCTCCATTATATGACAAAGACCTAACTGCTTATTTCAAGTTACACCTCAGCAGAAGTGCTCTATCAAACTGACCTCCTCTTTATTTATTTGTCACTTTTTTTCACTGTCCACCAACATGCAGAAAACTCCTTTTTGTGTGTGTGTGTAATTTCTCACCTCAATGCCTTATTCATTATACAATCTCTATCACTGGGCCCTTCATTCTGCCTCCATCTTTGCAGTTTCAGTGATATCCATCTGCGTTTGTTAGGATAATGTCAGACAATCTCTAAAATTTCAATGACTTAATAAAAATATATTTCTTGTGTGTGTAATTTCTCACCTCAATGCCTTATTAATTATACAATCTTTATCACAGGGCCCTTCATTCTGCCCCCATCTTTGCAGTTTCAGTGATATCCATCTGTGTTTGTTAGGATAATGTCAGCTTCTAAAACAGATAATCTCTAAAATTTCAGTGACTTAATATAATAAAAATATATTTCTTGTCCACATAATAGTTCATTGCAGCTACTCTTGGTCAGTGATGTGGGGCGAGATAGTGAGTATGGTGGTCTGCTTCACAGTCATTCAGGACTACCATTTTCAACCTAAGTCTTCCAAGGTCAACCAGGTCCATGTCCACCCAGCCAATGGGGAAGAGGTACTGGAGAAGGAGACATCACTACTTCTTAACCCCCTCAGCCAAGGAGGTCACACTCATTGCTTCCGCCCACATTTCATTGGTAAGAACTAGTCATATGACCCCATACAATTTTAAGGGGGGTTGAGAAATATGATCCCTGTATAAGCATCTACTCCCCAACAGCAACTCCACCTTATCAGCAGGGAGCATGACTCTTTGACGGGCAGTTAGTGGTCTCTACCAAACCTTTCATGGCACATCTCCATACTACCTTCCTAATCAGATAAGCTCTATCCCACATTCAACCTTTGTAACACTTCATTTTTATTTATCATTAAGTTCTAACAAAGTCTATGTGGAAAGTGCTACACCGGCATGGCAATTTCTATTTGATTGGCTTCTAAACATGTGTCACTTTCCTTTCTGCTTTGTTTCCACAGCTGAAGTCTTGTTACTGCTACATGTAGAGCAGCAGGAGCAAACTTAAGCCCATAGGCTGGCCACCTGTTTTTATAAGGTTTTATTGGAACACAGTTATGTCTATTCAATTACATATTGTTTATGACTACTTTCATACTACAAAGGCAGAGTTGAGAAGTTGTGGTACAGACTATGGAGTATAAGCCTGAAATATTTTTATTTCATATCGGATTTGGTACTTATCATATTGGATTTTTTCTCACTTGATTTCTTTTT
Source organism: Homo sapiens (assembly GCF_000001405.40). Classification (NCBI taxonomy): domain Eukaryota; kingdom Metazoa; phylum Chordata; class Mammalia; order Primates; family Hominidae; genus Homo; species Homo sapiens. The sequence continues at coordinate 44,225,563 of NC_000004.12, forward strand.
TTACTTTTCTGAAAATATCATTTATTAAGCTTCCATCACTTACAATACCCTTTGTATCCACGATGGTGATGATTAAAAAAAATAACCCTTGTGTTGGATTTCATTTTGAATTTTTTGTATAGGAAATATATATATTTTTAATTTTACTTTAAGTTTTGGGATACATGTGCAGAACATGCAGATTTGTTATGTACATATACGTGTGCCATGGTGGTTTGCTGCACCTATCAACCCGTCACCTAGGTTTTGTCTCTTTTTTTTTTTTTTTTTTTTTTCGAGATGGAGTCTTGCTCTGTCGCCCAGGCTGGAGTGCCGTGGTGTGATCTCGGCTCACTGCAAGCTCCACCTCCCAGGTTCACGCCATTCTCCTGCCTCAGCCTCCCGAGTAGCTGGGACTACAGGTGTCCGCCATCACGCCTGGCTAATTTTTTGTTTTTTTGTATTTTTAGTAGAGATGGGGTTTCACCGTGTTAGCCAGGATGGTCTCCATCTCCGGACCTTGTGATCCGCCCACCTCGGCCTCCCAAAGTGTTGGGATTACAGGCGTGAGCCACTGCGCCCGGCCCTCCTCATCTAGGTTTTAAGCCTCATTTGCATTAGGTATTTGTCCTAATGCTCTCCCTCCCTTTGGCCCCCACCTCCTGACAGGCCCCGGTGTGTGATGTTCCCCTCCCTGTGTCCATGCATTCTCATTGTTCAATTCCCACTTATAAGTGAGAATATGCAGTGTTTGGTTTTGTGTTACTGTGTTAGTTTGCTGAGAATGATGGCTTTCAGCTTCATCTATGTCCCTGTAAAGGACATGAACTCATCCATTGTTATGGCTGCATAGTATTCCATGTTATATATGTACCAGATTTTCTTTATCTGGTCTATCATTGATGGTCATTTGGGTTGGTTCCAAGTCTTGCTATTGTAAATAGTGTTGCAATAAACATATGTGTGCATGTGTCTTCATAGCAGAATAATTTATAATCCTTTGGGTACATACACAGTAATGGGATTGCTGGGTCAAATGGTATTTCTGGTTCTAGATCCTTGAGGAATAGCCACACTGTTTTCCACAATGGTTGAACTAATCTATACTCCCACCAACAGTGTAAAAGTGTTCCTATTTCTCCACAGCCTCGCCAAAATCCCTTGTTTCCTGACTTTTTAATGACTGCCTTTCTAACTGGCATGAGATGGTATCTCATTGTGGTTTTGATTTGCATTTCTCTAATGACCTGTGATGATGAGCTTTTTTCGTATGTTTTTTGACCACATAAATGTCTTCTTTTGAGAAGTGTCTGTTCATATCCTTTGCCCACTTTTAGATGGAGTTGTTTTTTTTTTCTTGTAAATATGTTTAAGTTCCTTGTAGATTCTGGATATTACACCTTTGTCAGATGGATAGATTGCAAACATTTTCTTCCATTCTTTAGGTTGCCTGTTCACTCTGATGATAGTTTCATTTGCTGTGCAGAAGCTCTTTAGTTTAATTACATCCCATGTGTCAATTTTGGCTTTTGTTGCCATTGCTTTTGGTGTTTTAGTCATGAAGTCCTTGCCCATGCCTATGTGCTGAATGGTATTGCCTAGGTTTTCTTCTAGGGGTTTTATGGTTTTAGGTTTTATATTTAAGTCTTTAATCCATCTTGAGTTAATTTTTGTATAAGGTATAAGGAAGGGATCCAGTTTCTGTTTTCTGCATATGGCTAGCCAGTTTTCCCAGCACCATTTATTAAATAGGGAATCCTTTCTCCATTACTTGCTTTTGTCAGGTTTGTTGAAGATCAGATGGTTGTAGCTGTGTGGTATTATTTCTGAGGTCTCTGTTCTGTTCCATTGGTCTATATATCTGTTTTGGTACCAGTACCATGCTGACTTTTAGACATATCAGGGTAGTATGATCCTCAAGGGACATCTTATCTTTCTTTTAGTCCTCAACTATTGATCCATGTATCCAACCATTTAACCATTGATTTAAGTGGGATCAAGTGACAGAGTGTATGTAGTTGCATTTGGTGAAACCCACCTACTAAATTAGAAATCTAACCCAGTAAGCATTTTCTTTGATTGTGTATCAGTATTCTCATTATCTGTGGAGATAAATAATTTAGAACCTCATAAAAATACCATTTAGAAATATTTGTCAAATAGCACAATTTTGGTATAAACATATTAAACCAGAGCCTAAGAGGCAGAGTTGATTCTTTCCTTTCCCTCACTCTTAAGATGCAATTCACCTACAAGTACTGTCACTTTTATTCTTAAAATATATATCAAATATTTACATCTTTTATTCCAGCACCTACACCCTTCATCCAAATCACCGTCCTATTTATTCTAATATATTTCATACTCCTGTCATTCTTGTCTATCTAAAGACTTTTCTGCACAAAGCAGTTAGTGATCCTCTTAAAGCATAAATCACACAATGCTACTACTCTATTTAATACCTATTATTGGCTTCTCATTGTCTTTAAAATGATATTCAGACTCCTTACCATTGCAGTCATGATTTGGCCTCATCTATCTTTCCAGCTCCACCTCACATCACTCTCCCCTTATCAGTTTGCTAGGGCTGCCTTAACAAAGCTCCACAAACCAAGTTACTTAGAATAACAGAAAATTATTTTCTCACAATTCTCGGGCTAGAATTCTGAGATCAAGGTGTCAGCAGGATTGGTTCTTCTGAGGCTTCTCTCCTTGGCTTGTAAATGGCTTTCTTCTCCCTCTGTCTTCTCATGGTCTTCTCTCTGTGCCTGTCCTAATCTCCTCTTATTAGGACGTAAGTCATATTGGATTAGGGTCTGCCCTTAGGAACTTATTTTACCTTAGTTACCTTTTTAGAGCCCTATCTCAAAAGACAGTCATATTCTGAGGTACTGCAAATTAGGACTTTAACATATGAATTTGGGAGGAACACAATTAACTCCCAACACTTCTTCTCACTCAATATATGCAAGCCATATGGCTTCCATTTGTTCCTCAAACACAAGTTTTTCCTGCTTCAGTGAATTCACTTGCTTTTGCCTTTGCAAAAGGCAAAACTGCTCTTTGCATCTCTGGCTTTTCATCTTTCTTTTTCACTGCCACCTCCTCAAGGGGGGTCTTTCCTGACCAATCTGAAACACTATTACCCCCCATTATTCCTCTATCACAGTTTAGCTTGTTTATTTTCTGTTTCCTTCCTTATAACCTCCATTAAAACAGGGCATTTGCCTCACTCATTTTTTGCTTTAGACTCTCTGTGCCTAGTGTAGTGACTTATACATTAAAGAGTTTCAATAAAGAATTGGTGAATGAATTGTGCTTTATATAAAGTAGGAAAGTATTTCAAATAATCAAATATTTTCTAACCTTTTTTTGTATTTAAAATGTGCAAACACTCATTGCCTTTAAAATGAAATATTTCATTTTATTTCATTTTCACCAGACTTCCTCAGTTTAAATCCCTCTCTTGAATCTTCATAACTTTGACTGAGGGCAAGTTGAATAAATGCTTTGTTATTCAATTTCCGCATTTGCAAAATGGAGATAATTATCTGTACCTAAGGCATTGGATTATTATCATGATTGAAGAAGGTGTATATAAAATACTTACAACTACAGCTGTTTCAGGTAGCTAGGCAGGCATGAGTGAGGCAGGAGAGGGCTCTCCCCTACCCACCAGGAATGTTGGTTGATGGTTTGGCAATTATCACGTTGCCTCTCTAAAAGTGATTAATTGGCAGCAGGTGCCAGGGAGAGGCTATTTCCTGGTGGTCCACACCTGTCGTGCTAAAGTGTTAATTAAATGCAGATGCCAGGGAGAAGCAACTTCCCAGGCATGTGCATTAAGAGGCAAAAATGGCAGAGTATGACCTTCCAGGGCACTCCGCTGGCAAAGGGGAGAAAAGCCTCAGATGGGCATGGGTACAACTTCCTAAACACACTGCACTTGCTCACTTCCCAAGGGTAAGGAGGGCACTGCACATGTGGGCAGCCCACCCTAAGGAAAGAATCATGGGAAAGGGATGCAAAATGCCAGAGGTGGGTCAGCCTATATAGTCCTAGGATCATGGTTAAATGGGGCACTTGACCTTGGTGCCCGCTTGGGTCTCTTCCAGGCATACTTTTTCTTCTTTCCTGTTCTCTTGTTCTAAAGCCTTTTTTTTTCTTCTTCAGGAAGGTATGTCCCTTTTAAATGAAAACAAACAGACAAAAATATCTCTGAAAAAGATTTGATGGTGGATCTACTAAACACTCTACAAACAACTGCCTTAAGGATTTTTTTTTCTTTTTCTTTTTTTTATTATACTTTAATTTCTGGGATACATGTGCAGAACGTGCAGGTTTGTTACATAGGTATACACGTGCCATGGTGGTTTGCTGCACCCATCAACACGTCATCTACATTAGGTATTTCTCCTAATGCTCTCCCTCCCCCACCCCCTGACAGGCCCTGGTGTGGGATGTTCCCCTCCCTGTGTCCATGTGTTCTAAGGCCTTATTAAATCAACTTCCACTCCTGCTCTGAAACTTGCCTTGGTCACTTTTTCTGGCTTATGCCCCTCAGTCAAATTCTTTCTTTTGAGGAGGCAAGAATTGAGGTTGCTGCAGACCTGTACGGATTCACCGCTGGTAACTTGGATACTTTCCACCAGTAATGCACCTAGTACATGATAAATGCTACATAAATATTTGATATTATTATTTAAGATATGGAAGGTAAAGTATTCATTCCTATATAGTTGATAAAAAGATGAAGGCCATTTGTTCTGCCCACGACAACTTTACTATATAGCTAAAGAAACTATGTAAGTTAAATTATTCACATAAAATTCAGTTAACCCACTTAAGGCAAATAACATTATACAGGCATAAAATGTTTAAAGTAATACTTATGAAGAAAATGAAGATAATTAACATGATTGTGCATCATATAGTTATTCCCAAGTGAATGGTACTGCCTAGTACTGATTTCACCATTTCCCATCATCTTTTTTACAAAGCCATGTGACAAGTAGTATTATTTACAAGGTATTTTACTGGAGATCCATTACATGTTAACTTCTAAAACATTTCTTAAAAATGTTCTTTAATGATGTAAAGAGACAAAGTGACAGGCAGAAATGTACAGCAGTATACAGGACAGCTCAGGGCCTCTCAGCTAGCACCTAAAAATGTAGGACCAAAATGCTGCTTATACCCTTGAGTGTTGTTTCTCATGGAGTAATTCTTGAGCCAAACTATCAGTTCAGCTTTGCCATTAAATTTTTTTAATATCCAGAGATTGTCTTTAGGATTTAGCGATCTTATGAGAACATCCCATTTTCAACAGCTATCATTTGGGAATATCCAGATTCTCAAGCATAATAGATGGAAAATAATGTGATTTCTGAGCCCATCTGGTCATCTGTGCTGGACAGTTCCAAGCAAATACCCTGAAAAAATCGATTTCGCTGGCAAATTTATAAATTTGGTCCTAAATTCTATGAGTTTGTTTAGTGTTCCTCCACTGGGCAGCAGAGATGCTAAGTGGTAATGACAAACTCAGATATGCACATTTAGGTAATTATTTTAGATTCCAAACACCTGCGCCAAGAGTGGGTTGCTATTCAATAATCTCAATTATCCTCCAGCTGCCATATGACTTGTTTCACATGTAGACTAGGCAAAGATCATATATCTCACCTCATTTCTCCCCCCAGGCCCTATCTCTGATTTTCAGGTCTTTTTATAGTTGCTTCAATCAATGCTATAACACATTAAGTGGATATTTATGGAAAATCAATTCAGAATGCTATAATTAGCGAGCACTGTAAGCTTGGAAATAATGTTGATGCAAAGCATTCAACTCCAGGAAGGGATTTATCTATAATAAAACTTGTATAGAATTACCTATGACATTTAACAATACTGACTTTGTTCATATTCAATCTTGGTTTTTAGTTTATTTATTTGAGATAGCACATGATAGTCTTCATCCTATTTTCTCAAAAATGATTATGAATATTCACCTAAGTTACATGGGAGCAAAATGGAATGTTGTCTTTGAATATGTAGTCTAAACATTTTCAGCACTATGTTAGAAGCAGTAGGAAATCTGATTTTGTATCCCATATGTGAAATAATTTTAATGGTTTTCATGTATCAGAAAGGCATACTACAAAAAATTAATTGCACTGTCCTTTTAATTTCAAGCTCCTATGAAGAAATTTTTCTGGAATGAGTAAATTAAAATCTCACTGTGTCTCTCTCTCTCTCTCTGCCTTTCTTTCTCTTTCTCCTTTTTTCTCTCTTTGATGGAATAACAGGCTTTTATCAGTTCAGGTTGATTCTAAGCAATGACTTCAGAAATTAAATCAGGCTGGCTACTCAAAAACTCGAGGACCAAAACAGAAACTTCTTAAGTAGTTTTGGATGTTTGTATAATGGAGTAAACAGCTTGAAATTAGATACTATTGTCACTATCTTTAGTTCCCAAGTTTACATATATATGGCAGAAAGATTTGGGCAGAAGGGATGTTTGATAATATGCAAATTTCTCGGTCTTCACCATAGAAATTCTGATTCAATTTGATTCATTTGAAAACACAAAAATGAGTCTTAACTAAATTATCCAGAAACAGCATTTTCAGAAACAATAATTTCTAGACCAAAAGACTCCTTCATATTGCTCAAACAGTCCTGCCTTTCTCTCTCTGCCTCAAATGGTCCTGCCTCAAACTCTCTTAATGGTTAATTTTTCAAGATCCTGTGTTTATTCTTCCCAGAGCCAAATTCTTACCCCTCCTTATTAATGATTAAAGTGGTTAAAGCAGTTGTCAAAAAAACTCAGCAACAGGGCAGAGACTCAAACTCACTCTTCTGTCCTCTCTTTCCCTAATACCACCCTGTGCCCTTAAGGACCCAGTGTACTTACCCTAAATCAGCCTATGGAGCCTAACTAATAGGGCTATACAAGTCATTAGAGCACTTCGGTTTTCAAGGTAGCTGCATAGCCTAAAGAATGATGTGGGCCATTACTTTATCCTTGATTACAGAAAAAAGGAATTCAGCAGTGTTTGTACTTCCATAATAGAAGAATCAACTTTGCATTAGTTTTATCTTCTGAGATATGACAAAATAAATAGATTGAGCTATTACAATGCTAGCTTAATAAAAAATCATAAACAACAAACAGAATAATAGTTTCCTTTGGGGAAACAGCAATCCAACAGTAGCTGCTATGTTTTATTTCTAAGTTGAGATATAAGTACATTACAATATTATTTATACTTATTTTAAATTAATTATTTAAATAAACTAGTATTAGATGCTTATTATCTAGAAATGTGGACATAAATGATGAAACAAACTAGTGAATAAGTAGAAAATTGTTGTCTTTGAGGAGCTAAAGTTGGAGTGGGAAAGTGGAAAAAGATGCAAGAAACTCACTTTTTTCATAAAACGTTTTTTGATAGTTCAGTATACAATGAACTATTTGATAAATGTAAAATTTCAATAAAAATTTTAAAACTGATAACTTTGCTAATATTTTTAATTTTTTGGTTTTTTTCTTTTTAAATTTTTTGTTTTGTTGTTTTCTACTTAGTTTACATATTCACATTATGGAACACTATCTAGAGAAAAAGTCAAAAATAATGTATGTTTTCCTTACTCTTCATTTTAGTTATCTTTAGACTACTCTGATCTGGGTTACTTTTTGAGCTTTTAGTTTTGTCTGACTATTTTCTGCCTTTTTAGTATCTTTCAAAGCCTCAAAATATTTTATTAAAGATCAGTTCTTTTACCATTCTTGTCTCTCACTTCAATTTAGAGCGTTTCCGTTTCTGTGAATCTAATAATCACAAATACAATTTGTTCATTTTTAAGTAGCTTCCTAATTCATCTCAATGATGCATGGTGTTCCAGTTCCATGGGGTTTGTTTACCACGTCAGCAATCTGTATACAGCATGTGAATCTGTCAATCCCTGACTTCATTAAGATTAAATTTGCTTCAACATGGCAAATATAGTTGCCCCCAGGTTTAGATATGATGAACTGAAGGACAGAACCTGGCCTGCTGTCAGGTGGAACTGTCAAGTGGACTATGTTGCTCTGTCCTTGTTTTATTTTTATATAGAAATTCTGTATCTTAGAGGGATATCAAAGGTTACCAACATTTAGATTATGAATATAATTTACCACAAGAATTCTATTATTCTCTGAAAAAGAAAAACCATACATTATATATAGTCCTTGAGAATTTTAACTGCTTTTTCCTAAGAATTTTTTTTAAATTGTGCATTATTGACATAAACGATGTAGACTATTTTAATAAAGAAACAGTCTGTACATATGGTGGTTTTAAACAATTTACTATTCATCCAGATATTGAGTATTTTCTACTAGCTTCATGGCCATGAAAAAACTGCTTAGCTCTGTGCCTTAGTTTTCTCTTCTGTAAAAGGAGGTTTATGAAACTATCAATATAATAAGATTAAACAATTTAATAATAAAGCTAACAATTATGCACAGCCCTTATCATGTGTCAGACACTGTTTTAAGCCTCTTGCGTGTAATACTTATTTAATTTTCAAAACAACCCTGCAGAGAGTTACTCTTACCAACGTCTACATTTTACAAGTTAGGAAACTGAGGTGGGGCAATTGAGATACAATGGAATCTATGACAGACATGATTTCTACTCTTAAAGAGCTTATATAGACTATAGAAGATAAACAATAAAATCAAGTGTGATTAGTGTTTGGTTATGGGCATCTATGAGATGGGACAGCAGGAGACACTAGGAGGCTCCAATCTACTCTAGAGAGTAAGGTAAAACACCTCAGGGCAGATGAAGTCATAAAAGCTGAGCTCCCTGTGTTCTGAAGATGACCACACAGTCCCATAGGTGTTCATTGACAGATAAGTATCAAAAGAGATAGTTGAAGAAAAGGCTTTTCAGGAAGAATACAGGAAAGTAGGAGCTGCTTTTTCTCTAGTAGTATTAATACATGTCAACTGAACAGGGAAAATAAGCAGAGAGGAGTGCAGCATTGGTCAAGGGAAGACAGCAGGGTATAACTCCATTGCATTGTACCTCTTTGCTTTGACTCTCAGCTAGAGAGCAGAACAGAAAGTCACTCTCTTTTGCCCTCCCTCTTGCTTCCTTTTAGTTAATGAACATGTAAGAGGCCTCTATAAGCCAGGCCCTTCTAGGAAACAGCAGCGAATATTATAGATAAGGTTCCCACCCTCAGGGTCTTTACATTCCTATGGGAGCCTAACCAAAGTAAAAACTTAACTACTGAAATTATCACTTTTAAACAGGAAAAGCAATTTTTAAGACAATATTCTAGAAAATGCAGGCCCAGGCTCATTTGTTTCTAATTGACATTTCCTTTAATGACAGGAGTGGCAGATGAAATTATTCTGGAACCACAGCATAAAGAATGAATAGAACATATGAAGAATCATTAGGCAGAAGGTAAAGCTTGCTTCTTGTCTTATCTAACAGGACAAGACGGTAAAACCATTAAGTCAAAACATAAGTAATCAACATTAACCACGTTGACCAATGATGATGATGATGATGACAATGATGATGATGATTATACACTAGTAATAGTAGAAAAATAAGCACTTATATTTCAGACAGTGACAGTGTGCTGAGTTTTTTTTTTTTTTTTTATAGACAATAGCTCATCCAACCCTCAAAACTTTTTATACATGAGAAACTTCAGATCTGGAAGAGTTAAGCAAACAGTTGAAGGTCAGTCACCCAGCAAGAAAGTAGCAAAATTGAGATTTAAATTGTTACTTGTCATGATACTTTTTGGACATAATTGAGACTAGAATAGATATAGATAGGTAGAGATATAGATATATACACAGAGATGTATATACATACATAAACATCTCTCTATCTGTATATATACAGATAGAGAGCAAGAGAGAGACTGGATGACTGGATTTTACCCATGTATACAGAAAGAGAGACACTGGATTATATATATATATATATATATATATATATATATATATATATATATATATATTTAGAGAGAGAGAGAGAGAGAGAGAGAGTATGAGTAAAATCCACTGTCTGCAGAAACTGACAAAGCAGCTTTCAGTCTACTAATAATAGTTTTATTTTAATATCTTATTCATGACCAACTTATTTTAAGTAGTACATAGGATTTAACAGAGAAATAATATCATATATCTCTCAATTATATAGCACATCTTTTTGTTTAAAGAGTGATGAGTCAATCTTCCCCCAAACATACTACAAAACATTGCAGGCTTCAGTTTTATGCACAGCTTTCACCTTGATTACAATGAGTCCCTGTATCAGTCAAGGTCATGGCAAGACACAGACACTCAAAGTTCTTGATTGAGTAGAGGTTAATTAAGGGAATATTGACAAAGTGTGAGCCGGGATAAAATGAACCCAACAAGAGATGATGAAACACTACAAGGCCGGTAACAGGGAAGAATCCTTACTATCTCCCCACCTGGAAGGCAAGGGAAGACAGCAGTTACCCTGACTTGGAGAGAGTGCCTGCAACTGAGGATAAGGTTGCCCAGCAGGGGCACCGGTCACAGCTCCAGCAACTCAGCCACTGCCCAACTGCAGCCATGAGAGAGGGAGCCAGGGAAGAAATACCCTCACCTCATCATTCTCCCATGCTCCCAATATCTTTTGGTGTCTTCCACTACCCAAATCCTACCAAAAGCTAGGGGGAAATGGAGCATAGTTGATATTGCACACAAGGGCAGCCTTCTAGAGGCTGGAAGAAGGAGACAGATGCAGGGTTCCAGGATGGGTCCATGGTTTCTGGCCATCCAGTGCATAGTGGTTGTGGCATGCACTCAAAAAAGCAACAAGAGTCAGATGAGGAGTTCATTTTTGAAATAAGTCTATTCACTTTAAAATGAGTTCAGTTTTGGAAGGTGTATTTATTTATTCCCATTCTGTTTAGGTCTTTAAATAATTGTGAGTTGTCTGTATTTAATTATTGCCTATATAAACATGTAATTTTGAAGCTTTTTACATAAAACAAAAAAAAAAGTGGAAACTCTTCTCCACTTGAGATAATATGTTTAAATCTGCCTGAAAGGTACATATTGATACATATTGATATATGAGTGTGTCTACATGGAGGACCAAGAGGATGAACTCAGACTCTGGTATTGAGAAGATACTGAAGAAACAGAATGACATGGTTTGGCTGTGTCCTTACTCAAATCTCATCTTGAATTGTCACTCCCATAATTACCACATGTTGTGGGAGGGAACAGATGGGAGAGAACTGAATCGTGGGGGCAGTTTCCCCCATACTGTTCTCATGGTAGTAAGTCTCACGAGATCTGATGATTTTATAAGGGGTTTCCCCTTTTGCTTGGCTTTCGTTCTCTTTTGTCTGCCACCACGTAAGATGTGCCTTCGCCTTCCACCATGATTGTGAGGCCTCCCAAGCCACATGGAACTGTGAGTCCATTAAACCTGTTTTTCTTTTTAAATCACCCAGTCTTGGGTATGTCTTTATTAGCAGCATGAGAACAGACCAATGCACAAAATAAAATGAAAAAATGAAACTAAAGCTAAAAAGCTGTGGTGGGACATTCACCACATCCCTTGTTTCTACAGTATGGAAGGAATTTCCCACTGCACTCCTAAAAGGAGCAATATGGGAGGAATCCTTTATGCTCCCTTTTTTTTTTAATACCTTTTCACTTCTCTCCCAGGGAGGAGGAATGACATCTGACTGGTGAGTGATTCTGGATAGTATCTCTCCCTCCCTTCCTCTCTCTTTCTTCCCATTTTCAGATACACAGCAGTTCCTGCTCCTCTGTGGGAAGAACCTCTTAGAACAGACCATGACCCTATGGGTTATTATTTGGGAGTTGGGAATGGGTGGAATGGAGTTGAGTGGCCTGTAGTTCTGAGTGAGTAAAATTATCAATTCAGAAAACTGTCAGGAAGACCAAGGTGACCTACATGTTAGCCATACTCTCCAACTTGGATAGACCAATAATAAAGCAAATGTTTTGATCTCCATCTGTTTAACTCACATATCATTTCAACTGGTTTGCAACTTGAGAGGAGAAAAGAGGAATTATGTTATTACCATACTCTAAAAAGAAGTCCAACCACAGCTTTCTTGAATAATAAAATAATATAAGAAATATAGTCCTCCTGATCCTTTATTTAACTCTAAGCATATGCACATTTTGTAACAACTTTAATCTGCCCACTTGGTTTGAGGAGGCACATCATAGGAGTGAGATGACTCATTAAATAAATCTCAGGTGTTGGAGGACAGAGGTACTGCTGAGAGATTAAACAGAAACCAGTGACACAGCTGAGGTTCAAATTTCAGTTTCCATTAATGTGTACATACCCAAATCTGCTCCTGTCATTAATTCCCCCCAAAACAACCTATTAAAAATAAGAAATAAACAAAGAAGCAAACTTCCACTATATTTCACTGCTCTCAGGATGAAGTCTGAAATCTCTGACAGGATATCTAAACTTTTCTTCTATTATGGATTCATCTTGTACCATAATCCCCCTTACTCTCTATGCTCTTCGGTTACTCAAACCAACCAATATTCTCCCTCCTGCCACAGGACCTTTGTATGTGCTGTTCCCTCTACTTGCAAAGTTCTCCCCGCCCTACACTAGTCAACTGCTACTCATGAGTCCTCTTTCAGCTTGAGCTTTACTCCCTAAGGGAAGCTGCCTTGGCCCTTCAATTTAGGTTGTGGATGGTGTTATATTTTCTCATGGTTCCATCTCTCTTTCTGTCTCTCTCTCTATATAAACTTATCCTGGTTGTGATGTATTCATGGATGGGATTGTTTGTTTAATGACTATTTTAATCCAGACTGTAGCTTCATGAAAGTAGAGACTACATGTAATTTTGCTCACCTACTATTTGCAACAGAGTTTAGTGGAGTCTTAATGATTATATGTGGAATCAATGAATAAAAGAATCAGTTAAAATTAATGAAAAAATAGTTACCCAAGTGTTAACGTACCACATATATCTATGCAAAAATACTGACTAAATAGATTTTATCGGTCTTAGGATACAGAATTTTAGTGTAACTCAAGAAAATATTCCAAACTGAAAAACAAATTCATTTCTACATTAGATTTTCATAGTTTATTTTCTGTTTCTCAAAAATGTTCATTTCATTCTAGTGGCCTTAAGTTTTTAAAAAGTCATATCTGCTGTGGTTCAATATACTTATTTCTTTACTAAGGGATTTCTTTACACAGGAATTAACATAGTAGCATTATTATATTTTACTTTAACTATCAAGATGATCTAATAAGTTTTCTAAATTATAAATTATTCCCAAAATAAATGTTGCACATCCAAAAGTCTTATAATAGTTTTTATTTATAAAATAAAATCATAAGATGCTGGAAGTAGAATAATAGAAGTTGGTTTCTCTAAGGAAACAAAAAACACAGCACCTCAGTTCTAACAAATTCTACAAATTGCTAGTCACGTGCAGGGGTAAAGTTAAATAGCCTGGACATCTGTATGATTTAGGGTAATGATGCCTGCTCTGTCCCTTCACTAGATGAGGATCACATAAAATATAATGTGGTCTCATCTCTCTGTAAAATCGAAAGCACAATTCAAATCTAAGATAGTCTTAGTCTATCCTGATGCTGTAAAATTTCAAAGAAAATTTTGATGTTGTCGTGGACTCTGAAGCTACATCACACTGTTCCAAAACTGGGACGTGTTGGGGCTAAGAACACAGCCTCTGGAACCAGACTACTAGTCTCAAATTCCAGCTTGCCCACTTACTGGCTGTGCAACCTCAGGCAAGATACTTAACCTCTCTGCCTATGTTTCCACGGTAGTAACATGAAGATAATAATAGCATAGATCTCATAGTGTTATCAAGTTGATGAAATGAGGTAGCATATGGAAAGGCCAAAGAAAAGAGTAAGCATCAATTAAAAATTAACAATTATTCATAGGCAGGGTGCTGTGTAAGACTTCACTGCTTGATTTATTAATTGCGTATATGGAATAGTATGGATGGTGACAATTTATTAAGTTGTTCACCATATGATTCTGTAGTCTTTGATGGAGAGAAAAAATCCCTACCCATTTGACACTTCAAAGATATTTTATCAAAGGGAATATAACTTTGCCAATTAGAATTTAATTAATAGAGATTCATCATTCCTCATTTATAACTCATCTTTACCATCTTTTTGTCTCACGTTTACTGTGGTTCTCTCTTCTTGCCCAATGCAATGTGTGCCCAGTTCTTTTGATTAGCTTGTAACTTCATCTCTCAGACCAGTCCTCTAAATTTTCAAAGTGGTTTGTCTTTAATCTTAATACCTGTGTTCTCTTGGTCTTGAGAATACTCCACTTGAAGATTTGATAAGCCTTCTTGTACATTTCATGCCAATTACCTCCCTGGATGGATTTAGTGATAAAGAAATCAGAGATGCAACCTAATACTGACTCCTGCAGGAATCATTACAATTTTGCATAATGTCATTTATCGGGACCCACTGCCAGTCTCCATTATGGGAAGAAGATTCACTTTGAAGCCTGTTTGAATCAATTTGTAAAACTGCTTGAGATACTAACAGATGATTTACTGAAATTGAGATACAACTATTGCCTTTTTGGCAGCCATAAATGGTGTTTCTCTGTCAAAACAGCAATCAAGTGAGTTTTACATGATTTGTTGTTAAGAAACTCACAGACTTCACGGCTTACATTTGTTTCCTCCTCTGGATGCTGGCAACTCCTTTCCCTGTCCCCTTACTTTGAAGTGATTAAAGGGATTTCTGAGAATCAGTGATTGCCAGAGGCTTGTTGTGTTGTACTTTAGTCACTTTCATCTTGTCTTGCTCTAGGCATGTTTTCAATGTACATCTTTAATTCCACCCATGAATCAGAATTGTTAGTAGTCCCGGGATTTTATTTGTTTGTTTATTTATTTATTAGGGACGAGGTCTCGATATGTTGTTGCCCAGGCTGATCTCAAAATCCTGGGCTCAACGAATTCTCCCACCTAAGCCTCCAGAGTAGCTGGGACGACAGGTTCAAGTCACCATGCCCCGCATGTTTTTATTCTTGTTTGTGTTCATGGATGATTTCTTGCTCCAATCAAGGGCTGTGACAGGAATCAAGTATCTTCAGGAGTACAGGGCCAGACCCATCCTTAAAACAGCTTTAAAATGCTCCTCAGACTGAAATTGTTACAACTCTAAAGATCAACTGACCATGATCAAAATAACACATTTAGGGCTGCGCAGAGTTTACATAGCACCAGTGGCTATTGTGCAACTGTATAAAATAAATGGGAATTTCTGTTATCTTCCCTAATCTGTCAGAAGGTGCTAAGAGGAAAACGTGACATAAGGTCCTCAACCTTTGTTTCCTTCTCCATGATCTCAGGCAGAATCACAGATGGTTTTGAGACCAAAACCCACACTTCATTTTTGCATAACTCCCATGATACCAATTCTTTTAACCCTTGGTTTCAAAACTCAGTGTCACACTGTCTGTCCTCATTTTTGCTAACTACTAAATTCCTAATCTATATTTCCATGACTTTCTCCTAGGCCAGCTTGCAAGCAGTGGTTGTGAGTTTTGCATGCATTTCTTCTTTTACTCTAAACAAAAAAGAAAACAATATCACATTTACAACTCTGGTACACTTCATAAAAATTTGAAAAAGAGATTTATCTTGTGAATATTACAATTGTAAAAGAAAATTCGGTTTTTCTGGACAATATGCAATCAAAAATCAAATAGCTGACATATAACATCTATTGAAAATAACTTGGTGGTTAGGTACTTCTCTAAGATTACAAACACACACCTGAACACACGCACATTCGTTCAGACCTCACAAAATTCTTTACGATTATCTCTATTTCACAGAATGTGGAAAGTGTTGAATAGGGTAATTAAATAGCTTCCAAAAGTTAAGCAGCTAAATAAATGGCAAAGTCAGGTTTGGACCAGGTGGTCTGGTTCCAAAACTAATTCAACAGTACATATGCACAGGGCAGGATACAAAGATGAATACTATTTATTTAATCTTTTTTATTTAAAACACTCTACCTCTATGAAACCTAATAACTATCTTATATTAAATTCTCAGTTCAATGAAGTAGATTGGAATCACAGGTCCCAGTCACCCAGTATCTCATCTTTTGAATAGCAGGCACGGTTAACCAGATCCCTAGTAAAATGTCACCAACCCTCTGAGAGTACAGGCCTGCACAGTCCAGTCCATATAAAGTAACCTGGTAATGAAGATTGTTTCAGAGTTACTAAGGAATGGACACAAAATACCTGCCTGCTCTTTATTGCTATAATAATAAATATTGCTATAATAATAAATAAAAAAGTGTTTTTTTTCCATCACATAGTTAGGTTTCTCCCCAAGGGGATGTTATTGTTAATTTCTAAATCAGTCAGAGCTTTGGCCTAATCTTAGGCTGCTTTTTGTGATCACTCCAGCTGCCAATCTTCAGATCACTGACTACTCAGTGTGCAAAAAATCTGGAAAGTGAAAGGCTCATTTCCTCATGAAGCAAAACTATTATTTATGGAACAACAAGGGCTTACTATGTACAAGATACTATTTTAAATGTATTAACTGTATTATATTATTTAATTCTCACATCAATCCTATGTGATGGGTACAATTATTTTACTCATTTCTCATATGAGGATATCAAAGCAAAGAAGTTAAAAAACTTGTTGATAGGCCGGGCGCGGTGGCTCACGCCTGTAATCCCAGCACTTTGGGAGGCCGACGCAGGCGGATCACGAGGTCAGGAGATCGAGACCATCCTGGCTAACACGGTGAAATCCCGTCTCTACTAAAAATACAAAAAATTAGCTGGGCGCGGTGGCTGGCTCCTGTAGTCCCAGCTACTTGGGAGGCTGAGGCAGGAGAATGGCGTGAACCCGGGAGGCGGAGCTTGCAGTGAGCCGAGATAGCACCACTGCAGTCTGGACTGGGCGAAAGGGCGGGATTCCGTCTCAAAAACAAACAAACAAACAAACAAACAAAACAAAAAAAAAACTTGTTGATATAGTTTGACTATATGTCCTCTCCCCCATAGTGAAATTTAATTCCCCAGTATTGGAGATGGGGCCTGGTGGGAGGTGATTGGATCATGGGGGTAGATTTCTCATGAATGGTTTAGCACCCTCCCCTTGGTGCTGTCCTCTTAATACTGGGTGAGTTCTCATAAGATCTGGGTCTTTAAAAGTGGGTGGCATCTTCCCCCTCTTCCTCTTGCTCCTGCTCTGGCCAAATGATGCTTCTGCTCCCTCTCTGTCTTTCACCATGAGTAAAAGCTCCCTGAGACTGTCCCAGAAGCCAAGCAGATGACAATGTCATGCTTGTACAACCTGAAGAACTAGGACCCAACTAAATCTCTTTTCCTTACAAAGCACCCAGCCTCAGGTATTTATAGCAGCGTAAGAATCACCTAATACACTTGTCCAAAGTCACCAGTAGAAAGTGAGAAACATAGCTGTTTTAGAGAAAAAATAATATATGAAATTGGTTGAACCATGAAGACAGATAACCACCAGGAAATGATGAAAGACAGAAAGGAATAATTTTAAAGTCAAAAGAGGCAACTTCCTTTGTTCATGGGTTCCAGCGAAGTTAAAAATGGAGATATGCTAAAACAGTAGTTACAATTTTTTGTTGTTGTTATTAAATTAAAACCCAATTACCCATGTGTTCTGACAAGGTTATCCTGTTGCTACTTCAAGTATGGTTACAAATGTTATATTTACTGTAAATATATTTCTACTGCAGTTTATATTCACCAACTTACAGTACACCATATACAAACCATGTGTTTAAAGTTGTAAGATGAATACTTCCATTAATTCCTCTACCTCTGAGACTATATGCATACACTCTTTTAGAGATAATTTCCACAGTGTAAGGGCAGGGCTCTTCATAAATAAAGGCAAGGCCTGGAAAAGTGGCCCTTCTGGAATTCCAGTCATTGGTCCTTTCACCTAGCACTCAGGTGCTTTATAAAGTCATTTGGTGTTCACAACAACCCATTCATTTCATGGGATGAAACAAATGTGACTCAGAGATGTTAATTAACCTAAGGACTATCACCTTGTAAAAAGTGACATTGATGAGATCAAAACCTAAATCTGTCTAGTTCCAAAGCCAGACAGCTGCCTTGTCAGCAAAATAATAGGAAGAGAAAAAGCAAAAGAAAAGGAAGAGAAGGAGAATGGCTGGTGATAGAAACATTTTTGTCCATTACTTTGCTTCATCCTTCTAAATATCTTCCCATAGGTTATTCTCATTATGCAAAAACAATCTTCTGTGCCACAGCTTTTTACTACATGCTTCCACTCCCAAAGAGCCTACTAATTCCTCCAGCCTTGCAGTAATGGACTTCGGAAGATGGCTTCACTTTACTCCCCTCACCCACATCCTGACTATTCTCAGGTAGGGTTGCCAGATAAAATACAAAATGTCCACACAATATTGTGACATTCTTATACTACAGATCATTCCAATTTGACTGGGCATTTGTATTTTTATTTGCTAAACCTGGCAACCCTATTCCGAGGAGACATTAACCAAATCAAACTGCACACATTCTGTTATTCATGCTTTTCCTCTTCAGTACCCTAAACAGGTTTTCTTCCTTTTTTTCTTTTTCTTAGGCTTCATCTCCATATTCAAGCATAGATATTTATAGAGCCCAATTTTTTATCTTCTTGTAATTCTGGAATTGGACTGTGTTGAGGCTCAGGCAATGATACCCCAAAGTATGGTGCTTTGCCATGCTGAGTACTTTGAACTAGAGGACATTGGAAGGTCTCAGAGGAGACCTCAGAGGAGGCTTCAGAATCAAGGTTGCTCTAACATTCTCCTGCCCTCCTGCCTTTCATCCTTTATTCTCTATCGAAGCAGGGCATTGCAATTAGAATTCTTCTTCCCCAAGGTGGTTCATGGAAACTAGAGGCTCTTTTCCCCAAAGTCAGACAAAAATCCAGAATGATTACCTAAATATCCTCCTCTCCCAATGATTTGCTATGTAGGAACTGGTCATAAAGAAATTCTCTGACATATGTTGTCTGATACTAGGTCATAACCCTCATTCCAAAGGGGTCCTGTTCCATACCCAGGAGGAAAAGATGCTACACAGAGAGACCAGGAAGTATCTAAACAGGCATTCCTTGCTTGGTTTCCTCACCTCAGTCTACCAGCATCAATTCATACCCTTTGTGTTCAATCATCAGTAATTTTCCCTGTAGTTGTGGGGGGGGGGGGGTCTTCATTTTGAAGGCTCCCATGATTAAATGAATTTGTTCTGCTTTTCTCTTGTTAATCTGTCTTTTAACATTTGAGTGTTGGCTGAAGCCTTTATGATGGGTAAGGAAAGACATCGTACCCTTTTGCCACTACAACTGCACAACACATTTTTAAGCACATACTTTATTTCAGTTTGTTTAAAGAGTAAAGTAAACATACTCAACCATTCTCTCTTTCCTCTAGCAATTCTCTAACATGAGGGAAAAACAAGTACAAACTTTTGGATTTGTGACTTTCAAAGTCTATAAAACACATCCAGAAAGAAGCATTACAGGTGGGATAATGAAAATAGCAAATAGTAAAGACAGCTTTCTTTTGGGGTAAGAGAGGGAATAGGGAGACAGGGAATGAATCTAATAGTCCTCAGCATGTTTTAAAATATATAAAATATTAGCCAGAGCACTAAGACTGATAAAAAAAGCAGAAAACACCATACTCAAAAGAGACTAAAATTGGCAGCTATCAAAATGCACATATCTATTATGTTTGTAAACCTCAGAAAATAATCTGACAGCTAGCAATCTGTCTACTCTTATATTTAGCTAGCAAATATACACAGTGCCTGTGTTAACATACATGTAGATTCTTTTATGTGTTTTTGCTTTTATAGTAAGCATTAATGGTGTATAAATTTTTTCTTTAATTTTATTTGCAGGGAAAAAATTTAAGCTATAAGTAGAAAGATAATATTTTTTAATATTTTTCTCATAATCCAAGAAAGTGATAAAGGAGACTATCAAGAAAATGAGATTAAAAGTGTAGTCTAATCAGTGTTAAAATGTTAATATTCCAATAACCATATGCCAGCAGTAAATTTAACATAATTAGCATTTTTTTCCTATCAAGCAATAAATCAAGTAGAAGACTGATTGCAGAAAAAGCAGCTAACTCTTATGAAACATTCTAACATTCGTTTTCTAAAACTAAGATTCCTCCAGACAGATCAGAAAAACTTGAAACAATTTGAATAGAGATTCAGAACAAAATATACCACCTGTATAATACTCTCAATTTTTTTATAAGTTTCTGATACTTTAGTTTTTCATAGTTTCTTTAAATAGTGATAGTAAACAATAAAACAAACAAGCAAGAAACAATCTTCTATTAGTTAGCAGTGGTATTAGAAAAAATAATATAATGTCTGACCCCCAAAATTACTGAGCTAGAGTTATAACAGATTCCAATATGTAAAGATGTCTGAACAATGTATTTATTTCTGTTACATGGGAAATCCTTCTAATCTATCCTAACATTCCATTAGTTCAAAGTATCTAGAAATCTAACCCCAACTTTTGCAAGAAGCTTCAAAATAAGCCAACCTCAAATGCTTTTAATTCCTGCCAAATGACTATCTCCTAGTTTAAAATGAATTGAAGTCATTAGGTTTGAACTCTAACTCTCCAATCAATTAAACCTATCTATATTTTAGCCCGTATTTCTCTCTACCTCTGAGCATGAGGTATTTTTCTTCTTGTTTCCTATTAGTCCTTTTATGTACGGTTTTTAACCCACTGTTTTCCATCTCTTCAAGGAATATGCTCCATTGCTCATACCTAATTTCTCCTAAATTTTTACCTACAAATATCCTCTTTCAAGATAAAGGAAAGGAAGTAGACTTCTTTCGGAGGAAGTAGGTTTAATTTTCTCCTATTCTGAAAATTAAAAACTTTTCTTTGGCTCGGATTCACTTTCTAGCCACTGTTTTTCTCTTTCTCAATTTTCCTTTATAAGCTTCCTTAAAGAGCCATCAATCCTTGATGCCTTTAATTCTTCACGTCACATTCATTCTCAATCACATGACTTATTTCATTCCCCCATTTCTACCTTCACGCCTTACCTGAAAATACTCTTACTAAAATCAACTATGAAGACTGCTGCCAAATCCAGTAGTTATTCCTAATCCTTTTCATCTTTCCCTGTGACCTTTGAGATGTAGAGCACATATCTGGTCTTCCTGAAATCTTCTGCTCTATGTTCTTCTCTTCTTTGCTATTCCATTCTGCCCATAACTGGATCTTCTTGCTCTGCCTGCCCTTAAATAACGATGTTCCACAGGATTGTGTCACATTGTTTTGTTTTGTTTTAACTAAACAACTCCCATTATTTGTAGTATTATTTGTAGAGTTATCATTTCCAATTTATATCCATAGTCCAGACATCTTACAGAAATTCCAAAATAGGACATTACACCTGCCAGCTGGTCATTGTCACCACCTAAGCGGATCACACATTACTGAAATCAAGCAGTTCAAAATGTACCATGCTATGCCTCTTCCAATACTTCTGCCTAGCACCTCCCTAAATCTGCTTTTTATTTCTGTATTCCTTATCTCTGTTTATGGTACCAATTGTTCCAAAAGGGAAAAAAAAGCATCTTAGAACCATTTTTGGTGATCCACATTTTCCCCATGCAATTAATCACTCCTAATAGTTCCAGCTTTGAATTATTTCCTAATTATTTTTCTTCTCCACTATCAACACTGTTTTTGCCACTGTTCATTCACCCCCCTAAAACCTCTTTACGGGCTATTACAATTAGTGTGTGTATGTGTGTGTGTGCGTGTGTGTGTGGAACATTTAACATGAGATCTACCCTGTTAACAATTTTTTAAGTGCACAGTACAGTATTAACTGTAGGCACAATGTCAATAAGCATATCTCTAGACTTTATTTATTTTGTATAACTGAAACAGTGTACCCATTGAACAGCAACTTTTTACCTATTCTTCCAGCTCTTGGCAATCACCATTGTACCCTCTGTTTCTGTGGATTTGACTATTTTAGGTATCTCATATAAGTGGAATCATGTACTATCAGTTCTTCTGTGATAGGCTTACTTCACTTAGAATGAACTTGTCCTCCAAGTTCATTCATGTTGTCACATATGGTAGGATTTCCTTCATTTTTAAGGCATATATATATAGGCATATATATCTCACATTTTCATCCATTCATCGATCAACGGATGTTTAGGTTGTTTCCTTGGCTTTGTGAATAATGCTGCAATGAATATGACAGTTCCTCAAAAAATTAAAAATAGAACTACTATATGATCCAACAATCTCATTTCTGGCTATATATCCAAAAGAATTGAAATTAGAATCTTGCAGAGATACAATAGTTCTTTTACTGTTTGTTTTCCTGCCTCTGGTCTTGCCCTGTTCAAATCTATGTTCCTTTGTGCTTTCAGCATGACTTTTTTAACACTTACATGACAATAATTTTCATATGCTCTTTCAAAACTTTTCATTAATATTTCCCACCTGAACGAGTGTAAGCTTTTTAGTATGACATGAAACAATTCAATGATATCTAACATTACTAGAGTGATTAAATAAAATTATTATTTAGGAAATACCCATACTAAAATTATGTTTATAATTTACCTGAAATTTAAACTTAATCAGAAATCCTGTATTTTTTTTTTCTGGCAATCCCAACAACAGGAGACTTGCTTATCCTCTAGGTTCATCTCTTCCTGTGCTTCACCCATAATTCTACTCCCAAACTCTAAACATTATTATCTAACCTCCATCCTGCCCTACCCAACCAAAAAAAAAAAGAAAGAAAGAAAGAAAAACTTACTGGCCTACTTTACTCTTCTTTCTAGTCTCTTAAAATATTAACCTTTCTGCCTGCAACATTTTCTCCCTGTCTGGGGTGCCTCTTCTCCATAATAACTGTGCCTGTGGTTGCACAAGCATGAATCAATATCTCATTTCTCAAATGGACTTGCAGTTAGGTGTGGCCATAAGACCAAATTATCTCCAGTGAAATGGAAGCAAATGTTATCTGTGCCATAATCTAATCCTGTTTCAAAAAGCCTCCAAACAGTGCCCCTCAATGTTCTTTGGGATGATGACACTGAGAGAGACCTTGAATGCACATATAAATGATGACCAAGTTGCCATCAGCCTGGGTTCTTGAAAAACAACCTGGAGCAGATTCCCTCCTCCCCTCTGGAGAACCTGCCTCAAACTGTTTAGTGAGA
This sequence comes from Homo sapiens, assembly GCF_000001405.40. Lineage (NCBI taxonomy): Eukaryota > Metazoa > Chordata > Mammalia > Primates > Hominidae > Homo > Homo sapiens. Next base: position 44,248,893 of record NC_000004.12, read on the forward strand.
AATAACAAAAACAAAAACTCTCTTGTGCCGGAACCATTGCATTCAGGGTCTAATTAGCCTATCTTCCTAATTCACTATCCTCTCTCATTTTCTGGTCTCAGCTAAATAAATATTACCTATTATGGAAATGTTAACTATGAAAATATCACCTACTATGCCTCCCAAATACTAGATTACAGAAGGAGGTAACAGTAAACGAAGAAGGTTTAATGATCCTGAGGATTATGAGCTGCAGTGAGAAAACTAGGACTTTCATTAAATTTTATTTGGGGCATGAATTATAAAGTAAGAAACGAAATCCTCATTATTTCTTATGAACAAAGAAATATAGGTTAATGAATTTTTTCTCATGATTAAATATATGTTTTCCTGACTTTCACATTTCAAAGAAATTGGAGGTTAACAAGTTATTATTAACAAGGCCTTTGAATAAAATCACTCAAAAAATCAATTTCCTTTACAAGTCATTACATTCTAATGCATATTTTTAAAATTATAAAATATTTTAATTTTTAGGAAAAGTACATATTGTACTCTATACCAAGCATTGGCATTTTTTCCTGTAAAGAGTGAAATAATAAATAATTTAGAATTTTCAGGCCATAAGGTCTCAGTCACAATTATTGAATTCTGCCATTAAAATGTAAAAGCAGTCATAGATGACAAATAAATAAGCATGGTTTCGTTTCAATAAAATTTTATTTACACAAACAGGTGGCAAGGAAGATTGGGTTCACAGATCATACTTTGTAAATCATGTAATCTCTATCCAACTATGTACAGTACCTGTATAAACACCACAGAAATTATAAATAAATTATTAGTATTTTGTCATATTCTCTCCTTCCATGTCTCCTTCTCCCTTTCCTTCTCTCTCTTTCCTTCCCTTCCTGCCCCCTTCCCCTCCTCTTTCCTTCCCTTCTTTTCTTTCTCTACTAGTATATTACAGATACAGCAAAAGTCACTCTTCCTATCCTATCCTTAGATCTTTTTCCCTTTCATTCCCTCCAGAAGTAACCACTATTCTGAAATTGGTGTCTATCATTCCCTTACATGTACCTGTATCTATAAATGATGTGAAGTAACATTTTTGGTTTTAAAATTACACAAATGGTGTCGATTTTGTAGACATCTTTTGCAGTCAGGTTTATCACTCAACATCATTTGTGCTTTTTAAAAAAATTCTAACAGCATGGCTCTGGACATCTTTGTATACTTGTGAAAATGCACATGTGTAAGATTATACATGTTCATGGGTGAGTTTTTTTAGGCTCTTAGAAGTGAATATTTATAGTATGTGTATCTCCAATTTTACTGTTGCCAAATTGCTTTTCAAATCGAATGTTATGTTTTCACCAGAAATATACTAGTTTCTGTGTCCTCATATCTTGCCATATATGGTGTTATCTGAGTTAGTGATTTTTTCCAATTTGATGAGAGTCTAATGAAATCCCATTGTTGTTTTAATACTAATTGCTTAGGTTTAGGGAGTGTTTACTATGTTAAGCATGGTTCTAAACAGCTAATATATTCTAAAGCTTACTTAATCATGTAGGAAAGTATTATTTTTGTCTCCACTTTACAGGTGAAAGAGCAGACCCAAAGATGTAAAATCACTTTCCCAGGTTCAGGTCACTCAGGTAGTCAGAGATAGAACCAGAATCTGCACCCACGGGGTCTGATTCTGAAGTCCATGTTGTTTACGCATGAAACTTACAATTCTCTCTCTAGGTTTGACTTGGCTTTACCCTGTGAGTAAAGTTGATGATCATTTTATATATTATTAAACAGATTTTTCTCTTTTGTGAATTTTCTGGATGTACCCTTGGCTCATAAAGTCATTGTCCCATTGTTATTTAATTGTGCTTTTTGTTCTTATTCATTTGCAGAGGTTTCTTTATGTATTCTGAGAAGTAAATAGTATTTAATTTATATAGGGTGCAAACATTTCCTCCAATTCAAAACTTGGCTTTTCATTTACTTAGTGTGTCTTGAGTCATTTTGAGTTTTGTCTTTAATTTCATGTACGCAAATGTAACATTCTTCATTCTTTTCCTTCATGGCTGCGTTTTTAAATAGTTATTTAAGAAATTATTTTACATTTCAAGATCATGAAGATATTCGTGATTTCTTCTTTACATTTATTTCAGTTTTCCATATGGATAGCCAATTTTACCAGCATTATTTATGGAAAAGTCTGTCCTTTGCTCCACTGTATTATAATGCCACTTGCAACACTTACTAGTCTTCCTACAGAGAGTTATTTTGGGGCTCTTTTTTCATTTCCACTGAGATATTTATGTCTTCACAGATATCAAAATATTTTAATTGTCACACCTTTTAGTAAGTCTTACCAGTTAGTAAGGTGAATTTTCTCTTATATTCATAAAAATTCAGGACTTGTCTATTTTTGTCCCTTCAGCTTCTCATGTAACTTTCAGGATCTATTTGACAAATTCAAACAAACAGAAACCAACTGGTAGATTCGAAATAATTTGAATATATAAACATATGAAGAACTGACATCTTTATTTAATTGAGTCTTTATAAACATAAGCATTGTAAATCTCTCAACTTATTTGTGTCTTTTCATGTCTTTCTTTGAAATTTTATATTTTTTCCATGAAATGTCTATATAACTTTTATTACATTTATTCACAGGTACCTTCTTTTTTGTTATTATAAATAATATTTGTCTTAAAGTTACATTTTCTAATTATGTATTGCTGGCATTTGTGAAAGCTACAAATTTTTATGTTAATAGGGTTCCTTATTTTGTTCTTCCTTTAAAATAGAATGTCTCTAACATTTCTCCATTAAGAATTATGCATCTTATAGGTCTTGGAAGGTAACCTTTATTGAGTTAAGGAGAGACTTTTCTATTCCCAGTTTACTAACAGGATTGAAAAAAAAATCATGATTAGGCATAGAACTTTTGATATGCTTTTTTTTCTGTTCCTGTGTTAATTTTTTTAATTATTATTTCAATAGGTTTTGGGGGAAAAGGTGGTTTTTACTTACATGAATAAGTTCTTTAGTGGTGACTTCTGAGATTCTGGTGTACCCGTCACCCAAGCAGTGTACACTATACCTAATGTGTAGTCTTTTATCCTTCACCCTCACTCACCCTTTCCTCCAATCCCAAAGTCCACTGTATGATTCTTATGCCTTTACATCCTTATAGCTTAGCTCCTACCTGTAAGTAAGAACATACAATGTTTGGATTTCCATTCCTGAGTTACGTCACTTAGAATAATGCTCTCCAATTTTACCCAGGTTGCTGTGAATGCCATTACTTCATTCCTTTTTATGGCTGAGTGGTATTCCATTGTATCCATTGTATGCATATATCACAATTTATTTATCTACTCATTGATTGATGGGCTAGTTCCATATTTTTTGCAATCACAAATTGTGCTGCTATAAACGTGTGTGTAAGTATATTTTTTCATATAATGACTTCTTTTCCTGTGGGTAGATACCCAGTAGTGGGATTGCTGGATCAAACGGTAATTCTACTTTTAGTTCTTTAAGGAATCTCCACATTGTTTTCCATAGTAGTTGTACTAGTTTACATTCCCACCATCAATGTAGAAGTGTTCCCTTTTCACTATATCCAGGCCAACATCTGTTATTTTTTTATTTTTTGATTATGGGCATTGTTGCAGTAGTAAAATGGTATCGCATCAAAAGCTTTTTTGTATGTGTTGAGAGGTTATTTCCTCTTTATTTTTTACTGTAAAAATTTTAGTAAATGACTTTTCTAATATTAAACTATTCTTTCTTTCCTGAAATAAATTCTGCCTTGCCCTAGTGTAATTTTTAATTACACTCTTGGATTGATGTTGCTAATATTTTATTGAATATTTTACATCTACAATCACACATAAATGTCTTATGCTTTTCTTTTTACAAAAGGTACTTTAAAATTCACTGAATTATATATCAGTCTCACAAATTGAAAAGAGGCACTTCCTTACTTTTTGCAACAGCTCGAATAATATATGGAGTGACAGTTTGAAGGTTCATCATAACTTAAAAACCTCCTTGGCCTAATGTTTAGATTTGTTTTTGAGGGTAGCCTTTAATGTATTGATTCCATTCACTGAATGGCTGAAAATTATTCAATTTTTTTTCCTGAAGGAGATTATCAAAGTTCCATACATATTGTAACTAAGTTATTCATTATGTGTTTTGTTTATTTTTAATATCCCCATATTTTAAAATATAAGTTTTCTCCTTTTTTCTTGTTCAACTTCACTAGAGGTTTACCGTTCATTAGTCTTTCCATAAAATCAGTTTTAGTTTTGTTGCTCTCCTTATTTCTTGTTTAATAAATTTTATGAGTCATGCCATCTGGGCCTGGGGCCATGTTCATGAGACAGTTTTTTTTTCTTTTTAATCACAAATTCAAGTTTTTAGTAGATATTGGCTATTCAGATTTATAATTTTTATTTGCCCACTTTTAATAAATTACAATTTTGAAAGCATTTGTCTCTGGTGGATTAAAAATGGCCACAGATTCTTGTGGCTATCTCACTGATGGTGGAGTTTGTGTCCTCTTCTTTATATCTGGGCTGGTTTTGCAAAATGGAATCCAATAGAACATTGCAGGAATGACACCATGCCAGTTCTAGCCCTAGCCTTTAAGAGGGCTTACTTTCCGTCTCTTATATTCTTGCTCTTGGAATCCAGATACCATATAAAGAAGCCACCTTCATGGCAAGCACAAATGGATATAGAGAGATCCCAGTCTTTCTATACTGGTCCTTTCCAACTCTCCAAATGTCCATGTGGCTTTTTTAGTCCTAGCTGTCCTCTGATCGCAGACATATGAAAGATCCCAAGTGAGACCAGCAGAATAACTATTTGGTCAAACTGGAGGTTCCATGAGATAATAAATAATATTTTTTATTTTGTCAGTAAGTTTTAGAATTTTTGTTACATAGCAATAAGTAGCTAAAACAGAAATTGATCCTGCAAGTGGGGTGCTGCTGTAACCAAACCCTAAAATATGTGTACTGATAGTGAGCAGAAGCCAAGAAGCTTGAGGAAACTATTGGCGCAAAGTGGAAGGACAGTGAAGGCATTTTATTAGGGACAGTAAAAAAGGCAACCTGTGTTATATGTGGTGGAAAATGTGGCAACACAGTCACCTGCAACCATAAGGAAAATAGAAGATATATTTATTGAATCTGTGGATTTGGCTAAGAAGATTTCCATGCAGAATATTGAAAACACTAACTGGTTTCTTTTAGCTGTGTACAAGAATGTGTTCAGAGAGAGATTAGTTAAAAAAAGTGAACTGTTTAGTTATTAAGCAGAATCTAGAGGAAACATTTCCAAGCTAGGAATTACCAGATTCAAATACAAAACTGTTTCTAATTCCCAACCACTATCCAGCAAACTATTTTCAAAGAAAGTATTGGGTCCAGGGCAAAGATCAAATATAGTTTTTTACAGGAAAACACGTTTTTAAGGTCACAATGCCAATGACACCTTGCACTGCAACTGATTCTCAGGCTTGTAGGAGGCAATCTCTGCTAAGTCTTATAGGGTCTTAACTACAAGTGCAAAGCGTAGCCCTTGACCAAAGGTCTTTGCTGTATACCAACACAGACTTATTATCCCACCACCCCCACCCTCACAAAGATTTCTTTTCTCCAGTTATTTTCTGTAAATCTCAGTCACTTCTGTAGCCCTCAATTCTGATCTATGCCTTTTTAGCCTCACAAGATCACTTTTCAATTTAGGAGTTTCTTCTCTGCACTATGGTAAGAAAAGCCCTCCCATTCACAATGCCTGGGTGACTATCAGGGTGAGACTTCATATATTCCCCTATCTCAAAAGTCTCAGATGCTCTACCTATTTTCCAATGTCTTCCAGTTGCTTTAAATATTTTATGCAGTATGTAGTTGTTTACAGTAGGAGGACAGTCTGGTATCATTTATTTAGTCATGATTGGAGGCATAAGTGTTATAAGCATATATCTATCTGGGCTTATTTTTGTGGGAACATTTTATTTATAATTTGGCTGAGGGAAATTCACTCTCTCCCCTGAGCAATTTTATACTTGTCTCTGCCAGTGTCCTAGGGGTTTCCACACCCCAGAAATAATTTTCTTATTGAGGATGCAAGTTTCAAAACTTAGATGAGTATATAAGGTATTTTTGGTTTGTTTTCTTCTTGCTATACTCAGTGTCCAGGAACAAACAGATAAGTGCACCCTGCCTATGATGATAAACGTCTTTTTTTCAAAACCATCCCTTCACTATGATGCTGGCTTTCTTGGCTAATGGAGAACTTGTAGCTCCAATATCTCAACTTAAGCAGAATCTATGCCTTTCTTTCAGTTCTTCTGTGGTTGCTAAAACCCATCTAAGCCCCTAGGGCTGAAATATCTCTCAGTCACCAACCATCTTATTCTTTCCTCAAGGAGCCAGTAATATCATGTCTCAATATAGTTATAATTTTTTCATTCTCTTGTTTCTGAAACCTGAAGATTTTTTCTCTTTTGTTTCCTTATACATTATCTAAGCATTTAAAAAATTTTGTTAAATTTTATTCAAAATTTCTGTTGTCTAAGTTATCTTAATCATGTCTCCAGGTGCATCATTTTAATATTTAAATATTTCACAGATCTCTATTGTCTTAATAGAAAAAACTTTTTATCCCAACCCTTTCCATGTCCCTATGTCAGTAATTCAATCTCACTGTTTAGAGCTCTTTTTAAGAAGAAAATGAGTCTTTTGATCTAGAATTTTTCCCATTTAAAAAAATTGTTTCAATTGGACTTCCATGTAAAAAATAATCTTGTATCCCTGCCTGATGTTATACACAAAAATCCATTACAGATGAATTCTAGATGTAAACATAATAGAAGAATAATGAATATTTTAGTAAAAACATAAGATAACATCTCTATTACTTTGACATCAGCAAATATATCTTAAACAGGACACACAGGAAAGTGTTCATTATAAAATAATACAAATTACAAATTAATATTTGACTATTGTATTAGTCTGTTCTCACGCTGCTAATAAAGACATACCTCAGACTAGGTTATTTATAAAGGAAGAGGTTTAATGGACTCACAGTTCCACATGGCTGGGGAGGTCTCACAATCATGGTAGAAGTCAAAGGGAAAGCAAAGGCGCTTGTTACATGGTGGCAGGCAAGAGAGCATGTGGAGGGGAACTGCACATCAGATCTTGTGAGACTTACTACCATGAGAACAGCAGGGGAAAGACCCATCCACATTATTCAATTACCTCCCACCAGTCCCTCCCACGACGTGAGAATTATGAGAGCTACAAGTCAAGATAAGATTTAGGTGGGGACGCAGCCAAACCATATCAACCAGGTTAAAATAAGATATTCTGTTCATCAAAGGAAAATGAGAAAGCATGAAACAACAACCCACAGAGTAGCAGACGCTCTCAATTCATGCATATGACAAAGAATTTGTATTTGATATATACATATATTTGTAAAAACATAAAATATAAAAAGCTTATAGAAAATTGGCTAGTGACTTGAATAGATACTTCGAGAAAAAAGATATCCAAATATATAGTAAATATATGAAAGGTGTTTAAATTATTCCACCAGTTGATGAGGATATGGAAGGAAGTTTCATACACTACTGGTGGGAATGTGAACTGATACAACTTCTTTGGGAAATAAGAGATTTTGTTGGTGTGATTAAATTAAGGGTCACAAGATGGGGTACTTATCCTGTATAATCTGAGCGAGCCTGGTGTAATTTCAAGGGCCTTTGTAAGCAGGAGGCAGGAGGAACAGTTAGTGAGGAGATGAGCAGTTGAAAGCAGAGATCAGAATGCTTTGAGTAAGAAGTCATGAGCCAAAGAATGCAGGTGGCCTCTGGAAGCTGGAAAAGGCAAGAACTTCAAGGAGAAAGGCAGCCCTGACAACTCATTTTAGATTGCTGACTTCCAGAACTGTTAAGATATTAAATTTGTATTGTTGAAGCCACTGAATCTGTGGTTATTTGTTATAGGAGCAATAGAAAACAAATATCCTCTATGACCTAACAGTTTCTTTTTTCATAAATGTCCCCAAAATAATGTTGAAAGAAAGAGGTTCGATGTAAAAATGGTAAATACTGTATGATCTAATTTACATAACATTTTAAACAAAAACTGTGATTATAGAAAATGTAAATAGTCATTACCCTTAGGGGAAGATTAGAGCCTGTAAGGGAGAAAAAGAGGTGCTGTTAATGTCTGATCTTTAGTTTGGGTTATGGTTATATGAAAATGTTCACTTTGTGAAAATCCATCAGTTTAATGTATGTATTTTATACTTCAATAATAGGTTAAAATATAAATTTAAAATGTGACCCTGAATGTATATTGATTGATAACAGGGAAAATTAAAATATGTGGGATATTTAAAACATTGTTTTAAATTAAAATGATTTAGAAATTCACTTTGGATAAGTTAATCGAAAATATTAACTAAGGTCTTTTCGAGGTCTTATTTAAAAGACTGAATTGTTCTCTCAAGGCCCAAGGGCCTAGCCAAAGGCTAGGACTGTCCCTTAGGGCACTGTTTTCATGCCATGCATATTTAATTAAACAGTTAATTTAAATATACATAGAAAAACATCCCCTCAAGGCTAAAACAATGACAATGTTTTTCTTTCTAATTATTTTTCCCTATGTCCCTATTGAGACTACAACCTTAATATAGTACTTTTAGCTATAGTCACTTCTAGTTAGACGTCTTTCCATTTTTAACAAGTCTTTTGTACTATTGCTTAATAGGCACACTGATGTCATCGGTGCCAGCTGCTCTCTGCTTAGAGAGTAAAAGAATGAGGATGCAAGGCAGCCATAGTTCAACTTTTAAAAATGAGTTGAAAGTAATGGATAAGGCCCCTGCCTTTCCTCTTTACCTCTACAGAAAGAAAAGGCAGCCCACTGTCAGGGCACAAGTCTTCATCCGTTGACTTGAATTCCCATTTTATTAATATAAGATTGAAGTACCTAGACAGGCTGATGATATTCATGGACAGCCTCATTCTTCAATAGGAACATTGATTAAATTGTGGCTTCCTAACTTCGTTCCAGTTCATTAATTCCTTTCTACATTTTAGTTAAACAAAATATATTTTGAGTTGCCTATTGTGTATAAAATGCTGTTTTAGGAAACTGAGGGAAGGTAACACAGAATGAAATAAGATACTATTAGGAAATCAGATGCTAATAGGAAAGACAAGTCATGGTTAATTGTCACAAATGAATTACTATGATATTTCTCCAACTCATTTTGAGGTTTAAGTTTAAGGCAATATCTAAATATTCCAAATATGAGGACTTGAACTAGGAGTTGAAACACTAAGTATTCAGTACATTCAGAATATATATTTGAAACAGATTGTGGTGATGGTTGCACAGCTCTGTCTATATACTAGAAAAAATTAAATTATATTATTTAAATGGGTGAATTTTATGATATGAAAATTACATCTCAATAAAGATGTTTTAAAAATAGAGTGCTAGAAAAGAGTTTAACTAATTCATGTATCTGGGGAGAAGGGAGGTAAAGAACAGAAATGAACTATGTTTCATCTTTCTACATCCCACCTGAAGTGTTTATGAGTGCTCATAATTTCTGGTTGTGTACCTATTTGTATATTTGCAAATGGAGGTGATTCAACTCCTTTAATGTGGTATATTTGCTTACTATTAAACATCCTAAACTTTAAATAATCTAAGACTGTTTTCCTTAACATTTAAATATGATATTTAATACATTTCCTTAGATAACACCTCACCAAACTTTCCATTACTGGTTCCACTTTTTAAAATCCAAATTGATTCTGCAGAAAGTATTTGCTACTTATATTAACATATGAGTCAAGTGGTTTAAAATGGGGGCTCTCAGGCTAGATTGCTTGGATTGTAATAAAAAACCACCACTTAAGAACTATGAGCTCTTGAGCAAGTTGCTTAACCTCCCTCCCTATGTCTCAGTTTCTTCATCTGTAAAATGGGAATAATAATGACCCCTACCTCATAAAATTGGTGTAAATACCTGGCACATAGTAAGCATTCATCAATGTTAACTGTTATTATACCATTTAGGGTCAATAATTTCTAAATAATTTCTAAATATATAATTTCCACAATTAATTAACTGGGTTAGGAAACTTGTCTTGGAAGGCAAAGCAGCCTTTTAAAAATTCCCAAATGACAAAAGCACTTACACTTCAGCTAAAGACTCCATTCTTCCCACTATCTCCAAGCAGTTTCTTTCCTTTCGTCTGTTTTGATCATTGTTTGCTTTGTGGTTTTTTTTTCAGAGTGGCAATACATGATCTTCCACATGCAAGTCAAATAAAGAGTGTAATTATTAATACATGTTTCTTTCCTCCATCATGAGGAAATAATTTATCCTTCAAATATAATCAGCCGGTTTCTCTTTTAAACGAAGTGTAAACCTGCCACACTAATACTTTGGATCTGGCAAATAGAAAGTTTCTGTAATACTTCCCCTTTCAAGTACATATGGCCATAGGATTACAAAAACAGAGTCAATGGAACAGGAAAAAAATAGTAAGATCCATTTAGTTCATCCTCCTACATCCAAGCACCTAAACCATCCCAAAAAGTAAATCTGTTTTATTCTCAAAATCTCTCAAGGTGAAAATGTAATTTTCCTTGGCAACCTATTCTAATTTCTTATAGTCTGTATAGTAAAGTAGCTTTTTGCTAACGCAAGTACAGGAGTGAAATATTCAACAACATTTCTATTTCTGGTTCTTTCTCTGTACGTGATATTTTTCTTCCATATAAGTTGTCTTAATTTTATCACCACTTATAAGAAATATTCAAATCCATTAGTGCAAGAAGTGTTGATGTGAGTGAGCAAAAGGTCTAAAGGCAAATTGTTCTTTATGCATCTGTTATTTGAGGTATATTGGGTTTTTCATGATTTCTCTTACCCCTCCCAAAAAACAATCCTTAAATATGTACTCCAATTGCTACAAATTGAACATTTTGAAAATATGATTACATGTTCAATTATATATCATAGGTTTAAATGTGACAGGGAGACTATTTTTTACATATAATTCTGCTTTCCACAAGTCATTTAGGTGTTAGGAAGGCAGGCAGAAAATGAAAACAATGAATTGTATACTAGTCTTTGAACTTCAAAAATGCTAAACTTGTCACAAGCAAAATGAGAACATCAAATGGAAGTATTTTATGCTAAAATGAAAAAAAAACAATTATTAAAATTAATAGAAAGTAAGTAGGGTACAATCAGAAAATATCTTGAATATCTTCTAGGAAATATATGTGATATTTTCTAGGAAATATTCTAGGATAGGAAAGGAGGAGGAATATGAAAGTGATAATAATAATTTATTCAACATATGTGAACTGATCACCTACTATGTTCTAGGTACTGGAGATTGAGCAACGAGCAAAACAGGAAAAGTGCTTTCAAGGGATTTACCTTCCAGGCAAAAAAAGTTGAGAACAACAAAATAATAAACAAAAGTATATAAAATATAATGTTAGGTACTTGATAAAAACATTGAAGAAAAAATAAGTCAGAGTAAGGGAACAGAGTGGGGAGAGATATCACTTAAGATAGGGTGGTCACAGAATGTTCTTTGAGGTGCAGTCATTTTAGCAAAGGCATGAACGAAATGAGAGTTAAGCCATGCAAATATCTGCAAGAAAAGTTCTCCATCTCAACAACCCCAAAGAGCAAAGAGCCTGCAATGTCATCACGTTTAGAATTTTCAAAAACAACAAAAAGATCAAGGTGGCTGGAGTTAAGTCAATAAGGAGAAGAGTAATGGAAAACAATTCATGAGAGCTATCCAGGGGTTGGATCACAGCAGCCACAACAAAAATTTAGGGTTAAATTCTAAGTGAGATGGAAATCATTGGAAAGTTAAGAGCAAGGGAGTGGTATGGTATGAGTTTGGTTCTTAAAAATATTACTCCGGTTGCTGTGTGATAAACAGACTTCAGTGAAGTAAGACTTAAAGCAGGGAGATGAGCTAGAACCTATTGAGTTAAAAAGATGTAAAAGATGAAAGTAACGTAATAAATGTGTGTAAAAGATGAAAGTCATTTAAACTATGGTCTTCGTGGTGGGGATTAGAAGTGGTAAGACTTCAGCTCTACTTTGAAGGTACAGTTAGTAGAATTTCTAATGGTTTGCATATGAGATGTAAGAGACAAAAGCACAAGAATGAAGGACGGTGGCAAGATTTTTGTCCTGAGAAACTGGTGAACTAATGGTAGTGTTCACTAAGTTGGGGTAAACTGGAGGAGGAAGAGATTTGGGAGGAAAAAATGAAGTGTTTGGCCTTGGATGCATTAAGTGTTAAATTCCTGTGAGATATCCAGTGAAGATTTCAGTACGGAGTTGAAAACTCAAGTCTTAATTTCAGCAGCAAGTTTGGTTCTGAAAATCAAAATTTAGCCATAATCAGAGTATATATGTTATATAACCTCATGGGGATAGATTTGGTCACCTAGGAAGTTAGTGTAAATAGAGGAGAAGAGGTATCGACATCTATTTTCAGAATATTTCACATAAACAATATAGTACTACTAACTATAGTCATCATGCTATACATTAGATTCCCAGAACTTATTCTTCCTATAATTGAAAGTTTGTAAATTTTGACCAACATTTCCACATTTCTCATACCCCCAACCCCTGGCAAACACTGTTCTACTCTCTGCTTTTATAGTTTGACTTTTATAGATTCCATAAATAAGTGAGATCATACAGTATGTGTCATTCTGTGTCTGGCTTATTTTACTTAACATAATATCCTCCAGGTTCAATCCTATCACAAATGGCAGGATTTCTTTCTTTTTTATGGCTGAATAATATTTCATTATAAGAAAATAGGAATTGTATATGACAGTGAATGTGTTAATTGATTTGAATGTGGTGACCATTTCACAATGCATATGCATATCAAATAATCACATTGTACATCTTGAATATATATAATTTTTAGTTGTCAATTAAAAATAAAATAAGAGAGGAGAGGCCTCAGAATTGAGTCCCAAGCCCTGGGGCACTTCAAATTTCAATGTTAGAAAGATGAGGAGGACCCAATAATGGAGACTGAGCTGAAGTAATATTGAAATAGAAGAACAAGAGACCTAGAGACCAAGGGAAGAAAGTAATTCAAGAAAAAGAAGTGAACAGTTCTGTCAAACGGTTTCTCAAGATTAACATATGAACAATTATCCACTGGGTTTCACAATAAGAAAGTCACAGGTCACTTTGACAAGACTGTGACTAGAGTTTTCAGTAGAGGGATGGGGAAGGATGCTTGATTACAGTGGGTCCAAGAGTGAATGAGAGATGAGGAAATAGATATTTCAAAGTATTTTCTCAACCAAAACAAATGGACCCATTGTGAGAGAGATATAAGCCCCACTACCCTACTCTCTCCATGGTAATGATCCAAGAGAGAAAATTGTTGACAAAGAAAAATGAGAAAATAACGACATGAGCAAAATCTCTGAAAAGGCAATAAAAGACATTAAAAATATATAAGGACATATCAATTACTTAAGATAGAATATATTCTTCGTATAAGTCACCTGTACCTTGGAGTGAGGGAAAAAAAGCATTATATTTATTTAAAACTAAACCAATGACAAGTAGAATTTGTTATTTTGCCTTTAATGAGAAAACCTCTAAAAGTATGCATTAAATTTCATTTGAATTATCTTTTTGTTAATGTCTTAAGGGGAATAAAATAACTGTTATAGTTCTAGAAAATTAATTTCCAAAATGGTTATGTTTCTCCCTCATTGGGTTTTAAAAAATATTTAATTAAGTGGGATGCCTTGTTACTAAAGATAGCTGCACACAGGTAGAATAATGAAACATGGCCCAGAAATTTACTCCCCATTGAATAATGTAACAGCATATTCAAAAATTAATATTCTGTACTCTCAAGGGTATCTTTCAAATTTCAAAATGAGACTTTCTGATGTTATTGTAATTGGTATGAAAACTAGAGCAAAGTAGAATCGCTAGTATTATGAAATGAAACATATGTTGAATTATCATAATAGAAGATCAGCTTAGGGCAGGGGGCTGCTTCCTATATGAGAATTTTGTGTAAATGTTTTCCCTCTGCCCATGACAAGTCTAAATTTCACTCTCACATATTCTTTCCTCTCCCACTGCAGCAACGGAAAGCATATGGTATTTTTTCTTTTTCTTTTTATATTTTTATAATCTTCATTTTGTCACATTATAGGCATAACAGCAAGTTTATGCCTAAAAACTTTCTCTTTTCTAGTTAACATGGATTTCTGTGTTGAAAATCTAGGTAGATGAAGGAACTAATCTGTTTTGTTTTTCAAAGAATACTGGTTACACAAACCATGATCATATCTCTGGGTTCTTTCAAAGAGAATAAAAGGAACACCAATGTTGTCATGACATTGAATCAATACTTAATGAGGTTGCCTCTGGGAGAAAAGACTGATGTTTTAGGCCTAAAAATGGCTACTTCTTAATCGTTTGCTGTTGCATTAAGCCTTTTAAACCCAGATTTAAACACTGCATTTGTATTGTCTACAGATGGATTATTATACAATTTAGTATTTTGTTTGATGTTAGAAAGAAGAGAATAGTTAAGAGTAGAAGGGAAATAAATGGAAATACAGGAAAGAACAGGAAAGAATAGGAGAGCTACAGGTGGCAGAACAATACCAATTTTGGAAAAAAATGGTTTTAAAATATGGAAAGCTGTTATTAGGATTAGTGATGGCTTAAAATGCATCCCTAGTCAACAGTCTTCAAGTGACACATGAAGCTGAATTTGCCACTGAGATAGGAAGTAGAAACATTTATTCATCAACATGCTTCCAACATCCAACCAATTCAAATATCCAAAGGCAGCTGTACTCTTTCCTTAGAAGGACCCTAAGGAATTCCAAAGAAAGCTCTCCATGTTGTTCCTGCAGGTATGACATAAATTAAAATTTATTTTCCTTGCCAGGAACTACCTCCAATCTCCCACTGTTCCCCAGTGACAGGGATATGTGGTCACATTTGACTGTGCCTCAATAACTTAATAACTCAAAGTAAGTTATCTCCTTTTGCCTAAATTTTCTCATCTGTAAGATTCACATAATATCAGCTTCTATCTCAAGGAATAATTACAGAGATTAGATTAATTAGCAATGAAAAGGTGCTTTAAATTGTATCAAGCACACATTAAGAACTCAACAAATAATTGTTATTAGTCCTAAATAATAAAGAAGAACCACCTCTTCCTGTAATCTTTAAGTTCAAAATTGAAACTTTGAATATTAGCTATTCTTTATAGAATTTTTTAAAAATATTAGCTTACCCTAATATTTGGGTCAGAATTTAGTACTTTTTTATGACTTAACCATTATACAATTTAAATCACTTAATAGAGCAACTAGAGTTGGAATTGTATTTTCTTATTTGTTTCACATTAGGGCAGTTTTCTAGGCTCATCAGAGTGTCAGCATTACATTATAAAGTCCCAGAAGGCAACCTAAGAAGACAGGAGATTTCTTCATTTCCATCTGAGGTAACGGGTTCATCTCACTAGGGAGTGCCAGACAGTGGGCGCAGGACAGCGGGTGCAGTGCACCGTGTGTGAGCCGAAGCAAGGCGAGGCATTGCCTCACTCGGGAAGCGCAAGGGGTCAGGGAGTTCCCTTTCCTGGTCAAGGAAAGGGGTGACAGAGGGCACCTGGAAAATCGGGTCACTCCCCCCCGAATACTGCTCTTTTCCGATGGGCTTAGGAAATGGCACACCAGGAGATTATATCCCGCACATGGCTCGGAGGGTCCTACACCCATGGAGTCTTGCTGATTGCTAGCTAGCACAGCAGTCTGAGATCAAACTGCAAGGCAGCAGCGAGGCTGGGGGAGGGGTGCATGCCATTGCCCAGGCTTGCTTAGGTAAACAAAGCAGCTGGGAAGCTTGAACTGGGTGGAGCCCACCACAGCTCAAGGAGGCCTGCCTGCCTCTGTAGGCTCCACCTCTGGGGGCAGGGCACAGACAAACAAAAAGATAGGAGTAACCTCTGCAGATTTAAATGTCCCTGTCTGACAGCTTTGAAGAGAGCAGTGGTTCTCCCAGCACGCAGCTGGAGATCTGAGAACGGGCAGACTGCCTCCTCAAGTGGGTCCCTGACTCCTGACCCCTGAGCAGACTAACTAGGAGGCACCCCCCAGTAGGGGCAGACTGACACCTCACACGGCCGGGTACTCCTCTGAGACAAAACTTCCAGAGGAACGATCAGACAGCAGCATTCACGGTTCACGAAAATCCGCTGTTCTGCAGACACCGCTGCTGACACCCAGGCAAACAGGGTCTGGAGTGGACCTCTAGCAAACTCCAACAGAACTGCAGCTGAGGGTACTGTATGTTAGAAGGAAAACTAACAAACAGAAAGGACATCCACACCAAAAACCCATCTGTACATCACCATCATCAAAGACCAAAAGTAGATAAAACCACAAAGATGGGGAAAAAACAGAGCAGAAAAACCGGAAACTCTAAAAAGCAGAGCACCTCTCCTCCTCCAAAGGAATGTAGTTCCTCACCAGCAATGGAACAAAGCTGGATGGAGAATGACTTTGACGAGTTGAGAGAAGAGGGCTTCAGATGATCAAACTACTCCGAGCTACAGGAGGAAATTCAAACCAAAGGCAAAGAAGTTAAAAACTTTGAAAAAAATGTAGACAAATGTATAACTAGAATAACCAATACAGAGAAGTGCTTAAAGGAGCTGATGGAGCTGAAAGCCAAGGCTCGAGAACTACGTGAAGAATGCAGAAGCCTCAGGAGCCGACGCAATCAACTGGAAGAAAGGGTATCAGCCATGGAAGATGAAATGAATGAAATGAAGTGAGAAGGGAAGTTTAGAGAAAAAAGAATAAAAAGAAATGAACAAAGCCTCCAAGAAATATGGGACTATGTGAAAAGACCAAATCTACATCTGATTGGTGTACCTGAAAGTGACAGGGAGAATGGAACCAAGTTGGAAAACACTCTGCAGGATATTATCCAGGAGAACTTCTCCAATCTAGCAAGGCAGGCCAACATTCAGATTCAGGAAATACAGAGAACGCCACCAAGATACTCCTCGAGAAGAGCAACTCCAAGACACATAATTGTCAGATTCACCAAAGTTGAAATGAAGGAAAAAATGTTAAGAGCAGCCAGAGAGAAAGGTTGGGTTACCCACAAAGGGAAGCCCATCAGACTAACAGCGGATCTCTCAGCAGAAACTCTACAAGCCAGAAGAGAGTGGGGGCCAATATTCAACATTCTTAAAGAAAAGAATTTTCAACCCAGAATTTCATATCCAGCCAAACTAAGCTTCATAAGTGAAGGAGAAATAAAATACTTTACAGACAAGCAAATGCTGAGAGATTTTGTCACCACCAGGCCTGCCTTACAAGAGCTCCTGAAGGAAGCAGTAAACATGGAAAGGAACAACTGGTACCAGCCACTGCAAAAACATGCCAAAATGTAAAGATCATCGAGTCTAGGAAGAAACTGCATCAACTAACGAGCAAAATAACCAGCTAACAACATAATGACAGGATGAAATTCACACATAACAATATTAACTTTAAATGTAAATGGACTAAATGCTCCAATTAAAAGACACAGACTGGCAAATTGGATAAAGAGTCAAGACCCATCAGTGTGCTGTATTCAGGAAACCCATCTCACGTGCAGAGACACACATAGGCTCAAAATAAAAGGATGGAGGAAGATCTACCAAGCAAATGGAAAACAAAAAAAGGCAGGGGTTGCAATCCTAGTCTCTGATAAAACAGGCTTTAAACCAACAAAGATCAACAGAGACAAAGAAGGCCATTACATAATGGTAAAGGGATCAATTCAACAAGAAGAGCTAACTATCCTAAATATATAGGCACCCAATACAGGAGCACCCAGATTCATAAAGCAAGTCCTGAGTGACCTACAAAGAGACTTAGACTCCCACACAATAATAATGGGAGACTTTAACACCCCACTGTCAACATTAGACAGATCAACGAGACAAAAAGTTAACAAGGATACCCAGGAATTGAACTCAGCTCTGCACCAAGCAGACCTAATAGACATCTATAGAACTCTCCACCCCAAATCAACAGAATATACATTTTTTTCAGCACCACACCACACCTATTCCAAAATTGACCACATACTTGGAAGTAAAGCTCTCCTCAGCAAATGTAAAAGAACAGAAATTATAACAAATTGTCTCTCAGACCACAGTGCAATCAAACTAGAACTCAGGATTAAGAAACTCACTCAAAACCGCTGAACTACATGGAAACTGAACAACCTGCTCCTGAATGACTACTGGGTACATAAAGAAATGAAGGCAGAAATAAAGATGTTCTTTGAAACCAATGAGAACAAAGACACAACATACCAGAATCTCTGGGACGCATTCAAGGCAGTGTGTAGAGGGAAATTTATAGCACTAAATGCCCACAAGAGAAAGCAGGAAAGATCCAAAATTGACACCCTAACATCACAATTAAAAGAACTGGAAAAGCAAGAGCAAACACATTCAAAAGCTAGCAGAAGGCAAGAAATGACTAAAATGAGAGCAGAACTGAAGGAAATAGAGACAAATAAAAACCCTCAAAAAATTAATGAATCCAGGAGCTGGTTTTTTGAAAGGATCAACAAAATTGATAGACCGCTAGCAAGACTAATAAAGAAAAAAGAGAGAAGAATCAAATAGATGCAATAAAAAATGATAAAGGGGATATCACCACTGATCCCACAGAAATACAAATTACCATCAGAGAATACTACAAACACCTCTACGCAAATAAACTAGAAAATCTAGAAGAAATGGTAAATCCCTCGACACATACATTCTCCCAAGACTAAACCAGGAAGAAGTTGAATCTCTGAATAGACCAATAACAGGCTCTTAAATTGTGGCAATTATCAATAGCTTACCAACCAAAAAGAGTCCAGGACCAGATGGATTCACAGCAGAATTCCACCAGAGGTACAAGGAGGAACTGGTACCATTCCTTCTGAAACTATTCCAATCAATAGAAAAAGAGGGAATCCTCCCTAACTCATTTTATGAAGCCAGCATCATCCTGATTCCAAAGCCTGGCAGAGACACAACCAAAAAAGAGAATTTCAGACCAATTTCCTTGATGAACATTGATGCAAAAATCCTCAATAAAATACTGGCAAACCGAATCCAGCAACACATCAAAAAGCTTATCCACCATAATCAAGTGGGCTTCATCCCTGGGATGCAAGGCTGGTTCAATATATGCAAATCAATAAATGTAATCCAGCATATAAACAGAACCAAAGACAAAAACCACATGATTATCTCAATAGATGCAGAAAAGGCCTTTGACAAAATTCAACAACCCTTCATGCTAAAAACTCTCAAGAAATTAGGTATTGATGGGATGTATCTCAAAATAATAAGAGCTATCTAGGACAAACCCACAGCCAATATCATACTGAATGGGCAAAAACTGGAAGCATTCCCTTTGAAAACTGGCACAAGACAGGGATGCCCTCTCTCACCACTCCTATTCAACACAGTATTGGAAGTTCTGGCCAGGGCAATTAGGCAGGAGAAGGAAATAAAGGGTATTCAATTAGGAAAAGAGGAAGTCAAATTGTCCCTGTTTGCAGACGACATGATTGTATATCTAGAAAACCCCATTGTCTCAGCCCAAAAACTCCTTAAGCTGATAAGCAACTTCAGCAAAGTCTCAGGATACAAAACCAATGTACAAAAATCACAAACGTTCTTATACACCAATAACAGACAGAGAGCCAAATCATGAGTGAACTCCCATTCACAATTGCTTCAAAGAGAATAAAATACCTAGGAATCCAACTTACAAGGGATGTGAAGGACCTCTTCAAGGAGAACTACAAACCACTGCTCAATGAAATAAAAGAGGATACAAAGAAATGGAAGAACATTCCATGCTCATGGGTAGGAAGAATCAATATTGTGAAAACGGCCATCCTGCCCAAGGTAATTTATAGATTCAATGCCATCCCCATCAAGCTACCAATGACTTTCTTCACAGAATTGGAAAAAACTACTTTAAAGTTCATATGGAACCAAAAAAGAGCCCTCATTGCCAAGTCAATCCTAAGCCAAAAGAACAAAGCTGGAGGCATCATGCTACCTGACTTCAAACTATACTACAAGGCTGCAGTAACCAAAACAGCATGGTACTGATACCAAAACAGAGATATGATCAATGGAACAGAACAGAGCCCTCAGAAATAATGCCACATATCTACAACTATCTGATATTTGACAAACCTGAGAAAAACAAGCAATGGGGAAAGGATTTCCTATTTAATAAATGGTGCTGGGAAAACTGGCTAGCCATACGTAGAAAGCTGAAACTGGATCCCTTCCTTATACCTTATACAAAAATTAATTCAAGATGGATTAAAGACTTAAATGTTAGACCTAAAACCATAAAAACCCTAGAAGAAAACCTAGGCATTACCATTCAGGACATAGGCATGGGCAAGGACTTCATGTCTAAAACACCAAAAGCAATGGCAACAAAAGCCAAAATTGACAAATGGGATCTAATTAAACTAAAGAGCTTCTGCACAGCAAAAGAAACTACCATCAGAGTGAACAGGTAACCTACAAAATGGGAGAAAATTTTCGCAACCTACTCATCTGAAAAAGGGCTAATATCCAGAATCTACAATGAACTCAAACAAATTTACAAGAAAAAAGCAAACAACCCCATCAAAAAGTGGGCAAAGGATATGAACAGACACTTCTCAAAAGAAGACATTTATGCAGCCAACAGACACATGAAAAAATGCTCACCATCACTGGCCATCAGAGAAATGCAAATCAAAACCACAATGAGATACCATCTCACACCAGTTAGGATGGCAATCATTAAAAAGTCAGGAAACAACACATGCTGGAGAGGATGTGGAGAAATAGGAACACTTTTACACTGTTGGTGGGACTGTAAACTAGTTCAACCATTGTGGAAGTCAGTGTGGTGATTCCTCAGGGATCTAGAACTAGAAATACCATTTGACCCAGCCATCCCGTTACTGGGTATATACCCAAAGGACTATAAATTATGCTGCTATAAAGACACATGCACACATATGTTTATTGTGGCACTATTCACAATAGCAAAGTCTTGGAACCAACCCAAATGTCCAACAATGATAGACTGGATTAAGAAAATGTGGCACATATACACCATGGAATGCTATGCAACCATAAAAAATGATGAGTTCATGTCCTTTGTAGGGACATGGATGAAATTGGAAATCATCATTCTCAGCAAACTATCACAAGGACAAAAAACCAAACACTGCATGTTCTCACTCATAGATGGGAATTGAACAATGAGAACACATGGACACACGAAGGGGAACATCATACTCTGGGGACTGTTGTGGGGTGGGGGGAGGGAGGAGGGATAGCATTAGGAGATATACCTAATGCTAAATGATGAGTTAATGGGTGCAGCACACCAGCATGGCAGATATATACATGTGTAACTAACCTGCACATTGTGCACATGTACCCTAAAACTTAAAGTATAATAATAATAATAAAAAAAAGAAGGTGACCTTAGGCCTTTTCTTAGAAATTTTCATGTATATTTATTAAGACCAAACAGTTGGGTTTGAAAAAGGCTTTGGATAATTCTGTTGCAAAAAATATAGGTGATGTATTCCATATAATGAGAAACTGCTGAAAGCACAAATGGGTCGTTGGCAACCATGCTATCCCCAATAACTTTACTTTACGAAATGTATTTAGATATACGTTATTGATGCTTATTTGTTCATTTGATTTTCATGTCAAGATGATTACAATTTTCTCTTTAGTCTTGTACTACATTTAAATAGGGAGAAGAGGTCCTTTGAAATCTATTTATTCTCAGACTAGCATTTCTTTTTACCAAAGTCCCTACCCAACATTTTTTCTTCTTTCATTCCTACATTCGTTTCATATTTTAAGAGTATGAAAAGAGGTATCCTACAAGTTGACTACATGGATTATTAAATAAATTTTTAGAGAGGAAAATGAAGGTATACACTGTATACCCTCTCCACATATCACAAAGAGGCGTGAATTTAGGAGCCAATTTGAGGCTAAAAATCCATGAGGAAAGGATAACCATTAACAAATAAATCAATGTCATGTTTACACTTACATTATTGATTAAAATCCTAATATATTACAGTGTTATTTCCTATCAGAAGAGATAATGCACTTTAAAATCTTTTCAGTTAGGCTTCATCCTCAATCAATATTTACATAGAATACAAATCCTCTAGAAGGTATATTCACCCTAATGAATAGTAATCAATCATGATAGAGATATATTGAGTATGCCAGATAATTAATTTGCTAATAATTACTTCATTATGAGAGACAGAATAGCATAATGGCTAACAGCCTGCGGGCTCTGGACTCAGACTTCTAGTGTTCAAATCTCAATGTCACAGTTTACTGAGTGTGTGACTGCTGGGGATAGGCCCCCAAATCTGCCCATAAACTGGTCCCAAAACTGGCCATAAACAAAATCTCTGCAGCATTGTGACATGTTTGTGATGGCCATGATGCCCACACTGAAGGTTGTGGGTTTACAGGAATGAGGGCAAGGAACACCTGGCCCACCCAGGGCAGAAAACTGCTTAAAGGCATTCTTAAGCCACAAACAATAGCATGAGCGATCTGTGCCTTAAGGACATGTTCCTGTTGCATATAACTAGCCAGAGCCCATCCCTTTGTTTCGGCCCATCCCTTTGTTTCCCATAAGGAATACTTTTAGTTAATCTATAATCTATAGAAACAATGTTTATCACTGGCTTGCTGTCAATAAGTATGTGGGTAAATCTCTGTTTGGGGCTCTCAGCTCTGAAGGCTGTGAGTCCCCTGATTTCCCACTCCACAAGCTATATTTCTGTGTGTGTGTCTTTAATCCTCTAGTGCCGCTGGGTTAGGGTCTCCCCAACCAAGCTAGTCTTGGCATGTGATCCTGTTAGTTCCTCTATCAAATGAAAATGAGAAAGTACCTATATCTCAGGGAGTTGAGGGCATCATGAAATGAGAAGACATACATTGAGTGTCAACACATAGTAGAGGTCCATCAATAAATACCCATGGTATTATATTATATATATATATATATATAAATGCTGAACCATAAGTAACTGCTGTTTTTCAATATCCATCAAGTATTGTCAATTTAATAAGTTTCCATTCAATCAAAACATACACAGTGAATCTATAGGGATTCCAAAGTAACTATACAAAAATTAGCAACAGGAACATTTTTTTTCACAGAACCTTTTTCAGAAAGATAAATGATGAACAAATAAGCAAAAAAATTTTTTTAAAAAAGTACTTCTACTGTATATATTATGGAATCCGCACAGACTTGTCCCATCGCTCATACTTAATTATAAAGTAATATACAATAAAATTCATTATGAGGCACTTTATGAATTTGATGAACTGTAAACCATCAGATATTTAAAATATGTGTAGAATGAAGTGCTTTCTCTTGTACTTAAGTTTTTGAAAAAATTATAATCTATTCAGGAAAATATTTTAACACTAAGCATTCTTAAAGAATTTTTGGTAACAATAAACTCTCACACATCCGTGGAGTAGGTGCATGTAGATTGTATTAATGGTAACAGAGGTTATTGAATTGTGCATTTTGATTAAAAGATTGATTCAACAGATCTATTTTTATGTTAGTCATGAATCAGGCATGATGTCAGACCCTAGGGAGACAATGATGAGTGAGACAGGGAGGGTCTCTGCTCTCAAACACACATATCACTGGAACTACTGAAATCCACTTATTACTGCAATGCCACCAACACAGAGAATTGAAAATTCCTCAAATACGAAAACATAAATTCTTTTTCTCAATCGAATGAGCATTTAATAGGGCCAGGGTTGTTGATAGTTCCAAAAAGAGGGTATAAATAGTTCTTATGGGGAAGAGTATCCCTCTTCATTTATGAGTCACATCACATATCAGCAACCAAAAAAATTCTCACTTGACTTGAAGAGTTAGATAACTAACAAGATTGGAAAATGGAAGAATAAAAGGTGAATCACAAATCTACTTAAATAATTCTATTATATAACAGCTAACTTTTTAGCAGCTTATTCCACAATAAGGTTTCCAAAGTAAAAAAAATCAAACATTGATAAAAATTAAAAAGATGATATTCACTCCATGTGACATATATAATTCATCATTTTCTCTATGTGACCATAATACAGGTAAAGAACAAGTATATTGAAAGGCATTTGACTATCTATTTGAATTTAAAAAGCTGCTCTCCCAGGATCAAATTTACAGCCAAAAATGCATATGTGTACGTATGTCATATGTACATTAACAAAGCTGTACATAAAAATTTTCTAAAAGAAAACAACTATGACATTTTCAATGTTAGCATCATAAAACCTTAATGAATTTTTTATGACTGAAAGACTGCAGAGGCTTGGAATACAAATTAGAAGTCTTATAAAAGGTTGAAAATGTCTCTCATTCCAATCATTGAACCACTGGGAAAAAAGATGAAGATGGGGAAAGGAGTCAATTTTCCTAAATTCAAAAGAAAAATTTTCCTAAATTAAATTGCCAGAATACTTTATAAATGGTCATTTCCTAATTTTTCCCACTGACAATTGGAGAATTCTTTAGAGAAATATGTATTTCACAAAATAACATTGTTAAAAACAAAAAACACATGTGACAGGGCAAACCCAACATGTCAGTTAAGCCAAATAATCTGGATGTCTGTGAAATAATAAAAATGACTGATAAACCCAAAACACTATAATGATAATGTACATTATAATTATCTTGTCAATATGAGCAGATGTTAAGTTGGATTGTCATAGTTAGGTTTGTTAAAATCCACACTCAAGTCTGAGGACAAAAACATAGATTGTTATTATCTAAAACTTCTATTTCTTTTAAAAAATCTAACTGTTGTTTGAAATCATGTAAATATTCAATAGCAGAAAAAAAGTCCTGTTAAGTTTACTTTTCTAAATTTAAAAAAGATTATAACCTCTCCCTGTATTCTTTAACTCTACAGATAGTTTTAATAAAATTGAACATTTGGCCAAATTTAGATAAAGTAAAAAAGATTTTATAATATTGGTTTAGACAGAGACATCTCATGGGCTTGATAAATAATTTCAAATCCCTGCTTCCCTCCTTGGAATAATTTAGGGAGATTTAACTTTCTAACTTTAGCAAAGACCAAGAATGTTAAATGAGTCTACTGAATGGTGTCATGTGGTTTCCAGCAAAACTACTCAATCATTTCTGTTTAAAGGTAATCAACTTAATTTGATATTATAATGGTGCAAAAGTAATTGCAGTTTTTGCCATTACTTTTAATGCAACAACCTAATATTTTCACTTTTTAGTCTCCATAATCACTACCTAAAAACTTTCAGTTTTTCCATGAACTGATAAAGTCTGAAGCTCTTCCATGTCAGACATAAAGTGAAACATCACATTATACTGCAGTTGAATCTCAGTTCTTATGAGTCATTCTTCTGATTTTCACACTATTTCTACTATATTGAATTATCAAATTGTATTGGTTTTGAGTACCTAAACTTAATTATGTTAAAATTTATATAGTCATTTCTTGGCCCATGTCAAAAATTTGGTTGAAATTTACTTGTATCATTCATAATGAGAGTTTAAAGTCTAGACTGGAAAGTATATCCCTAATACATTTTATCATCTTTCTAAAATATCCTCACCCTAATACATTGTATCTTCTTTCTAAAACATCCTCAAACCCAGATTAGATTGGCCAGGCAAATTGCTATAAAGCAAAAAAAAAAATCCACTATTTTGCCTTCTGAATGAAGTTTAATTAACTTAGAGACTAGAATGTGGTCCACTGCAATCTATTAATGCTGCTTTATCATTCATGCTGATTAAAATGTTCTACATATACACAAAGTTGTAAAGTCTTTTTTACTACCCAGAATGGCTTTTAGAAAGTGAAGTGACTTTCTAAGAATATATGTCTTGATGGTAACTTAGAATAAAAGAAAATAAAACGTCTACATATGAGACAGGATAAAGATTATACTGCTCCTTAAAGTGTATGGAAAGTTGGAGAAGGTATCCTAAAAATGGAGTGTAGAAATGAGACAGGGATCATATGGAAGATGTAAGTGCACATGTGACTAGAGATAATAGGCATATAAAAGATTGGTTCTTAATGTTACACACAGTGGGGTGTGAATATAAGCCTTTCCTGTGCTTGTTCCTAACATTTGGGTAAATCATCTTTATGAGAAAATACTTTTTAATTTCTCTCTTTCTGTCTTCTCCCTCCTTTCTTCCTCCTTTCCACCCTCTGTCCCTCCCGCCCTCTCTCCCTTTTATTTTACCATATGAGAATCAAAAAAGAGACAATGTAATGTACACATAGCAGGCATAAAAGCATGGAAACAGAAGTGATCAAAAGTTTTTGAGAATTTCTAAAGCTTTAGGAGGAGAAAGTTTTTAGTCATCTATAAACTGTACAAATGAGGACACAAACTGACTTCAGGCTTACATATCTAAACTAGAAGAAGTTGAAATAAGGTTTAATCAAAGCTAAGAATCTACTAAACTACAAAGTATAATCTTAAAATGTAAATGCAACAGCTTCTTTATGATGTCCTTTACCAGCTTTTTATTTCTTGTACATCGTGGTGGGACAAACTGGTTCTAGGAAGTGGCACGCTGTTACATTTTGCATGCCCATGTGAGGGGCAATATTCAGAGAGGTTCAAATGCCAGCCTAGGGAGAATGCTCTCAGCAAAAGGTATGGTAGTATAAAGAGAGTGATGGGAAGAAAATAGGAATGATGCTGCCACGTAAAGCTTCCAACAGAAAAAAAGAACTTTTCATAAGACATTAATTAACAAATTTGCATCAGTGTAGCAAATATTTAGTAAAGGTCTGTATTAAAATATAACTGAACTTGATTAAAATATGGTTTCTTATTTCATGAGAGTCAGTAAAAATTTCAGGGTGGTTACTTCCATGGTCCCAAAAGAGTGGCATCCCAAGGGTGGTGTGGTAGAAGCCATCTGACCTGGTGCAGGCAAAAAGGCAGACACATTGTCTGCAGACAATCTAAAACAGTAAGAAAACCATATAAAAGTTGGTCTTTTTATTAATGTATCCCCATGTATGGATTATTCTAAACAATTTCCATAATAAGATACTCCTCCCTGAAAACACTTTTCATTCAACTAAGTTTTAAACAGTTGCTACAGGTTTCACCAAGTTTTATTAATTATATGTATGCTTCAAATTAATACATTTATGTTATATATCCTTTAATAATGTATTCTAGGTGGAAATTAATACAGAGAATTCTAAGTTATATAGTTGGCCTCTTATTCGTTTGGATGCAGCTATATGTATTCCTTTTTTAAATAATTATCTAAGGATTCAAAATTGTTTAAATTTGCTGAGGACATTATTTTGGGCTTTATCCCTTGTGGTAATAAATATTCTTTAGTCTAAACAGTAGATTCCAAATAAATAATAATGGCACAATAATTATGAAAAGAAAGTAACCAATCTTGAATCACCTGAACTCTATCATTCTATATAACTAGTTGGTATTTTGTGTGTATGTGTTTTAAAATTTTTTAAACAGTAAAGCCAAGTGAGAACTGCAAGAAGTCATATTTTTGTTTGGTAAGTGCAAATTTTATCTCATACATTAGCTATTTTACTCAGCTTAAATAAAGTTCACATTTAATATTCTCTCAAAATATTTGTTCTAAAATTAAAGAATGAATTGAGCAAGTATCATTATTATTTCATGAGACTTACTTACTGAAAATAATTTTTTCAGACAAAGAATGGGAGTGTTTAAAAAATGATCTTCATCAATGTTTTAAGTACTCTATGTACACCACTAAGAGAACTTTGGTCCAAATCCCAGCCTAGCTACTTAACTCTGTGACATTGGGCAAGAGATGAAGTTTCTCTATCTGTAATTTGGAAATAAAACATTCTTATTTAATTGGATTATTCTGAAAATTAAATGAATTAGTACAGGTAGTTAGAACAGCACCTGGAAAATATTAACTAACTGATAAACATTAAAGTTATTAATATTCATGCTAGAAGACATGACAGACCATCAACTCCTAAAATGAGTACCTCAAATTAATAAGCCTATGAAATATTAAAGGAAAGAAGATTATAGTAAAAATCCCAAATAAGACAAAACAAATAAAAAGAAAAATACCTTTATATGAATATCTCAAGCTTTGATAATTATAATTTATATTAGCATATAAAGGACTCCATGGCAAGGAAATCTTTTAATTTTGTTTAATCTTATTTTTCGCTTATCTAGGCCATAAGATCCGCTTTCAGGAGTATTTCTTGAAAAGAAACAGTACACTAACAGTACACTAACACTGTTAGAAAAGAAATAGTAACTAACAGTGTTAGAAAAGAAACAGTACACTGTTGGTACGCTGCAAAAAACAGCTACACGGAGTAAATCATTCATTCATTCATTCATTCATTCAATAAAAGCTTACTAAACAATCAAAGAACAATTATATCAGGCTATAAACAGTCCATAGGGGAACTAGACCCCTGTTTTTCCTCGATAATTAATTAATTAATAATTAATTAGTAATGCACATTATGGAGCACTTACTTACATAAATGTTTCCTAAACATTTTACGTGCATCATTATTTTTTAACTCTTACTTCAATCCTATGTAGAAATAGTAAGAACCATTTTTAAAGATAAAGAATCTGAGGTTTGTAATCATCCAACCAGTAAGTTGTGGAATTGGACTTTGGACCAAGATATTCCTGATACCAAAATCTGGGTTCTGACTACACTACTACATTCTTAAGTAAATTTTACTCCATTCCTAAAGAAGCTTACTGTCTGGAAATAACAATAAGTTTATGCAGAAAGTTACAAGGATTGTACTAAATTTTCTCTTGTTGCCTTGCCTTCTGGAAGGCTCAGGGCTAAGGAATGTGATTGGTTTAATAGTTTCTTTTAGTCTTGAGTTCCTGACACAGTTACCTACTCTCTGTTTTTCATCACTTTTGGTTTCCTCTTCTATCTTTGTTTAAATGTTTGATTTATCAAGAGTCTTTTACACAGACATATAAATTAGGCCAAATCCACTGAAGAGGCAATAGCTGGAAACCTTAGGAAAGAAATCCAAATATATAGTAACTATATGTATCAACATGAAACTTTCACTCATAATACTGTATTATGTAACCAAATTATTCTCTACACAATATGTCCCCAATAGATGTCAGGGTTTCTTGCTTTTTTCCACTTATCCTTTCCTAACCCCACTTTCTGTCTATTCCTGTGGCAGGAAAAGAAAAACAGCTATCAAGTGCTCTTAATAGGATAGCAATGCCTATTAAAAGTTAGAATATTAATATAGTAGAATGGTAATTACTTTCATATTGCTTAAAAGGGCAATGGTGAAAAATGAAGGGAGCAGCACATTTGTAGAGGTGATGATGAAATAGTTTAGAAACTGTAGAAGAAAGAGCCAATAGTCATTGACTCTCCGGCCTTATTCTGGCAAGTCATACAGACATACTTTAAAATTTTGTAGACTTGGAAAACGCATCACATTCACATTGATCAACAGTATTCAAATTTTAATGAATGGTATCTAAAATCAGAAATGATGAGAGTATCAATGACCTGTTTCACAGCCAGGCCCATACCTCATCTCCGTTCTCATCCTTTCTGACCTCTCAACCATGACTCAAAGAGTTGAACTCCCAGTCTCCATTATTTCTCAGATATGGAGAGAACAGACTCCACTGGCAACAAAAACCTTCTGCATGCTTTCCCCAATATTTTCTTTATTGATATGCTGTGACTGCCAGGCTATCTCCTATCTATTTTTATTTCTTGCACTCTTAAATTGGGGAAGGCTTTTCTCTTACGGTCTGTTAGGAGAGGCACTTAGTGGAAACAGCACAAGCTTTGGAATCAAATAATTCTGGATCTTAGTTCCCATTACATGTCAGCTTTGTGGCTTGGGATAAATTGGCTATACCTTTACATTTCATTTTTATGTGTAAAATGGAGATAGTCATATTTGCATAAAGGTGTGTGCATTATCTATAGTTGCCATAACAATCACCATAAACTTAGCAACTTCAATAAAATTCATTTATTATCTCACAGTTTCAGTGAGTCAAAAGTTCAGGCGCAGTGTGGCTCAACAAGGTTATCTGTGTAAAGTCTCACAAGGATGAAACCAAGGTGTTGCATATCCTGTATTCTGTATTGGAAGCTGGGGGAGACCTGCTTCCCAGTTCATTCAGGAGGCTAACAGAATTCAGTTCCTGTCCATGCTTTCAACTTGCTCCCTTCTATCTTCAAGCCAGCCATGGTGCTTGGAGTCCCAATGCTTCAAGTCTCTCTGATTTCTTCTTCTGCCCTCAGCAGAGAGAAAGATGTGCTCTTAAGTGCTTATATGATTACACTGGGTCCACCAGGATAATCCAAGATAATCTTTCTATTATATAGTCAATTCATTAGTAACTTTAATTACATCTAGAAATTCCCTTGTTCCCACATACACAGCATATTCATGAGCATGATCTCCAGGAAACAAACGTCATGGGGAACAGAATTCTGCCTACCAAAAGGATTAGTGTGAGGATCAAGTAAGTAAACACATATGCAGGGTGCAGGGTCTTTATGGTGCCAGCCAGATTTTGAACACATACTAAATAATTACTTATTTATATCTTCTTTGCTCACACCACAACATATATATACATGCTTTTCTTAACTTTGATATGTTGGCTTGTGTCTCATCTTTAAAGATTAGATAGATTCACTAAGATGAAATGCAACTTTTCTATTTTGATCTCATTCATACAGGTATTAATGAATTAAAAACCAACCAAACAAAAATGTTTACTTTAGTATTTTTCCTTTATTTTTTTATGATCAAGTTATAGCCTAAATCCTTGGCTTCTCATTTAACCAAGGAATGACAGAGATCTTGGAAATTTTCAGTCATCTTGGAGAAGACACTATGAAATTTATATAATTCCTAATCTAGGTAATTTATAGTAGAGAGAAAATGGTAGGGAAAAGCTTTCTCTTACCTTTCGAAGAACTAAGAAATTACAAAGAGCATGCCAAGGCCAAAGCACACCTGTATTAGGCCTGAATTAAACAGAGAGAATCATCTAACTTTTTTTCCAATCAAATGATAAAAATAAAAGCCCTAGAAGCTTTTTGAAACAGGTAGGAGCCACTGGACAATATATGATTCATACTGCTACCCTCTGGGTATCTTTTCAATCAGCAGATTCAAGTTTTAGAGTAATTGGTATTATTTTTCCCTCTCCTCAAACACTCAGCTTTTCTATCACCGTCGAGAGCTGCATCCTTTTCTCAAATTTAAGACCATTCAAACACTCGAACTTCAGGGATGGCAATTATTAATTTCACTACTAAGGCTTGAGAAAACAAATAAGCTGCTCCAGAGTGAAGAAGGACTTTATGCCTCCATTGTATGCTCTCCCTCACAACTCCCCTAGGCTAAGGATACTATCACAGCGAATCAAATTGTGGAAGGGGACAGATGCATTTCTATGCAGCTCTCCTCCTAGCCAAACAGTATAATAGTGATGGTTCTCTTTTTTCACTCTAGAAGTTTCTCTGTACCATATACACTCTTTTCATTATGATCCTATAGCACTTGGCAAAGCTAGATAAAATTCTTGCAACCCACTATTGAGATGGTATTCTTGGTTGTCTGCTTGGGTTTCTATGCTTTATGTGTATCACTTCAGAATGAGTTTAAATTGGGAGAAAAAGTAAGTACGAAGGTAATTTTTCATTAGTAGTGACATGAAATGTGAGCTGGTATAGCTAGAGGTAGCTTAGAGGAGAGATACATATTCTTTGATGTCTATAAGACAAGCGCCATTTTTATAAAGATGATAAGAGTTTCAGAGCTAGGAGATTAAAAATTCCTGGATCCAGCTATCTGACTTTAAAAATGAGTAAGTTGAGGACAAGAGAAGTGAAGGAATTTGCTGAAAGTGGTATGACTTAATCAAGGCTGGTGAGGATTAGCACGAGAGCCAGTCTGAAGTCACTACATTACATGCCCCAAATCCTTCAAAACTATGCAAAACTCTGTCACTTGTAAAATAATCTCCATTTATCTGTACCCAACTAAAATAATGCTGATCACATTCACATTCCTGGTTGTTGAGTCTCATTTACTGATTGCAAAAGAGTAAAATTTATGGATCACTTTTTAAATATGGAATGCACCTTAATGGCTTCCATTTCATAAAGTGTACATATTTTCCTACACAGATTTAGAAGAAATACATGTCCTGCTTTCTCCTTGGCACATATTAAGTCATACATGACTAAAGTATCAGAGATACTTGCTTCCAACAAATTCTTCTGGACACTACTCTGAACAAGCTGATGTGTACACTCATTAAATACTGGGGTCTGACTGATAAGAATTTTCTGTGAGCCTTTTGCCTAATGACATTAAGACAGAGTTCCCAATTTGTACTTGTGGTGATTTACTGTTGCCGTTCCAACCATAATGATGGAAAATGTTTTTCCACTATCATTTAATTAGCCAAGCAATCCTAGTAGAAATTAGTCTTGAAAATGTACCAGCAGAGAGAAGATTGAGAGCAGCTATGTAGAACTTTGTACCAAGACGAGACAACTTTAATAGCATGGCACTGGTATTAAACACTATCAATAATAGGAGTAATCCTTTCTCATAAAATAATTAAAACCAGAGGCCCTCAGCTTTTTGAGGCTTGTATTCCCTATCCATGTAATGAAGAGGCAGGTCTAGTATATTTGAAATATTATTTCTAGTTCTAGGACTCTATTTCATTCCCAAAATGATGACCTAAATGAGTGGCCCTGAGGATAAATATCCTGTTAATAAATATTCTAAAATAAATGTAAAGTTATCCTAAAACAAAAAAGAAAATCTAGCTTGATTAACTACATATGGCCAGTAACAGCTCGATGCATTCAACAAAGTACAGGCATACCTTGTCTTACTGTGCTTTACTTTATTGCACTTCACAGATGTTGTGTTTTTTTTTAAACATTGAAGGTTTGTGGCAACCTTGCATCAAGCAAGACTATTGGGGTCATTTTCCCAGTAGCACATCCTCACTTTGTGTCTCTGTGTCACATGTTCGTCATTCTCACATTATTCCAAATGTTCTTATTAATATTATACCTGTTATAATGATCTTTGCTCAGTGACCTTTGATGTTACTATTGTAATTGTTTTTGAGGCATCACCAACCACACCCATCAAAGATGATAAACTTAATTGCTAGATATTATGTGTGTTCTCCATCTCTCTCCCTCCCCATGAGCCTCCCCATTCCTGAGGTACAACAATACTGAAATTAGGCTCATTAATAAACCTACAATGTCCTCTAAGTGTACAAGTGAAAGGAAGTCATGTGTCTCTCACTTCAAATCAAAAGCTAGAAATGATTAAGCTTAATAAGAAAACATGTTGAAAGGTGAGACAGGCCAAAATCTGAACCTCTTGCACCAAACAGCCCAAGTTGTGAATGCAAAGGAAAAGTTCTTGAAGGAAAGTAAAAGTGCTAAGCCAGTGAACACATGAGTGAAAAGAAAGAAAAAGAGCCTTATTTTTGATATGATGGCAGTTTTAATGATCTAGATAGAAGATGAAACCAGTCACAACATTCCATTTAGCCAAAGTCTAATCCACAGAAAGGCCCTAAATCTCTTCTATTCTATGAAGGCTGAGAGAGGTGAGAAAGCTGCAGAAGAAAAGTCTGAAGCTAGCAGAGTTTGGTGCATGAGGTTTAAGGAAAGAAACTATTTCTATAACAGAAAAAGCCAAAGTGAGGCAGCAAATGCTAACGTAGAAGCTGCAGCAAGTCATTCAGAATATCCAGCTAAGATAATTGAGGAAAGTGGCTACAAAAACAACACATTTTATTATTATTATTATTATTATTATTATTATTATTATTATTATTATTATTGAGACAGAGTCTTGCTCTGTCACCCAGGCTGGAGTGCAATCTCAGCTCACTGCAACCTCCGCCTCCCAGGTCCAAGATATTCTCCCGCTTCAGCCTCCCAAGTAGTTGGGATTACGGGCATATGCCACCATGCCCGGCTAATTTTTGTATTTTTAGTAGAGACAAGGTTTTGCCATGTTGGCCAGACTGGTCTCAAACTCCTGACCTCAGGTGATCTGCCCACTGTGGCCTCCCAAAGTGCTTGGATTACAAGCATGAGACACCATGCCTGGCCCAGATTTTCAATGTGAATAAAACGGTGGAAGAAGATGTCATCTGACATTTTCATAGCTAGAGAGGTGAAGTCAATGACTGGCTTCCAATCATTAAAGGACAGGTTGACTCTCTTGTTAGGGTCTAATGCAGCTTATGATTTTAAGTTAAAGCCAACAGTCATATTCCAGAAGTCCTATGGACCTTCTAGGGCCCTTAATAATTATTCTAAGTCTACTTTGCCTGTGATCTATAAATGGAACAAGAAGTCCTAGATGACAGCACATCTGTTTACAGCATGGTTTACTATTTTAAGCCCACTATTGAGACCTACTACATAGAAAAAAGATTCCTTTCAAAATATTACTGCTTGATGACATTATTTTATATTTAGAAAACTCCATCGTCTCAGCCCAAAATCTCCTTAAGCTGATAAGCAAATTCAGCAAAGTCTCAGGATACAAAATCAATGTGCAAAAATCACAAGCATTCCTGTACATCAATAACAGACAAACAGAGAGCCAAATCATGAGTGAACTCCCATTCACAATTGCTACTAAGAGAATAAAATACCTAGGAATACAACTTACGAAGAATGTGAAGGACCTCTTCAAGGAGAAGTACAGACCACTGCTCAAGGAAATAAAAGAGGACACAGACATTTGGAAAAACATTCCATGCTCATGGATAGAAAGAATCAATATGGTGAAAATGACCTTACTGCCCAAAGTAATTTATAGATTCAATGCTATCCCCATCAAGCTACAACTGACTTTCTTCACAGAATTCGAAAAAAAACTACTTTAAACTTCATATGGAACCAAAAAAGAGCCCACATAGCCAAGACAATCCTGGGCAAGAAGAACAAAGCTGAACGCATCATGTTACCTGACTTCAAAGTTTACTACAAGGGTACAGTAACCAAACAGCATGGTACTGGTACCAAAACAAATACATAGACCAACGGAACAGAACAGAAGCCTCAGAAATAACACCACATACCATCTGATCTTTGACAAACCCAACACACACAAGCAATGGGGAAAAGATTCCCTATTTAATAAATGGTGTTGGGAAAACTGGCTAACCACATGCAGAAAACTGAAACTGGACCCCTTTCTTACACCTTATACAAAAATCAACTCAAGATGGATCAAAGACTTAAATGTAAGATCTAGGATCACAAAAATCCTAGAAGAAAACCTGGGCAATACCATTCAGGATGTAGGCATGGGCAAAGACTTCATGTCTAAAACACCAAAAGGAATGGCAACAAAGCAAAAATTGACAAATGGGATCTAATTAAACTAAAGAGCTTCTGCACAGCAAAAGAAACTATCATCAGAGTGAACAGGCAACCTACAGAGTGGGAATACATTTTTGCAATCTATCCATCTGACAAAGGGCTAATATCCAGAATCTGCAAAGAACTTAAACAAATTTACAAGAAAAAAGCAAACAGCCCCATCAAAAAATGGGCAAAGGTTATGAACAGACACTTCTCAAAAGAAGACATTTATGCAGCCAAAAGATATATGAAAAAATGCTCATCATCACTGGTCATTAGAGAAATGCAAACCAAAACCACAATGAGATACCATCTCATGCCAGTTAGAATGGTGATCATTAAAAAGTCAGGAAACAACAGATTCTGCAGAGGTTGTGGAAAAATAGGAAAGCTTTTACACTGTTGGTGGGAGTGTAAATTAGTTCAACCATTGTGGAAGACAGTGTGGTGATTTCTCAAGGATCTAGAACCAGAAATACCATTTGACCCAGCAATCCCATTACTGGGCATATACCCAAAGGATTATAAATCATTCTATGATAAAGACACATGTACACATATGTGTATTGCAGCTTTATTCACAATAGCAAGGACTTGGAACCAACCCAATTGTCCATCAATGGTAGACTGGACTAAGAAAATGTGGCACATATACACCATGGAATACTATGCACCCATAAAACAGAATGAGTTCATGTCCTTTGCAGGGACATGGATGAAGCTGGAAACCATCATTCTCAGCAAACTATCACAAGTTCAGAAAACCAAACACCATATGTTCTCACTCATAAGTGGGAGTCGAACAACAAGAACACATGGACACAGGGAGGGGAACATCACACACTGGGGCCTGTAGGGGGTCGGGGTGTAGGGGAGGGATAACATTAGGAGAAATACCAAATGTAGGTGATGGGATGATGGGTGCAGCAAACCACCATGGCGTATGTATACTTATGTAACAAAACTTCACATTCTGCACATGTAACCCAGAACTTAAAGTATAATAAAAAGATATATTACTGCTTATTGACATTGCACTTAGTTACTCAAGAGCTCTGATTGAGGTGTGTAAGATTGGTGTTGTTTTCCCGCCTGCTAACACAACATCTATTCTGTAGCCCATAGATCAAGGAGTAATTCTGATTTTCAAGTCTTCTTATTTAAGAAATACTTTTCATAAGATTAACGGCTGCTAAAGATAGTGATTCCTCTGATGGATTCCTCTGATGGTAAAGTAAACTGAAAACTTGGAAGAGATTCTACATTCTATATGCCATTAGGAATATTTGTTATTCATGGGAGAAGAACAAAATATTAACAGGAGTTAATATTAAAAGATTAAATAAATTTAAATAGATTAAATTAACGAGTTAAATTAAAAGATTAACAGGAGTTTGGAAGAAGCTGATTCCAACCCTTATCTTATCTCAATGGTCACATCTCAGTCTCCTTTGCAGATTCTTTCTCTTTACTCCAAAACCTTCTTAATATTCTAGTGTTTTCTCTCAGTTCTTGGGCACTTCTCATTTTTATCCATATTCACTTTATTGGTAACTGTAGGGAGTTTCATGACTTTAAATACCGAGTATATTTCAACAACTCACAAAATTTTATCTAGGCTCAGTCTGCTGAACTCCAGGCTCATATATCCAATACTTAGATATCATAAATTCAGTATCTCTGAAAATACATTCCTAATGTTCCCTTCTAAATCGACCCCAAATTTAATGTCTCTCATTTTAATTCATGGCAACATTTTCTAATTGCTCAGGAGAAAAACGCTGGAGTACTGTTTAAACCCTTTATAACACAATATATTTGCCAGGAATTGCTGTTGCCTCTACCTTCAAAATGGATCCATAACTGACTACTTTTCCCCATCTCCAGCACTACCACCACCTTGTTTCTCACTTATACAAATGCAATAGTCTC
This sequence comes from Homo sapiens, assembly GCF_000001405.40. NCBI lineage: Eukaryota > Metazoa > Chordata > Mammalia > Primates > Hominidae > Homo > Homo sapiens. The sequence continues at coordinate 44,286,548 of NC_000004.12, forward strand.
CTAACAGATAAGAAAGCCCAATGTAGCTGGGCATGTGGATGAAGGGGAAGAGGTAATATCGAAGAAAAGGGCCAATAACAGATACGTTTAAAGCTTTCTAGATAAAGGTAAGAAGCTTGATTTTATGCCACTGGGATAAGGAACCTACTGGAGTGTTTTACATAGGGAAGTGACATGATCTTCTCTGTGTTTTAAGAAAAAATAACTTTGCTCCTGGAAAGAGGATGGATGGTTTAGGGGTAAGGGTAAAAAAATAGAGGGATTGAATAGGAGGTATTGCAACAGATCAGAGAAAGATGATGGTGAGAGTGGATATGGAGAGCAGATTCAGGATAGAAGTAGGTAACAGAGGACTTGTTGATTGAGTGACTGAGGTAAAATGAAAGAAAGAGAAATTAATGTAACTATTGGGTTTTTAGGTTAAGCAACCTAGCAGATGGTGTTATTATTTACTAAGTTAAGGAGATTCATTAACTATAGTTTCATAGCATTTTCAAGTATATAGCAGAAACACTTTTCTAATTTAAACATCCTATAGATATAAACCACATAAACTTGCATGAGCTCATTAAAATTGAGAATTTAGAGGCTGGGTGTGGTGGCTCATGCCTATAATCCCAGCACTTTGGGAGACCGAAGGAGGAGGAATGCTTGAGCCCATGAGTTCAAGACCAGCCTGGACAAAAATAGCGAAACCTTATCTCAAAATAAATAAATAAATAAACATTAAATTAATTTGATAACTTAGGAATTATTTTCATACATACAATACTGTTTCTGTGCTATAAAATGAATTATTTAAGCATATCTTGATCATGTTTAAAGTAAATTATTTAAGCGTATGTTGATTATGTTTAAAGATCATGTTTACAAACTTAAAGTAATAGAATTGAAAGTGTCTATAATGTTAAACATTTCACAAATATTTGGCTAACCTATGTGGTAACAATTCCAGGAAAAGGAAATTTATCTATCTCAAGGACTCTAGCACCAAACTCAATTTTTAAACCTATCTAATAATTGAAACACTCTTCCTTACATTAGGCCAAAATCTACCTCCTGGAGTATTTATCTAATAGTCCTGATTCTGCCATCTGTGGCAAATAAATAGCACCTAATCTAAGATAAACAACATTTGTCACCTTTGGCACCACTTTTAATTCTCTGGCTCACAGCAGGCATTACTAATTTACCACTGTAACTTTTCTTGCTGATCTAGCAGGGTTCCTAATCAGACTTAACACAGTATTCTTGGCAGCCACTACAAATCAATAGAAGATAAAACTAATCCCTTCAAGAAAAATTATTGAGTGTTTATTATGTTTCTGCATTCATTCAAGGAATCCACAGTCGACTTGTATGTAGATGGTTATACAATAATCTCATAAATATTATAAGAAGTATAGAGTATATGCAAGGTCAGGAAAAAAATGGGTATCTGGACCAGATTAAACAGAATAAGGAAGAGTTGCCTTCTTGCTAACAGTCCTTTAGTTGAACAGACATTAAATATATGTCAAATTTTCTTTTCTCCATTCTTAGTGCCCTTAGTATCTTCAAGCTTGTGTGCTAGAGGAGAATGTTAAGGCATATTAGGGAAGGTATTTCTTGTCTTTTTCTATATAAAAGGCACTTAAGACTTGAACATAATTAACATTAGAAGAAGTTGAGAAATGGCTGTAGAGTTCTAATGTGAAGGTATAAATCAAGAATTGTACACTCATCCAAGCATTTCTTCTATAATGAATAGAAAGTCATTGACAACTATGCAAGAGATTGGGTGATTAGTACATAAAAACTTTCTTTAAAAACATGGATACATAAAACTGACAATGAAATCTAGCTAACCAAGAGATTAATTAGAATAGCTCAATTAACAGAAAAATAGTGATACATCAAAAATATATAATGTTGAGTAGTGAATCTATTTAAATATAGAAATTAAACAACTTTGAGTTTGACATGGTTATAATTTCTGCTCTTTCAAAGCAAGGAAGTAGTAGATACTTTGCATAGTTGAAACAATCAAAAACATTGGATGCCTATTCTGTATGACAGTTATTTTCTTAAATTTACAGGTAACTTTTTCTTTTCATGAAGAAACACTCATTTCAAGGTCAACTATGCCTTCAATTTTACATCTGTTCTTCTATCTCAGATATACAAAAGTAAAAATTAAATCAAAGTTTTCTGTTTTTATATGAAAAAGTATCCCATTTTCAAAATTAATTTCTTTCTGACTACCTATCTCACCTACCCTCTTCCTTTCTGCATATATACTGAGAAGTGTATGTATGGAATATGGTCAGAAAAGGCAGGTAACAATCCTTGTTAAAGTGTCAGATTTTTATTCTTATTTGAACTTTTCTAATCAGTATATATCATTTTTTTCTATAAAAACAATAAAGGATTCAATTTTTTAAAAATGATACAGGTTAAAATATATATATAAAAATTTAGTCTTATTAATTTTCATCTTTTTTATTTAGTTTTATTTATCTGCATATTTTGAGAATTCTTATCTTTAAAATAGAGATACTATCTACCTCACAGGATGACTATGAGCTTTAAAGAAACTGATACATGTAAAATTCTTACTAAACTATCAAGTGTTTCATATGTATGTAATTCATTACTCATGTAATGTTAATATTATGTATTATATAATTGCATAACATTACATATTATTAAAATGCTATACTATTAATATTATATAGAATACTATATCATATTACCAATAAAATCTCACAATATATTCAAAGAAACAAAAGTATAAGAAATTTAAATACAAAGACAAAATATAAAGTGGTATAAATACAAAGTGACATATCTAGGGATAGAGCAAAATAAGTCTTACTTATCTATTATTAAAGTACAATAAGGGAACATACTTTGAATAGATCCATGGAGAGAAAACACCAAGAGTTGATACAGAGGCAATGCAGACCCTGAGGGTAAAGAGAAAGGAAGCTGGAAACCCTGTACAGGGTTGTCAAATGCCAGTGCTAGTTCCATCCTAGAACGGCTCCTGGGGAAGGGCTGAGTGAAGAGATGGTGAGGCAACCCACTCTTGCTGTGAAATGTTGGGATCCTAGCTACACGAGATCCCACAACCCCCATAGACATTTTAACTGGTGGGGGTGTGTGGGGGGTCTGACCAGAGAGTACACAGAGAGTAGAGAGAGACAGAGCTCCAGCCTGCATGGAGCCTGGGGGATTTTGCACACAGGGCAGCTGCAGTGGAACGTGGCCACAGGTGCCCATATCCCAAGGCTCTCAATCTTCCCCAAGTTGCTCTAACCCCAGTTGACTGTAGGGTCAAGAGACTGCAGGGCCAAATTTTGCAAGAAATTATACATTCAAGTCTACAAAATAAAAGCTAACAATATGATAACAATATCAAAATCTCACATATCAGTACTAACCCTGAAAGTAAATGGTCCAAATGCCGCAATAAAAAGGCATAGAGTGGGAAGTTGGATCAGAAGACAAGACCCAATTGTCTTCTGTCTTCAAAAGACCCACCTCACATGTAATGACATGCACAAGATCAAAGTAAAGGGATGGAGAAAGATCTACCATACAAATGAAAAACAATAAAGTGCAGGAATCACAATTCTTATATCACATAAAACAGACTTTAAAGCAACAACAATCAAGAAGGACAAAAAAGGGCATTATATAATAAGAAAGGATACAATGCAACAAAAAGGCTTAACTATCCTGATTATGTATGCACCCAACATTAGTGCACCCAGATTCATAAAACAAGTTCTTCTTGACTCACAAAAACACACAGATAGCCACACAATAATAGTAGGAGACTTCAGCACACCACTGAGAGCATTAGACAAATCATCCAGTAAGAAAGCTAACAAGTTTTTGATTTAAACTCCACAATTGAGCAATTATACCTAACAGATGTCTACAGAATGCACCACTCAAAAATCACAGATTATATATTCTTCTCATCTGCACCCAGAACATGTCCAAAGATTGAATACATGCTGGGTCATAAAGAAAGTCTCAAGAAATTAAAAAACTTGAAACCATATCAAGCACTCTCTTGGACCACAGTGCAATAAAAATAGAAATCTATACCAAGAAGAACGCTCAAAACTACACAAATACATGGAAATTTAACAACTTGCTCCTGAGTAACTCTTGGGTGAGCAACAAAATTAAAGCCGAGATTAAAAAATTCTATGAAATTAAAAAAATTAGAGACACATCTTACCAAAAGGTTTGGGATGCAGCTAAAGGAGTATTAAGGGGAAAGTTTATAGAAATAAACGCCTTCATCAAGAAGTTAGAAAGATCTCAAATTAACAATCTAATACTACACCTAGAGGAACCAGGGGAAAAAAGAACAAACCAACCACAAAGTTAGAAGAAGAACAGAAATAACTAATATCAGAGAAGAATTGAATGATATTGAGAAGCAAAAGTCTACACAAAAGATCAATGAAACCTAGAGTTGGTTTTTCAAAAGAATAGACAAAATTATTAGACCATTAGATAGATTAACAAAGAAAGAAAGAGAAGATCCAAATAAGCACAATCAGAAATGACAGAGATAGCATTACAATTGATCCCACAGACACAATATATATTCAGAGACTATTATGAACACCTATATGAACACTAATTAGGAAGTCTAGAGGAAATAGATACATTCCTGGAAACACAAAATCTTCTAAGTCTGAACCAAGAAGAAAGTGAAAACATGAACAGACCAAACAAATAGACCACTGGAACAGAAAAGAGGACCCAGAAATAAAGCCAGAAACCTACAACGATTTGATTTTCCAAAAAATTGTCAAAAATAAGCAATGGAGAAAGGACTCCCCACTCAATAAATGGTGCTGAGATAACTGGCTAGCCATATGCAGAAGAATGAAACTAGACCTCTTCCTGTCATGTTATACAAAAATTAACTCAAGATGAATACAAGATTTAAATTATAAAAATTGTAGAAGAAAAGCTAGGAAATACCCTTCCCGACATTGATCTTGGCTAAGAATTTACGGCTAAGTCCCCAAAAACAATTACAACAAAAACAAAAATTGACAAGTAATACCTAATTAAATGAAAAGAGCTTCTATACAGCAAGAGAAATGATCAACAGTGTGAGCAGACAACCTACAGAATGGGTGAAACAATTCACAAACTATGCATCTGAGAAAGGTCCAATATCCAGAATCTATAAGGAAGCTAAAGAAATCAACAAACAAAAAAAGAAATAATTTCATTAAAAAATGGGCAAAGAACAAGAACAGACATTTCTCAAACAAGGACATGCCAGTGGCCAACAAATGTATGAAAAACAGGCTCAACATCACTGATCATCAGAGAAATGCAAATGAAAGCCACAATGAAATACCATTTCACACCAGTCAGATTGGCTATTATGAAAAAAAAAAAAAAAAAAAAAAACAGGTGTCAGTAAGGCTGTGGAGAAAGAACACTTATACACTCTTGGTGGGAATATAAGTTATTCATCCACTGCGGAAAGCAGTACGCAGATTTAGTGAAGAACGTGAAGTCCCATTCAACCCAGCAATCCCATTACTAGGTACATACCCAAAGGAAAATGAATCATTCTACCCAAAATACACGTGTACCTGTATGTTAATCACTGCACTATTCATAATTGTCAAGACATGGAATTGACCTACGTGCCCATCGACAGTGGACTGCATAAAGAAAATGTGGTACATATACACTATGGAATACTATGCAACCATAAAAAGAATAAAATCATGCCCTTAGTAGCAACATGGATGCAGCTGGAAGTTATCATCCTAAGAGAATTAATGCAGGATCAGAAAACTAAATACCACATGTTCTCACTTATAAATGGGAGTGAAACCCTGACTACACATGGACATAAAGATGGAAACAATAGACACTGAGGATTACTAGAAGTAGAGAGGGAGGAAGGCGTGGTCTGAAAAATTACCTATAGGGTACTATGCTCTCTACCTGAGTGATGGGATCATCTGTACCTCAAATCTCAGCATCACACTATGTACCCATGTAACAAACCTGCACCTTTACCCTCTGAATCTAAAATAAAAGTTGAAATTATTTTTGTAAAAAATATAATTAGGTGGTGGTGCAATTTTTTTTCTTGAGTGACTAGTTATTACAACTAGGTATGTTGAGGGAAAAAAGTCTAGGAAGTATCAAGTAAGATTTAGTCTCCATTAATAATTCCTCAGCTTGAAAGGGCCTATATTTTCCTAATCATTATAGAATTTCCTATGAGATTAAATTTTATCTCATAAGTACCAGTAATTATGCCTAAAACTTGTTTTAATTATAACTTTGAATTCTAAATGTGTCCAACTAATTTCTATTGTTTGTTTACATAGAGACTGTAGGACATATTTTTCTACACCCCCTATTTTGTTTGAAGTCCTTTTCAAGCCTCCTTGTAAACAAATTTCTACAAGACTCTTTGTAGATAAGGGCTTGTAGATAATTTTTTCAGATCATTAAGAGATGTTGATAAAATGCTCAAATAAAATATAAATAAATATTAGGCTACTTAAACAAAATCCAGAATCTGAACAGATGGAAATCTTATCTAAGGATTATTATGGAAAGTAACACCTCAATTTTTTTCAATCTGATAATTTTCCATGCCCATAAGCTGCAGTTGTCTTTTGAAACCTATTTTAAGAGGTTTTTTCTTCTTAGTTGATGACCTTTTCCCTTACAGTTAGAGTTATCAAATATAGTCAACCAAATTACTGAGTCCAAATGCTTTTCAAAAGGAAATGTTCAACTTGCCCAAATTTAAAACCAGATTAATTTATCTGCCATACTTAATGGAGAGTATTAACCTTACCTGCTGCCAAGCATCTGGCCCTGGTTCTGCATCTTGATTCATGCTTGATCTGGCAAGCAATCATAAATAGCCATATATTCAAACCTAGAGGTAGCAAAGGTGTAATTGGTAGAAGCAGCACACAGAGGACACAAAGAAATTGAATTTATATAAGAAAAGGTCAGGGAAAAGCAAATTATATTTATTATTTTAGATGCTAGATTTCTAGTCTTTAATTTTTTTTTTCTAGGAATCTGGTGAGTTAGGTTGGTTAGTATTTTAATCAATTGTATGATGACATGAGGGAAATTTTTTAAAACCCAAGAACCTTGTAAACACTGGCCAAAAAATGGAAAAAGTTGTTGAAAATATTGAAACATAGCCACTTGAAAATTATTTTAGCATTTTGAACTTACGTAAGATTGAGCACAAAGACATCGTCAGAGAACCTGTGGAAAGCCAATCAAAAAAAGGATGATTTATCAGAAATATAAATAGAATTATTGCATAGAGAATGAGATAATTCCATTTATCATTTGTTTAACAATTTTCTTGAGCATTTTATTTTATATCACAAAGATTTAACATCACTAATAATAAAAATGTAAATTAATGCAATGCATGCCATTTTGCTTAAAAATTTACAAAGGATAGGAAAAGGATAATGTTCATTTTGCCAAAGGTTTAACGAAATTGACAATAACAAAAGTATAAGTGATAATTTATTATGATGAATCTAAATCATAGAAATGATTTGACACATGCACGTTCTCTATAAATATACAAAGGGGAAGATAAACAATCACATTACTACTGTAAATACATCCTTCCTCTTAGTACTATCTGGTCCCTGTTGTCCTGTGGTAACGCAGAAAAATGGAAGCCAGTCTGACACTTAGAAACGTAAAAGATTTTGTTAAGACTCCTTTGCCCGCTGGTGCCTATGAGCCACCAAAGCACTCTTAAGATAGGTACATAAAAACACATTCTGCCCAAAGATTTCATAAATTGAAACCAGATTTTCTCATTGTAATGGAAAAACATATGTTTAAAAGAATATCTATGCATTTCTCATGCCATCAAGTTCAAAACCATTTCCTCATTACCGTCCAGCACCATTGCAACCAGTAAGATTATCTGGTTTGACTTACAAAAGCATTGGCTCACTTTGAAATAGAGTGTCTATTCATGAAAACTGAAAAAAATTTCCTTATGAAACCTGATTTTCATGATAGCTTGTCCCCTAAGGCTTCACTTGGATTCTCACCAAAGACCATTATCATCAATAGAACAGAAGAATGTTAACTCTCTATAGCATCCTATATATCCATTTTGTGGACAGGTTTTCAAAGTCACATTTTCAACTGTTGGACTTGCTTTCTTAAGTGAATATTATGCAGAGCCCAGTATACAGAACAGATTAAGGTAGAGTTGATTTGCTAAAAGCAGAGTGAGAGATGAGCACCCTTCATGTTTAAGGTCCCACTTTTATCTAGTAAAATCCTGAGGCATATCTATTGAATTTTAAGGACAAGGTGAATTCAGTTAAAACACCAATGAACTAGAAGAAGGTAACAAAATGTTCTAAGGCAAAAGGAGATAAAAGGCTGTCAAAAACAGAGAAACTAGGTCCCGCAGGGTGGCTGATGCCTGTAATCTCAGCACTTTGGGAGCCTGAGGCAGGGGGATCCCTTGAGCCCAGGAGTTTGAGATCAGGCTGGGTAATGTGGGGAGACCCTGTCTCCATATTTTAAAAAATAATAATTAGCCAGACATGCTGGCACACGATTGTAGTTCCAGCTACTCTGGGGTCTGAGGTGGGAGGATTGCTTGAGTCCAGGAATTAGAGGCCTCAGTGAGCTATGACTGTGCCACTGCACTCCAGCCCAGGTGACAGAATGAACCCCGTCTCAAAAAATAAAAATAAAAAGACAGAAAAACTAGACGACTATTAGTGCATCCTCTGATGGGGCCTTTTAGAACTAAAATGCTGGCAATGTTTGGTTTGTTCCTGGGCTTAATAGCTCTTAAATCTAAGACCCAAGAGAGCCCCTTTTTCAGGCTCTTTTATCTTGTCCTTATTTAATTGTCAGTTTCTGGGAAAGGGAGGGAAAGCAAAGAAAAAAATGTAAAAATTTTAAATATTTAAGATAAACATTTTATTTGTACCTGAGTATATTTATATTTCTTTAAAATTTGATAAGTATTACCTGTCATTTATTTTGATATGCGTCAGGCTATTTTGTGTTGCTATAACAGAATAGCACAGACTGGTTAATTTGTAAAGAAGTTTCTCATAGTTCTAGAGGCTTAGAAGTCCAAGATCAAGGTGCCAGCATCTTTTTATAGTTGCATAAATCCATTCATGAACAAAACACCTCCCAGAGGCTCCATCTCCCAACACTGCAGGACTGGGAATCAAGTTTCTAACAAATGGATTTTAGGGAACACATTCTGACTGTAGCAATATGCAATTATTAATATTGGTAATTTATTACATATTAATTCACTTTCAGTAGCTTCTCTTTGTAAAATAGTTAACCTGGTCATTTGGTAGATAAAAACTTGTAAGACCCAAGATACTTGAAACTACTCTACCCAACTGGCCTTAATTGCCTAGCCATTAATAATGGTTTCCCTTGGTTTAAATATTTCCAATTCTTATAGGATCATATTTGTTTTTAACGTAATTTTGCAGCAGAAAAGGAATGCTAAGATTTGTTATTTAAGAAATGGCAGCATAGTGCAAACAGAGATCATGAATGTATTTTGTTTTGAAATCTAGACACATACAGCATGAAATAATTTAGTTTCCTCACCCTCAAGCAAGAGATAAGTCCTCCCTTTTTTTTCTGATCCTTAGTAACCCCTATTTCTCTGCCTTTCTTTCCATTCTAACCACACTGAATTCCTTTCTAGCCAAAATAGCCAATATAAGAAGAGGCTATGGAAATTAAATCCCTTTAAGAGAAGACCTGTAATTGGCCTTGGAAATGACCTTCCCATACAATCAATGGTATAAATGGTATCGTAACAGTGTCACATGTGTTAATTAGGCATTTATGAGCAGAATTGGGGATCCAACAATAATTTATAATGTTATTCTAATATGTTTTAAATTGATATATTAATGGCTTATGAAAAATTATAATTTACATATCTGTTCTGTTATTTTTGTAAAAAATAAGGATATCTCAGACACTGAAACACCAATATAATTAGTAGACTATTTTGCTGCTCTTTAATAAGTTCATAAAATTACTCTATTCCTCTACTAACACAGTGATGAATGGTATCATGTGGGCTTCACTAATATTTGTTCCCTAAATTCTAGTAATGATTCATCTAATTATGTGTTTTATTTTTAAATCTTTAGTTTCTGTGATTTTTTTTGAAAGTTTTTTTGAGTATTTCCCACAGCAACAATCTAAAATACACACTGCCTCTGAAAAACCTCAAGAATGACACCCCAAAGATTATACTATCCTCAGGGTCACAGAGTCCATGTTACGTGAGGTCTAATCTGAAACACTCCATTAGATAATAAAAAATGGCTCATTTTCATTTTCTTTTACATCAGTAAGATATATTATAATAAATTTCCAATATTAACACTCTATATTTTAAAAAGCATATTTAATGCTATAGAAGCAGAGTACTTTCACATCTGTTCTTCACATATCTATATGCCAAGCACTGGGTTGACAATAAAAAACCAAATATTTCAATAATTAAGACACCAACACATAAAGCCTGCCACCACTGCAAAATACTAAGTTAAAAAAATATATTCAACATAAGATAGGGAAAAAGTATTCCATAAATAGGTAAGCCCAATAATTGGAACAAATTAAATCAAAACAGATTAGAATAGCATTGCCAACAAACATGTAAAAATAAAACATCATCTAAAATTGTAATTGCTTTGCAAATTAAATCACATTTTGGACTGTTTTTCATCCAAAAAGCTTACTTTTTTGACATAACATGGTCCCCTGTTTCTCAGATGTATATTTTTTTCACATATAAATAGATATCTACATTTAACATAGTCTTATGAGATCTTTTTTCTCTGGTAACCTATTAATAAAATAGCATCTTACAATCAATGAAATATAGTATATGTGCATCTTTTCTATTTTTAAGGCAAACACTACCATTAACTTGCACTTTAATACATCTTTGAAAAATAATGTCCCTGCTATTTACGCTACCACAGAGGCATCTTGAGTAGAGGCTGTGAATATTAATAATGTATAAATGAAATACCATGTCTGCTTCTCCCAAGGCAAAGCATTTCAAAATCCCAAATAGAGATATGGTAGGTCTTAGATTCTTTATGTCCAAGGGAATAGGTTTATCTTACATATGTAAAACATTAGAAATGTCTACTACTCCACAATGAATTTGCAACTTACATGAACACAGCACTTGTGTGATACCTTTCTAACACCTTCTGAGTAATTCCATGTGGCCAAAATCTATGGTTCTCCATGGAATATTTTACCTCTTGTAATTAGCGGCCAGTCCTTGCTTTTAAAGCACACAATAGGATCAACATCCTTTTCATTGTACTTGTAATAATTGCTGCATCTATTTTTGAGACTGCCATTAGACTATGAACTCATTTGAGTCAAGAATTACCTTAGTTATCTCTCTGTCGCTCACAAGAAGCACAGTATCTGATGCAGAGTTTGTCAGTACTCAAGAAAATGTGTATAGAATGATAATTGTAATGAAAAATATACACCACAAGAAGATGCTGCAAGAATAACAGAAAGACACTAGGACTAAAGTTTATCTTTTTCTCTCTGTGCTCAGATAAGGATTTACAGCAAACTTCCCAGACATACTGAGGCTCAGACCCCTTCCTTTCCCATAAATAGTCTGTCAGTCTTCTGTTTCGGAATTGGGAGATGATATGTTTCAGTTACATATACCACTTGAAATGGATCGATATTTCTACAGGGAAGTGGCAAAGTCTCTGACTTTTCCTCACAAAACTCCTTCACACTAATGATCTGCCCCCCCCACCTCTTTATTTTTCTGTATAATAAAATTAACTAAGATGAACTGGGGGAAAAGGAGAAGAAAGCACCATCACCACCACAGTTTCCTACATTTTTAGTTGTAGCAGCAATAAGATATATAAATGTATTTCAAAATCACCTGAGGGGAAGAGCTGACAGCTCCCCAGAAACAATAAGAAATAGCTCCCTGGAGAAGGTCCCTAAAACTTGCTTCCTTACAGTCTCAATATGAAACACACTCCCTTGACTCATTGAACTTTTTAAAAAAGTACTGGGAATAGCTACCAGCTTAGAGTTCACACCCACTGGCTCTGTACTAAAGTGACAAAATGTTACCATCTTAAAGACAGGTGACAACATTTCTGGTCTCAATAACCCACACTGGATCCAAAAGAACAGAACATAGCACAGAAGTTAGATATAAAATATTGATTGAAAGATAGTAAATAAAGTAACAAATGAACAGACCTTTTGAAAAAAGCTATTCACATAAAAATGGACAATCTACAAAGATGAAAGTAAGACAAAATGCATACAGTTGTAAAAAAAAGTTCCAAGTTTTCAATGGCAATAAAATATAAATAATTTACTTATTATTACAAGCTTCTTTGAAAAATCACAATGTAGCTAGGTTAGAAATATTGCTAAAACTTACTTTCAAGTACATTAGTTGAGTATCATGTATCCCAATTATAGAAGTGAATACATGCTTGTGGAAATCTATTAGAAACATAAAAGTAAGAAAGATAGTATTACATAGGTAACTCCATCACCCAAAGGTAAGCATTGCTAAAATACATATGTAAAATCTCATTTGTTTGTAAGGGTCCTCTCTGCCTCATTTTTCAAAGAACACTCTTCCTCATTTCTTTCTAAAAAGCAGGTATGCCATCATATTTTTCTACCCACCCACCAAGCCTTCTTCCATGTAGCAACATTCTAACATAATGAAAATCCAAGATATTTTTACCAAAAGTTTAAGGTGAGATGGGAAACTGTTGTGTATTTCTTTCTTCTTGCATAAAAATGGGGTGCCTGCCGGGCGCGGTGGCTCACGCCTGTAATCCCAGCACTTTGGGAGGCCAAGGCAGGCGGATCACAAGGTCAGGAGATCCAGAACATCCTGGCCAACATGGTGAAACTCCATCTTTCTAAACATACAAAAATTAGCTGGACGTGGTGGCAAGTGCCTGTATTCTCAGCTACTCTGGAGGCTGAGGCAGGAGAATTGCTTGAACCAGAAAGTCTGAGATTGCAGTGAGCCGAGATCGCGCCACTGCACTCCAACCTGGCAACAGAGTGAGACTCCGTCTCAAAAAAAAAAAAGGTGGTGCCTTAGGTGATTTTTTTTTTCCTTTTCTTTTTTTTTTTTTGGAGACGGAGTCTCACTCTGTCGCCCAGGCCATCTCAGCTCACTGCAACCTCCGTCTCCTGGGTTCACATCTTTCTCCTGCCTCAGCCTCCGAGTAGCTGGGACTACAGGCACCCGCCACCACGCCCGGCTAATTTTTTGTATTTTTAGTAGAGACGGGGTTTCGCTGTGTTAGCCAGGATGGTCTCAATCTCCTGACCTCGTGACCACCCGCCTCGGCCTCCCAAAGTGCTGGGATTACAGCTGTGAGCCACCGCACTCGGCCGCCTTAGGTGATTTTTAAAAATAACCTGACTCTTGACTATTTTTCAAATGTAATGGAAATTCAGAGTTGTCCAAAATAACCTACAGAGGTGTAGAATAACATGCTGTTTTGATTTATAACTAAGTCTACACACTTATGAGTAAATTAGAACAGATTAAAGCCCTCCAAAGTTCTGATATTTATCAGAGGCACAGCTTCTATTTCAGTTCCCAATCACGATTTTTATCACTAATAATATAATAAATGTAAAGCACTGTCCACAATGGATCTAATTACAATCATGCTATCAGAAAAAAAAGGTTATATTCATGTACATCATGAGAAAACGTTTTCTGTATTGCCATCTCTTTTCAAATAAAAACTTGTTTGAAATATTCTATTAAAAGGTTACGGAAAAGAATAATCAGTTTTGCAATCTGATCAGAAAAAAAGGTTATATTCATGTATAACATGAGAAAACATTTTCTGTATTGCCATCTCTTTTTAAATAAAAACTTGTTTGAAATATTCTATTAAAAGGTTACAGAAAAGAATAATCAGCTTTGCAATCTGATTGCAACAAGAGAATGTACTGTTATATGCAATAACTAGAAAAATAAACTTATGGTATGTTTTTTAAATGCTTATTCAAACTAATCCTACACCAGTAGGATTATCAATAAGAACTCTTTTTTTTATTATTATACTTTAAGTTTTAGGGTACACGTGCACAATGTGCAGGTTAGTTACATATGTATATATGTGCCATGCTGGTGTGCTGCACCCATTAACTCGTCATTTAGCATTAGGTATATCTCCCAAAGCTATCCCTCTCCCCTCCCCCCACCCCACAACAGTCCCCAGAGTGTGATGTTCCCCTTCCTGTGTCCATATGTTCTCATTGTTCAATTCCCATCTATGAGTGAGAACATGCGGTGTTTGGTTTTTTGTCCTTGCGATAGTTTACTGAGAATGATGATTTCCAATTTCATCCATGTCCCTACAAAGGACATGAACTCATCATTTTTTATGGCTGCATAGTATTCCATGGTGTATATGTGCCACATTTTCTTAATCCAGTCTATCGTTGTTGGACATTTGGGTTGGTTCCAAGTCTTTGCTATTGTGAATAATGCCGCAATAAACATATGTGTGCATGTGTCTTTATAGCAGCATAAGTTATAGTCCTTTGGGTATATACCCAGTAATGGGATGGCTGGGTCAAATGGTATTTCTAGTTTTAGATCCCTGAGGAATCGCCACACTGACTTCCACAATGGTTGAACTAGTTTACAGTCCCACCAACAGTGTAAAAGTGTTCCTAGTTCTCCACATCCTCTCCAGCACCTGTTGTTTCCTGACTTTTTAATGATTGCCATTCTAACTGGCGTGAGATGTTATCTCATTGTGGTTTTGATTTGCATTTCTCTGATGGCCAGTGATGATGAGCATTTTTTCATATGTCTTTTGGCTGCATAAATGTCTTCTTTTGAGAAGTGTCTGTTCATATCCTTTGCCCACTTTTTGATGGGGTTGTTTCTTTTTTTCTTGTAAATTTGTTTGAGTTCATTGTAGATTCTGGATATTAGCCCTTTGTCAGATGAGTAGGTTGTGAAAATTTTCTCCCATTTCATAGGTTGCCTGTTCACTCTAATGGTAGTTTCTTTTGCTGTGCAGAAGCTCTTTAGTTTAATTAGATCCCATTTGTCAATTTTGGCTTTTGTTGCCATTGCTTTTGGTGTTTTAGACATGAAGTCCTTGCCCATGCCTATGTCCTGAATGGTAATGCCTGGGTTTTCTTCTAGGGTTTCTATGGTTTTAGTTCTAACATTTAAGTCTTTAATCCATCTTGAATTAATTTTTGTATAAGGTGTAAGGAAGGGATCCAGTTTCAGCTTTCTACATATGGCTAGCCAGTTTTCCCAGCACCATTTATTAAATAGGGAATCCTTTCCCCATTGCTTGTTTTGCTCAGCTTTGCCAAAGATCAGATAGTTGTAGATATGTGGCGTTATTTCTGAGGGCTCTGTTTTGTTCCATTGATCTATATCTCTGTTTTGGTACCAGTACCATGCTGTTTTTGTTACTGTAGCCTTGTAGTATAGTTTGAAGTCAGGTAGCGTGATGCCTCCAGCTTTGTTCTTTTGGCTTAGGATTGACTTGGGATTGCGGGCTCTTTTTTGATTCCATATGAACTTTAAAGTAGTTTTTTCCAATTCTGTGAAGAAAGTCATTGGTAGCTTGATGCGGATGGCATTGAATCTATAAATTACCTTGGGCAGGATGGCCATTTTCACAATATTGATTCTTCCTACCCATGAGCATGGAATGTTCTTCCACTTCTTTGTAACCTCTTTTATTTCATTGAGCAGTGGTTTGTAGTTCTCCTTGAAGAGGTCCTTCACGTCCCTTTTAAGTTGGATTCCTAAGTATTTTATTCTCTTTGAAGCCATTGTGAATGGGAGTTCACTCATGATTTGGCTCTCTGTTTGTCTGTTATTGGTGTATAAGAATGCTTGTGATTTTTGTACATTGATTTTGTATCCTGAGACTTTGCTGAAGTTACTTATCAGCTTAAGGAGATTTTGGGCTGAGACAATGGGGTTTTCTAGATATACAATCATGTCGTCTGCAAACAGGGACAATTTGACTTCCTCTTTTCCTAATTGAATACCCTTTATTTCCTTCTTCTGCCTAATTGCCCTGGCCAGAACTTCCAACACTATGTTGAATAGGAGTGGTGAGAGAGGGCATCCCTGTCTTGTGCCAGTTTTCAAAGGGAATGCTTCCAGTTTTTGCCCATTCAGTATGATATTGGCTGTGGGTTTGTCCTAGATAGCTCTTATTATTTTGAGATACGTCCCATCAATACCTAATTTCTTGAGAGTTTTTAGCATGAAGGGTTGTTGAATTTTGTCAAAGGCCTTTTCTGCATCTATTGAGATAATCATGTGGTTTTTGTCTTTGGTTCTGTTTATATGCTGGATTACATTTATTTATTTGTGCATATTGAACCAGCCTTGCATCCCAGGGATGAAGCCCACTTGATCAGGGTGGATAAGCTTTTTGATGTGCTGCTGGATTCCGTTTGCCAGTATTTTATTGAGGATTTTTGCATCGATGTTCATCAAGGATATTGGTCTAAAATTCTCTTTTTTGATTGTGTCTCTGCCCAGCTTTGGAATCAAGATGATGCTGGCCTCATAAAATGAGTTAGGGAGGATTCCCTCTTTTTCTATTGATTGGAATAGTTTCAGAAGGAATGGTACCAGTTCCTCCTTGTACCTCTGGTAGAATTCGGCTGTGAATCCATCTGGTCCTGGACTCTTTTTGGTTGGTAAGCTATTGATTATTGCCACAATTTCAGATCCTGTTATTGGTCTATTCAGAGATTCAACTTCTTCCTGGTTTAGTCTTGGGAAAGTGTATGTGTCGAGGAATTTATCCATTTCTTCTAGATTTTCTAGTTTATTTGCTTAGAGGTGTAATAAGAACTCTTAAATAAGGCCAGGCATGGTGGCTCATTCCTGTAATCCCAGTACTTTGGGAGGCTGAGGCAGGTGGATTGCTTGAGCTCAGGAGTTCAAGACCAGCCTGGGCAACATAGCAAAATCCCATCTCTACAAAAAATACAAAAATTAGCTGGGTGTGGTGCTGTGCTCCTGTAGTCCCAGTTACTTAGGAGGCTAAGGCAGAATTGCTTGAGCCCAGGAGGCAGAGGTTGCAGTGAACTGAAATTGCACCATTGCACTCCAGCCTGGGGGACAGAGTGAGACCCTGTCTGAGAAAAAAAAAATGAAAAAACTCCTAATCGTTTTTAACATTTTCTAAAATTGGCTAAAAGAAAGCAAGCATTCTTTAAATTAGCAGATCATTAGCAGAAAAGGTATTGCCCTCCAAAATCTCAGCTGCAAGATAAATACAAACTCAGGTTACAAATCAATAATGTCTCAATATGTATGAAGTTACACTGATGAAAATTTCACATAACACTAAATGGCAGAAAGGCTCATGCAGTCATCCAGACTCTAACATCACCTTATGTACTAAGGAGTCATTATCCAACTTGAGACACCAGAATTTTGATTCTATAAATATCTCTGAGTGACCATCTACATTTCCAGTTTTATCATACTCCATTTTCCCCATCAAAGCTTTTGTTTTTATTAAGCCCAAGAAGAATAAGACAAAATGAAGAAAAATAGGTATGTGGTACACGAATCCCTCTAGGTGACAGAAGAATTGACATGTCTGACTCAGAGAACATATTCAATAAATAACTGTTTATTAAATGAAAAAAATGCAATAAGGAGAATAGTCAGAATTGAGGTAAAGTAGATGGCCTGCATTTAAAAAATAGTTTTCCTAATCTTTCTACCACTTCAAGCATCACTTGGATCAAAACATTTTTTTGTTGGTTAACAATTTCCACACTTACTACGCCCCTGAATGTCTTCAGCCTCTTATTCAGTAGTTTCACATAACATCTAGTCAACATAAAGGGAATAATAAGCTGTGATTAAAAGTAATATAATGCCATTGATACGTTTTTGTTGTACTGTATTAAGTAATTGTAGATTAAACTCTTATACCTTCCCACTATTATGTTGATGGCTGAAGTAATTAAATTATAGGATATAATAAATCATGGTTAGGAAAGATGAAACAAGAAATGGATCTCTATATTTAAGAACAGTTAGCAAACACTCTTTGTTTTTACAAAGCCCAAGGTGACAGATAATTCAGGGGGGTTAGATGGAACTGTTCTATATCTTGATTATGATGGTGGCCACAAAAATATATGCATTTGTTGGCAGGGCATGGTGGTGCCTGCCTGCAGTCCTAGCAGGCACCTAGAAGGCTGAGGTGGGAGGATCACTTGAGCCCAGGAGTTGAACTCCAGCCTAGGTGACAGAACTAGATCCTGTCTAGAAAAAAAAAAAGTCCAGAACCAAAATCCTGGAATCAACAGCAAATAAACCTGGTGGGAGAAGGTTTTACATTAAAATAGTATAAGAATATTTTATGGTTTCAGAGTAGAATAAAGGATTTGATTAATCACATGCTTTATTCAAGTAAATATTCATGTTAAAATAACTAGAATGAAAAATAAAAGAACAGAATTCAGTATGCATATTAAAATCTAGGAAAAAAGAATTAAAAAATCAAAGTTTAGATAATTAAAAGTAAATATACATTAAAATACGTGATAGATATAAGTATATAAAATATAAAAGTAATTATAAATAATCTCTCCCCCTAAAAGATGAATATTATAATTTTGAATATTAAAGTTGGGTTGCTTCCTGATTACAAAAAAATTTTACAAGTTAACAGGACAGAAATATTGAAAATAAAAGGATATTTTAAAAGTTTACTAGACACGAAATTACCAAGAAGATGCAGCTATATTTATATCAAATTTTAAAAGCAAAGATAAAGAGAATCACTTCTCTTTATTAAACAAACTCACCAGGATGATATAAAACTTATAAACTCATATATATCTAATATATAGTATGAAAATACATAAAAAATTGAGAAAGCTCTGAGAAAAAGTAGACCTATTGTTATACTAAGTGATTTTATATTTCCCTAAGTTAATAACAGATTAAGCAGACAAAAACAATTCAATGAGTCAGTAAGCTTACAGAAAACTTGAGGAACACCACTAACATGATTGATATAGTATATGTGTGTATGTTTACAATTTTTTACCCCAAAATGAAAAATATGAGTATTTGTAAGTATAAATTAGACATTTATAAAATCCAACCATTTACTGGATCATAAATCAAGTTTCAAAGTAGTTCAAAGATTTGCTATCATAATAATCCTATCACATTTTCTGTACATGGAGGATTCATATTGGTAATTAATAACAATTTTATAAATATTTATCAATATTTAAAAACTAAAAGCATTTCCAAATAAGTCATTTACTAGATAGAATTAATGAAAATTAGAAAATACTTAAAGTTCAATAATAATATTGCATATAAAAAAGCACTTAGATGGAATTTTGTCCTCCAAAATGTTTGTATTAGAAAGACTAAAAATTAATCCGCTAAGTATTCAACTTAGGTAGACAATGACACAAGAACAAAATCAAAGGAAGTGGAAGAAATGAAATAATAAATGTAAAAACAGAAGATTATAAATAGAAAATGAAGACAAAAACAAATATAATTCGTCAGTTAAAAAGAGATAAATAAATTGATGATTGCTATATCTCTAATATGCAACAGGCACTGTGCTGTCTTCTTAGTATGATACTATCATTATATTTCTAGATTGGTCAAGTATAATTATATCCTCACTTCATGTTAAATGACTTAACAAAGTTCACATGGTTAGTAAGGTGGATATTAAAATATATGTCTCTCAGATCCAAAGCCTGTGGGGCTTTTTCTAATATAATTTAAACATCTTCACATTTCTTTATCAAAAAAGGTATTGCTTGAATTCTAGTCTCCTTAGTTCATGCATTACCAACTGCACTGATAAAAGAAGTCAAAATAAATTAAAAAGCAAACATACAATTTTCACAAATTGAAATTTGGAGGACCAAATCATAAAGCTATCCATAACCCTATTACTCATAGTGTAATTAATGGACTGGTATAACCTGGAAGATTGTTAAAAATGCATGATCTCAGTCCTGAACATGTTCTGTCTAATGTGATGGACCAGAGCTTAGCCAACTGCCATCTGACAGAACTAAGGAAGGTAAAATTTTATTAAATTTGTAAGCAATAAAATTGGCCTTCTATTAGTAAAGAACACAGATTTTAATAGGCAACTAGTTCCCTTTGCCACTGACTATTTAAAAAGGAGAAAAAGAAGAAACCTAAGTTTAACAAATTAGACTATGTTCAGTTGAAGTCAAGCATCAGAATGACAGGGAGTCTGAAAAATCAAAAGATATAAAGAGTGGCTAAAGGTACCAGGGACATTTTGACCTGAGAAAGTGACCTGACACTCGCCATCCAATATGTAATTAATTGCTTAACTAAAGCGGCCATAAACAAAATCAGTAATTAAGAGTAATAAAGGAGCAGAATTAAGCTCAATACAAATAAAGATATTTTATTAGGAGGTATCCAGTCACAAAACTAGTAAAGCTAGTCAAAATGCACCATATCCTAAAGAATGTCACAACAAACTGAGTGAATGTTTGCTAGGGATATTGCAGAAGGGCTATTTTCAGAAAAACTGAAGAGGCCTTCCAAGTCTATGTTCAAGTTGTAGTAATAATAATCACATAATTTCTTTACTTATCATGCCCATAATTAATCAAATTTACATAGTTAAAATTTAGCTAGTTCATCTATATCTGTTGCCTAAAACTGGTCTGTAATGGAAAATGCTTAAACATTCTCATATTGTGAAATCATCGTACACTTGCTCATGCGTGATCATTTTCAAGAGGAATGTCATTTCTAGAAAATAGTCCAGCACTAGATCCACATGTTTTCAGTAACTTTTATCAAATTATAAATATATTTACTGAAGTTCAATATGTTGTCATTATGATGTCAGATTAAAAATAAAATGTGAGCTTTTATTTCTTTTTTAAGTAGATTTGGTCATAAAACACGATTGCTTCCACTGTAATTTATTTTCCAATTAATTGCATAATTAAATCTCAAACCACAAGAGAAAATACTCTGTTTCAAGCTGCATATTAGCCTATGGTTTTCATTATATCAACTGACATAATGAGCAAAGTAGTAATTATCATGAAATAGGCCAGTGCTGTACACATAACTCTTTTTCCGCAAAATGCATGAATAGCTAACATGACTAAGTACCTAAATAAAATCTCTGGTCAAAAATTCATAAAACAAATATAGTGTACATATTCAATGTATAACATTTTAAAGAGACCTAGATACAAGACAGATGAATTACAAAAAGACTGATATCACCTCTGGAAGTTGCTTATAAACATGGGAATACGACCCATATTACAGTCACTATTACTTATTTCCATATACTAAAGCATATCCCTTATCTATTTTTCATAACTATGTTACTACTATATAGGTACAATATTATCCCTTAATATACAGTTATTCCTTTATATAGAATCCAGTGATTTTTGTTTATAAATTAAGAAAAACCTTTCATAGCTCAAGATGAGAAACGAAAACATTTAGATGTATGTGATGTCTCATAGCTACATATGAAAGCAGAACTTTCAAACTGGTATATCGATATAGTATAATCAATCATTCAATCAATCAATAAGTGCTCACTAAGCTTCGAATCTATGTCTATAGTAAAGATTAAATTACAATGAACTCTTTTTTTTTCCCTTTAAAAAAGTAGAACCTGTTCCATATTTGGATATTAAGGAAATTATCTAAATCTCAATTTCCAGGTATAATGGATTGTGGACTAATAATAAACTATCAGAAACAGTCACATGTAAATAGGAAAGCAGCAAGTAAGAAAAAACTATGCATAATTTAACCCATTCTATTTGAAGATCTATATGATTTTGTATTTCAATATTTTATTGTCTGTATTTGTTTGTTATAGATATACCTTTTTTGATATGTTGTAAAATTTACAAGAACAGATGTACTATTAAATGAGAGTGACTAGGTGTAATCTATGCTCACATCTTATTTAAGGTTTATGGCTTCTCTCTTAACAAAGCATTGTTAAAGATAAAAACAAGAAAACTTAGATTGAAATTTTAAAATAAAGTAATATACTAATCAATAACAAAAATTCAGACTAACAAAAATATTTACAAAGATGAATATGAAAAAACACATATTGAATCACTGCCATATATCTTTTACAGTATAGTTATAAATTATAAACTCCAGGAGTTTGCCCCAGAAAAGCATATTAATTTGAATTTGAGCAGGAATGATGATATTGATACACAGCATCTAGAGAACATAGTGTATTGAATAGTAATTATAATAATAGAATATAGATTAGACAAATAACATTTATTTACTTGACTGGTCTTTGACAAATCAAACTGACGTTTATTTATTTATTTAAAACAGAGTCTCACTTTGTCACCCAGGCTTGAATGCAATGGCATGCTCTTGGCTCACTACAGCCTCAACCTCTGGGGTTCAAGCAGTTCTCATGCCTCAGTCCTCCAAATAGGGGGAATTACAGACATACACCACTATGTCTGGCTAATTTTTGTATTTTTTTTTTTAGAGATGGGGTTTTTGCCATGTTGCCCAGGCAGTCTCGAACTCCTGAGCTCAAGCCATCTGCCCACCTCGGCCTCTCAAAGTGCTAGGATTACAGACATGAGCCACTGTGCTCTGCCTAAACTGATGAATTTTAAATCTAATAATTAAAAGCAGGTGTTTGTACTCCTAAATTAATTTCCAATTTAAAACTGTCTTAGATTCAATAAAAGTAATATTTTACAGAATTTGAAGACTCTTTGGAAGATATATCTTTTACAAATTATATTATTCTGAGGATCAACAATATTCTGAAAATCCAGTAGCCTTTCAGCTATGCTTAATTCTCTTTTACTCACAACATATTCAACAACTTGTACTGTTGAATTTTATAACTGTCACAAAATGAAGCTAATTATAAATTTCAAAAAGGTGTATGAACATAAAATACTAAATTTTAGTCCTAAATACTAAAATTTAGAATACATTAGAGAGAGAGCACTCATTGCAGATATTGACTTGCCATTTAAATTATGGGTATAAAATATTTTTGAGAATTTTGGAAGAGGAAAATGACAAAAGGATAATGAGTCTAAAAGCTTTTTGTGTTTTTGATTCTAAGAGAATCCATTAAATTCCATAAATAAGATTCTATTCTAGTATTTTCGAACTAAAATACTAAATTTTAGTTGTAAAATACTAAAATTATTTATGCTCACAGTTGCCTTACGCAGTATCAAATTTTTGAAGGTAATGTCGTCATAGGATCTATATCATTTTCAAATACCTAAGTCCTTGGAGAGATCCTTAAAAGAGAAAAACTGAAAAAAGAAAGAAATGTATATTGTTTTAAAACATGGGACCTGGTATTATTAAATTAGATTCAATTGAGAAGAAATATAACCTTTTTGGTTTATATGTAAAACTCTGAAATATGTGACATTTTAGAGATACACTTAAAACTTATGTAGTCCAGTGAAATAAATAGATTGATATGTATTCCAGTGATATATGTAATCCAGTGAAACCAATTGATAGCATAAATGCTGCTTGTACAATGGGGACTTCACGCATAATCTAATTTTGAACATAGAAACAGCTTTAATACATAATTTCTAGGCCAAGAAACACTAAGTATAATTAAGTGTTGAATTCAGTGATTTTAGTGCTGCAATAAAAATGGGAGCAGAGAGATTTATGAAACAATCAACATATTAAAAATGAAAATAAAAATACAGATTTTTAACACATTTTCAGCAAACTAATTTCTTCTAAGCTTGTCTCCTGATATGGCCTAAACCACTGGCATTGCTGGTTAATCACTTTCAGGGGGAAAACAAAAAGAAACTACTTCAAGATCATAGGCTTTCTATTTTACTATAAAAGTTTATGCTCTGAAATGTTTCAAAGTTAGCAGTCTTGGTAACATTAATTCACTACAAGAACCAATGATCAGATTCGTGAGTAAACCAGAGGAATAAAACATAATTAGTTACCACCAATGTGCAGAGAAATTGTAAATGTGATTAAAAGTTTGTGTTTTAATTATAAATCCTATTAACCTATTTCAGTGTCTGAGAATCTTTCAACTTCATTAGTCTATGGTATAAGAAATCTGTTTTTATTTGTGTGAGTGGGTGTGCAGACACTACATATAAATTAATTATTTTCTGGATTCAGTAAAATACATTAACCCTTATAAATCCATTTATTTCACACTAGCTGGAATGTCAAGTATATAGATCACAAGACCAGAACAAAGCAGAATTGTTCCATGCTTCTGCAACCCCTATATCTCTCTTCTTTGTATTTTTTTTTCATTTAGTTCTGAATTTCATCTTGATGATTCCTCTTAAGGCAAACAGTTTTCTAAGATCCTTTCTTCAAAAGAGTTAGGCCTTCAAATTTGTCTATAAATAACAATCCAACCAATCTCTTAGAATCCAAAACACAAACAGCTTTTAGACTCTTATTTCTTCTGTCATTCTTCTCTTCCAAAATTTTCAAAAATATTTTATACCCATAATTTAAATGACAAAATAGACAATATCTGCAATGAGCACGTGTGCTCTCTCTCTCTCCCCACCTTAATTTTTCTATCTTCCACGGTGTTGCCTTCCTTCTCCAAATCATTTTCTCTGATAATAAGAGGAGATTCTTTCACCACAAATGTAGATAATTTTCCTGTTTACCCATTACATCCAAATCAATCAGCTGGAAGGAAAAAATTGTTCATTCAACCTCAAACTATAGGTATATACAGTAAAAAATATTGTCCACCTTATTTTTAAGGAAGCTATATTTTAAAATTCAAGTCATCAGCAGATGCCATGGTATGTTTACTGCAATGTAAGAATACTCACCCTCCTTGCCAATCAGATAGTGAGGCTGTCATTACAATGTTGAAAACCAAGTGAAGATATACAGTATTTAACATTCAACAGATGGTGAAATTATAAAACAAGTCCAAAGCACAGTAATAACAAATGGTCTTTATAGTGTGGAGCTGAGATGCAAGTGATTCAGGTTCTGAAAAAGAAAATGCCAAATTAATTTATTTGTAACTCTCAACTCCGTGGCTTGATTGGATCGAAAAAGCAGATTACTGCCGTTTTATTCCTCTTGGTTCCTTCATTGTCATTATTTTGATTCTGTGTCAGCATCCTAGATGACACTTAAATGGACTGAACTAGTACAGAGCTTAAATAACTGAAACTAATGAAGACCTGTGGTCATAACTAGACTGCCCACACTTTTGTAGACACCCATCAGAAATAAAGAATCATAATTATTTTATAGTGCCACTTTCCACTTTCAGTTACAAGTCTCACATTCTTCTTTGAGTTTGGGGTGTATCTATTCATGATTTTTTAAAAAGTTGGATAATTCACATGTATGGGGAAAGGTATATGTCTTTAGATTTCTAAGTAAAAAATATTGGAAAATGTTCCTCAAAGGTTTTTCAGATGATATATAGAGCTCTTTGGGAGCTCCTTGAGAGTGGCGGGAGTGTTTTCTTTCTCTTTATTTCTCAAAGCACATTTAGGTGCTCACCAAATGTTGGGTGTTTTAAGTCAGGTAACTTACTTGAAAGGACTATTAAATTGAACTGAATAGACTTCCTAATTGCATCTGCAATAGAAAGGGCATTCAAGCCAGGACTTGAATCTCTGGGGATCAATAATCTGTTATCTTTTCAGGGTAAAATGAAGACACGATTAATACTGATGTTGGTCTTTTGTTTTTCCTTTCCATCATTTACTTTGTTTTCTAATGCAAGAGTAAATAAAATTATTCAAGCACTAAAATCTGAAAAAAAGCAATAGAGAAAGAATAGCTACCGTATGAATACAGAACTAACTTCTGTATACACACTGATGCACCTGGAAAGCAAATTTACATAGATATATGAAAAAAGCATTACATATCCCCCATCTCTGCCACTTTTAATACCAAAGTTTGATATGCATCCCTCCATAACTTCTTTATGCATAAATATTATGTTTTTATACACACATATCCATAGATTATTTGTCTTTTGTTTGTTGATATTTTATACAGGCTTTAATCTTCATGGGAAAACAAGTTTGTTTGATGATTGATCCAGGTAGTCTCCTGAAACAGCCCGGCAATGAACTAGCTGGGGCCAGGATTTTCCTCCTCTTCCAGCAAAGGGTCCTTCCAGCTTTGAAGGATCTCAACTTCTTTCAATGTGTCCAGTTGGGAGGAGGCAATTGGCATTCTCATTACTCCCTTACTAGCTGATATCCTGATTCAGACTATCTTTCCAAACTCATACTGTTTCCCCCCATTTTTGAGGTCACTTTCATAATCATCTCTCATAAAATAAGAACACCAAAGCAGTAGGTAACTTTCCTGGAACAAATTTCCTTGGTGTGCCCTGCTGTGCCCAGAGAAGGAAGCATGTATTCTGAAGAACTCCATGAAAACTGGGGACTTGTCTGTATCTGCGATCTGCCCATTAGCTCCTATCAGAGCAAGGTGACACTTCTAGTGTTTTGCCCAAAACTTCTGCTCATCAGTGGCATCAAATGCAGGGTGAGCGCCACTACCTACTTAAAGCATTTAACTGAACACATTAACAAAGGGAGATATTTCTCTGGGGTTACAGCAGGTCGTAGTGAAGATAATAGCCATATGGTCTTGTGGTCTGTCAGGCAGTGATGCCCTAAAGTAGGTGAATCACTTGGCCGTGGTAGAGTACCTATACTCTTTAATAAAACTGCTCTTGAATTTTCTATTTTATTTATTTTGAGGCAACAAGAGCTTCTGGATCACAATAAACTCCTCAATGAAAATAAGTTTTCTCCTACCTGTTAATGATTAGCAATGAGTAGATTTGTTAAGTGCTTCAAAAATTAGTAATTGCCGTTCATTTAACCCATCTAATAAGCCAGGTCCTGTTTAGGAAAATGACATATATCATTCACTAATCACTTAATACAAAACTATTGAGTATCTACAGTTTACCAGGCACTAGCTTAGGCAATGGAGATATGATATCCTAATAAGAAACCTAGTTTAATAAATAAATGCTTATAAGACAGAGAGACAGAATAGGCACAGGATGATTCAGGAAGAATGTCTTAATTGTTAACTAAAAGAGTAAGGCAAGAGTTGGCCAAGCAGGGATGTGAGGAAAGACATTCCAACAGAAAACAACATTTGCAGAAGCCTGTAAGGCATATCTGCCAAACTTACGGAAATGGAACAGGCTGTGCAAAGAACAGAGTCATGAGAGATAAGGCTCAAGAGGTAAATCAGTGGCCAGACAATGAATGGTCATGTAAAATATGCTAAACATTTTTGATAAGGGGAGCTGTACAAGAAAGTAAAATTAATGAAGTTAAAAGATACAGAAGGTCAAATAGAAAGGATTTAGTGATTGGATATTCTCAGTCATGAAGATGGAGGGTTAATGATATTACCCCAAGGTCTAAGTTTGGTAACTGGTGGGATGGAGACTTCATTCATAAGGAAAAGAAGGGAAAGCTAAACAATGGTACAGGTTGCTTTTATTGGTGAGAAAAAACAGAGAGATAGAGGATTCTGTTTTGGAAAAGTGAGTTTGAAATACTGTGGGACATAAAAGTAGATGCAGCTGGTGGTAGTTAGATATATTAGGCTGAAGTTACAGAAGATATTTGTGTTGATGATTTAGATTTGTAGCTGAAAAATAAAGACAAATGAGAAAGCATGGACAGGAAAGTAGGAGGGGAAACGCAGTATCATAGAAGCCAATTAATAAGATATTTTATTTCCCTAATTACACAAGTTATATATGCTCCTTATACTATGATCCAAGCAATAAAATGTGCATTAAGAATGAATAATGTTTCCTCTGCCTGACACAATCTAAATCACAAAAAGACATTAGTAACATTTTTATGGATATCTCACTGGACATTTTCTATGCATATATAAATATACACATCTATATGCATAAACATGCACATTTACACAGCAGGGATCATATCATATATTCTGCAACTTACTTGTTTTATTTAAAAGATTGTGGATATATTTCACTATCAGTACATAGAGATTTATAATATTATTTTTAATGGTTGGATGATATTCCATTGTATGAATATAGCATAGTTAATATTTTAAATTTATATTTAAATGTTTATTATAGAAATAATTCAAAGACATTGTGAAAAAAAAAACAGGAAAAAAAAAAAACTTATACTCCTCCTCCTCTACCTCAGAGTCAACCAGTGTTAATCTTTTACTCTTTAGGACATCTGGAGGTTAAGTTTTCAAATATGACACTTAAAATTTTATTATATCATTATCAGCTTTAGATCTCCATTATTTGCCACCTTTAAAGATGAAAAATTTAGGGATTTTATGCAATCCCTCATCTCCCTTTCCCTCCACATCCAAATGTTTGTGAGTTAATCATTTTAATTTCTTCTTGGGTTTTCACTTTTTAAAACTTTCTTTCTTTACATGACAAATTGTAATTTCTTTTTTTAAAGCTAGCACTTAATATTATCTATTTTACCCTGGATTAAAAGAAAGAAAATTAGCTCCTTAAGCTCTATCTTTTCTTCCATTTCTTAAAAAATTTTAAGAAAAATTATTAAGGGCTTATAACTTTTACATTCTCTTCTGTAAATACGCATCCTAAAGAGAATTTTCTGTTTCTATAGCTTAATACAAAAAGGTTAAACCACAGTGCATAATTTAACATGTGATTATGAAAACATTATGTACCACAGAATTAAAAAGTTAGATTGAACCCATACAGATGTAAGAACAAGCCATTGAAAACTTGTTTCTAACTTCCTTCCCATCTTCTGGATAAGATTCACTAGTTACTCTATTTTTGTATTCTATATTGTCTCATATTTTGGAGTAGGGTAGTATCTTTTTATTTTCTGGAAAACTCCCTAAAATGATTGTTTTCACAGAGTAAATATACATAATGATATTTCTTAGTTATTCTATGCCTGAAAAAGTGTATAATTTACCCTCACATTTGATTGATAACACATCCAGTTGTAGAACTCTAGGTTTAAAACATTTTTTTTCCTCTCAGACTTAGGAAGTCATTGTTCTCAGGTTCCATGTTGCTGACGAGAAGTCTGATGTCTTTCTGAGTGCCAATCCTTTGAAATCAACATAATGCAATATACTTTGTTTTATTTCTTTCTAAATAGTTTTAAGGTTTTTCTCTTTAATCTTGATATTATGAAATTTTTACTGTTTGAGTCATTTTGCCTGATGTTGTTCAGCAACTGAAGACTTAGGTTTTCTACCCATGTATACAGTACATCAGATAAGACAAACTAGTGTTTCTCTACTCTCCATCTAGCACTCCTTTTGCGGGCTCTTTTTCCCATTTTTTTATTACTTAACTTTCCTCATAATCATTTTCTTCTGTTTCTTTTCTGTCCAAATTCTGTCAAATTTCCTTGATTTTTTTCTTTCAGATTACTTATTGCTATTTTTTGAGATAATTTGTTCTGCTATATATCTTAACTATGTTGATTTTTACCTTTTGGACTTTGGCTATCTTTTTTATTTCCACACTCATTTATTAAATTTATAAACATTTTTTCCAATAGATTCAATTTACACCTAAATATTTATAAGGGCAATAAGAATTATTGTTAAGGTTTCTTTTGTTTTGTTTTTTTTGTTCTCTGCATTATCTCTATTTCCTCCAGGGTTGATTTGTTTTGGTTTGTTTTTAGTTCATCCTGGATCTTTCTCTTGATGATGTTGTCTTCAGATGTCATGCTGTTCGTCATTCATAAATATAAACGTACTATGTTAACAAGTGTGCCGAGCCAAATGTGTTTTCTCACCAGTTGTATATGTCTCTTCTAGATGATTACTCCCTTAAATTGGAATATCAATCGCAATTTCTATAGAAATATTGAGGTATGTCAGCAGGTAATCTTCTTATAGTTTGAATAGATAAAAAACAGGAAATCAGGCCGGGCGTGGTGGCTCATGCCTGTAATCCCAGCACTTTGGGAGGCCGAGGCGGGCCAATCACAAGGTCAGGAGATCGAGACCATCCTGGCTAACACAGTGAAACCCCATCTCTACTAAAAATACGAAAAAAAAAAAAAAAAAAAAAAAAAAAAGAAGATAAGCCGAGCTTGGTGGCCGGCGCCTGTAGTCCCAGATACTTGGGAGGCTGAGGCAGAAGAATGACATGAACTCAGGAGGCAGGGATTGCAGTGAGCCGAGATAGTGCCACTGCACTCCAGCCTGGGCAACAGAGCGAGACTCCATCTCAGCAACAACAACAACAAATAAAATAATAATAAAAAAAAAACAAACAGGAAACCAGACTCCTAAACTTGTTAGAGTAAGGAGGCTGTAATTGGGCACAGAAGGAATCATTTTACTGCTGTATGAAGCTATGTTTCCTTTCATTTTGTTTTTTTGTTGTTTTATGAGTCTCCAGCAGGAGTTAATATATCTAACAAAGTTTTAATGGAACAGAACCATGCACATTTGTTTATGTATTGCCTATGGGTGCTTTCTTTTTTTTTTTTTTTTTTTTTTGAGACGGAGTCTCGCTCTGTCGCCCAGGCCGGACTGCGGACTGCAGTGGCGCAATCTCGGCTCACTGCAAGCTCCGCTTCCCGGGTTCACGCCATTCTCCTGCCTCAGCCTCCCGAGTAGCTGGGACTACAGGCGCCCGCCACCGCACCCGGCTAATTTTTTGTATTTTTAGTAGAGACGGGGTTTCACCTTGTTAGCCAGGATGGTCTCGATCTCCTGACCTCATGATCCACCCGCCTCGGCCTCCCAAAGTGCTGGGATTACAGGCGTGAGCCACCGCGCCCGGCCCGGGTGCTTTCTTGCTGTAATGACAGAGTTGAGTAGTTGTAACTACAAAGCCTAAACACTTACTACACGATCCTCTGTTTAACCCACTTATGCCTAGTGTTCCATTAGTGGAGTGCTAAGCATGTGGGAATTACTTATATCCTACAGCTCAAGGTCATTGCCAAGGTCTGATTTTTCACTCATGGAAAAATTCAAAAAATTGCAATCTCTGGCATAAATGGGTTAAAAAGTTTGCCAACTCTTGATGAAAGCTACCCTTAACTTCTGTGATACTTCTTTCTCACTCTAATACTCACTAGTAGCAGTGCCCACAAAGATTACTTTCTGGTTTTAGGGAAGAATTCTCAGGATTTATCTGGATGTCAAAAACTCCAATTGCTAGATACTTGGTTTACAATGGAACAGGAATGGAATGCATCTCTTTCAGATGTTTCTAAAGGCATTTACTTCATAAATTAGCTGGTTGATTTACACTGGTCTTTGCATTTGCTGACTCTGAAGTTGAAGCATCTCTGGACTCCCTTGGGAGGCCCCTGCTTATATCTGGTATCATTTGCTCCAATTTTTGCAGGATATTCTACATCAATACTATGTAGTCTGCTTTCTATATTCCAATTATCACATAAACATTTCTGATCCATTGCTTGCATTTGTTTATGTTTATTATCATTGTAATGATGTCATACTGTCTGTTTTCTTTCTTTCTTTCTTTTAGAGATAGGGTATCACTACATAACCCAGGCTCAAAGTGGTGCAATGATAGCACACTGCAGCCTCAAACTTCTAGGTTCAAGCAATCCTCCTGTCCCAGCCTTCTAAGTAGCTGAGACTAGAAGTGCATGCTACAATGCCTGGCTTGTTTTTGTGAAATTTCTGATGGGTCTATGAGAACTTTGGAAAGATATGAGCTAGATCTTTGTGCTCAAGATGTCATCTGGAACGTGAAACTTAAAAAAAATGTTTTACTAGGAGGAATAATCAATATTGCTAAATACTGCAGAGACTTCAAGTCAGATGTGGGTAGAAAAGTGGCTCTAGATATAGAAACAAGGATGTCATTGGATACCTTGGAGATAGGTTAACTGACATAGTGAGGGAAGAGGGCCGAGAACAGCAACTTAAGGAATGGCTGAGATTTGAAGAAAACAAGTAACGTGAACACATGCAACATTTTAAAGTTTGACTTGAAGAAGAGTAATAGGCCTACATGTGGGCTGGAGATAGGTGATTAAATTGTAGACTTCTGTTAACTTATTTATTGTTGCTGCTGTTCTTTTTTGGGAGAGAAGAGAATACATCAAATTTAAAAGTGGAAGAAGCCTTGAGACAGAAAGGAGATTAAAAAAGAGTGACAGGGAATACTTTATTAAATGTATCCTTGAAAAAGCAGAAAAGAATAGAATCCTGGCACAGATAAAATAATTCACTTTAGGTAAGATGGCAGGAAGGAGAAAAGGCAAAAAATGAAGGATGCGGACGCAATCTAGAAATTGATGGCAGGACATTGCAAAGGTTTTCATTCTATTGCTTTTATTTTCTACCTGAAGTACAAAGAGTATGTTAGGTATTAGCTAACCTAAGAAATTCAAAGGCAGTTGGAATAGCTGCCACAGATAATGGAAGATAGAGAGAACTTGGATAATACTGAAGTACTGGTGAAATACTGAGGTTTCAATTGAGGATAGGTATCATTGTTTTGTAGTGACACAAGCTTCAGTTTGTAATTTCTATAATAGGTTTACACAGCCTGAGTAAGAGTACAAAAGAGGCCAATAGTTGGAGTTTCGCCCAGCAGGGGAGTGGGGGATTAGCAGGAGACTGGTATTTGGCCATGATGTCTAAAATGTATAGCGAAGGAAGCAGAATTAAAGGTGACTAACAGAGATCAAAGTAGAGGATTTAGGGACTGAGTACCCCTGTGGTAAAAAAAAAAAAAATGCAACACAGGGCAAAAATACGGAGTGAGAGAAAAGAAGCTGGGATTACAGTAAAATGCTTAAATATAAAATAATAGATAAATCACTTCTACGCCATGAGCCCTTCCTTGTGTAGCTGTGGAGATGAGTTGTCTAGTTAAATTCTCACATCAAGTTGAAGAATTATTATGAACTTCCTCTCAGAGATGAGAAAATCTCAGAAAGGAAAGAAAAGAATCTGGAATTTGGAATGCCAAAAAGTAAAGAATTTGGAAGGCCAAAAAATAGAGTCTGGAATCTCAATACCAAAAAGTAAAGAAACTGGAAGTTGCAAATTATAGGTGTTTTTCCAGAAAGCCTTATGTTTTTTGAACTCTCTCCATGTCTCAATAAGACTTCCAATGAGAAAGGAGCCATTATAGAACTGAGATTCTAGGCCGGGCGCAGTGGCTCATTCCTGTAATCCCAGCACGTTGGGAGGCCAAGGCAGGCAGATTACCTGAGGTCATGAGTTCAATACCAGCCTGGCCAACAGGGTGAAACCCCGTCTCTACTAAAAATACAAAAATTGGCTGGGTGTGCTGGTGAGCACCTGTAATTCCAGGTACTTGGGAGGCTGAGGCAGGAGAATCACTTGAACCCAGGAGGCAGAGGTTGCAGTGAGCCAAGATGGCTCTACTGCCCTCACACTGGGTGACAGAGCAAGCCTCCATCTCAAAAAAAAAAAAAAAAAAAAAAAAAAAAAGAGAGAGAGAATTGATGCTCTAGTCTGCTTCCATGGGGCTTCAAATCCTGGAGCAAATCACTCCCATCCCTTCCTACACTATCTATGTACCTTTCCAGACAATTTCAATAAAGAACATGACCCCTCATTTGAGAACTCTCAGATCTGGAGGGGCTTTTAAATTTGCAACTAAGTTCTTTTAAGGGCACTTTAAAGAGGGATATTTTGGAATTTTCTTCAATTAAAATCTCATTTTAGATTCTAAGGAACTTCCCTAAGTTATGAGAATACATGTTATGATTCAGATATATAGCTATGCCTACTCATTGGGACTTTTTCCCTATAAATATTGTGAAATAAAGCATCATACATTTTGGTGGTATAGAGAGAATCACTGAGTAATAGACCTCACCAAATAAAGCATTTTTATTTTAGAAGCATAAGTAAAACCTAAGAAGACTCTGGATTTATTTTCAGGAAAGGTTTCAAAATTGAAAGACTGGGATGCACAACAGTAAAGCAGTAGCTGTGTTTTAATAAATGAAAACAATGCTAATGAACATATAATAAATCCCTGTGCGATAGTGACTGGAAGAATAGTACAGAGTGAAATGGAAAAATCCACTGTTTATTCCTGATTCTTAAAAAAAAAAAAAAAAAGCCAATTAATACCTCCTCTTTGCTAATGCACTTTGGTTTGTTTGTTTTTCTGATTGAAGATATTTTAAGAAGGCAAGGAAAAGGATAACAAGATTTAAGTGAGAGGAGAAGCCTGATAGTGAAACTGGAAGGTGCCAAAAATAGCATTCCCAGGTGTATTTGTAAATGTGTTTTACATGCCGAGAATCTGTCCCTTGTAATGCTCATGGGCTAAGAGCCATTTGTCATAGCAACCTTCATCAACCATCCTAGGTGAATACTTTCTACCTTGTTTAGCTTATCACTTCACTGCATTTATTTCCTTCAAAGTATCTGTTTAAATACCTGTTTTGTTTTTAGTTACTCTTACTTCCTCGTGTCTTAAACCCTATTTTAACTATATAAGCTATTAAATCAGGAACAATGCTATTTTTGTGCACTATTGTCCACCAAGGACCTTACAAACAGTATGCACTTGATATCATTTGTTGACTTAACTAATGAATTTGCCATGTTCCTCAACTTGATGGCAACAATTTTCAAATTAAGACTTACTGTGTCACTTAATGACTGTATTTGGGCATAGGTAACAGATCTTACAGTGGCTAATCCAAAGGGGATCACTGTTTTCCGTGTTTTAGTTTGTTTTATGTTTTTTTGATATATCATAATAGCTGTACTTATTTTTGGGGTATATGTGATACTTTGATACATGTATACAATGTATAATAATCCAATCAGGATAACTGGGATATCCACCACCTCAAACGTTTATCTTTTGTGTTGGGAACATTACAATATCCTTCTAGCTATTTTGAAATATGCAATAAATTATTGTTAAGTATAATTCCCCTACTGTACTATTGAATACTAGAACTCATTCCCTTTCTCTAATTGTATTGTTGTACCCATTAACAAACTTATCTTCATACACTCCTTCCTCCTTTCCTTTGTAGCCTCTGCTAACTACCTTTCTAGTCTCTACCTCCATGAGATAAACTTTCCTTAGCTCCTACATGAGTGAGAACATGTAATATTTGTCTTTCTCTGACTGGCTTATCTCACTTAACATAATTACCTCCAGCTCCATCCATGTTGTTGAAGTGACAGGATTTTATTCTTTCTATGGCTGAATAATATTTCATTGTGCATATATACAACATTTTCTTTGTCCATTCATGCACTGATGGACACTTAGGTTGATTCTGTATCTTGGCTGTTGTAAATAATGCTATAATAAACATGAGAGTGTGGATGTCTCTTCAGCTTACTGATTTCCCTTTTTTTGGTTATATACCAAGCAGTGGGAAGGCTAAATTATATGATACATCTACTTTTAGTTTTTCAGAAACTTCCATACTGTTTTCCATAATGGCTATACCATTTTACATTCCCACCAACAGTGTACACGTGGTCCCTTTCTCCACATCCTTGCTAGCATTTAATTGCTGTCTTTTTTATAATAGCCATTTTAACTGGAATAAGATGATATTGTATTGTGGTTTTGATTTGCATTCCTGTGGTGATTAATGATGTTGAGCATTTTTTTCATACACTATTGGCCATTTGTATGTCTTCTTTTGAGAAATGTCTATTCAGGTCTTGCCCATTCTTTAATTGGATTATTTGGTTTATTGCTTTTGAGTTGTTTCAGTTCCTTAATATAGTCTAGTAATTAATCCTTTGTCAGATGGATATTTTGCAAATATTTTCTCCCATTTTGTAGACTGTCTCTTCATTTTATGTTTTTCCTTTGCTGTGCATTTTAGCTTGATATAATACCATTTGTCTATTTTTGCTTTGGTTGCTTGTGCTTTTGAGCTCTTACCCAAAAAATCTTTGCCCAGGCCAATGTCCTGTAGCATTTCCTCAATATTTTATTCTAGTACTTTCACAGTTTCATGTGTTACATTTATGTCTGTAATCTATTTTGAGTTAATTTTTGTATATGTTGAAAGATGGAGATCCATTTTTATTCTTCTGCATATAGATATCTAGTTTTCTCAGCACTATTTATTGAAAAGTGTTCTTTTCTCAATGTATGTTATTGGTGCCTTTGGTAAAATAAATTGGCTACAAGTGCATGAATTTATTTCTGAGTTCTCTATTCTGTTCCATTGATAAATGTGTCTGTTATTATGCCAGTACCATGCTATTTTGGTAAATATAGCTTTGTAGTGTAATTTAAAATTAGGTAGCTTGATACCTCCAGCTTCGTTCTTTTTGGCTCAGAATCGCTTTAGGTTTTTGAGGTCTTTTGTTGTTGCATACAAATTTTAAGATGACCTTTTTCTATTTCTGTGAAGAAAGTCATTGGTATTTTGACAGGGATTGCACTGAATGTGAAGATCACTTTGGGTAGCATGAATATTTTATTTTCATATAATAACATGTGGCCAGGCACGGTGGCTCACACCTGTAATCCTAGCACTTTGGGAGGTCAAGACAGGTGGATCACCTGAGGTCAGGAGTTCGAGACCAGCCTGGCCAACATGGTGAAGCCCTCCCTCTTCTAAAAATACAAAAATTAGCCATGTGTAGTGGCTGGCGCCTGTAATCCCAGCTACTTGGGAGGCTGAAGTAGGAGAATCCCTTGAACGTAGGAGGCAGAGGTTGCAGTGAGCTGAGATTGCGCCACTGCACTCCAGCCTGGGCGACAAGAGTGAAACTCCATCCCCACCCACCCCCCCCCAAAAAAAATTAAAAATTAAAAAAAATAGTGTTCAGGGTAAATAGTTCAGGAAACGTATGACAAGTCTACAACTCACCACTTGCCCTGGGATCCTTTGATTTTTTTATCCCATCCTTAGAATCCTTCATGAGAGCTGCTGGAAAAATGAAAAATTACTTTCAGTGGCAAAAACCACAATTACTTTTGTACCAACCTAATAGTTTTCATGTATTTGTTTAACATGGGAAGATTTCAAAAGTATCAAAAATCTGTTAATAAGAAATAAGTTTGGGCAAATAATAGTCTCATACTAGAATGTTTCTTGATTGATATACAAGCCAGAAAAACCCTAATAAAACATTATCATCGCCTGGTCTGTCTCACTCCAACAAGCAATAATGAGCCATTATAGACTGTTCTAGGAGGGATAGCATTGGGAGATATACCTAATGCTAGATGACGAGTTAGTGGGTGCAGCGCACCAGCATGGCACATGTATACATATGTAACTAACCTGCACAATGTGCATATGTACCCTAAAACTTAAAGTATAATTAAAAAAAAAAAAACAAAACAAAACAAAACAAAAAAAAAAGGAAACCAAATTTTTATCACAAGAAAGTCCAGAGAGTACAGAGTTAGAGCAAATAGAGGGCTAAATGAATTAAATATTTAATGGCAGGATAGGCCAGCCTGGTATGTACATACCAACTTTAGGGATGGTTTTTCCAATTAGATTTAAATATTCAGGTTGTTGACAAAGACATCCTCTCCTCTAGACCATATTTGTATTGACACAGTCAAGCTATTAATTCTGAGATCCTCTCTTTTCCATACTTCATTTTATGACTAACTCTTTTTTGATGGGTACATTCTTTCTTTTGATATTTTACTGTCTTCAGTTATAATAAGTTTAGTCTTAACAATTGCAGAAGCTAATCTTTCTCTTTCAGGGAAATTTGCATGTCTCTGATCTGATGCATTTACTTCACAGTTTAACTGTCAGAAAGTAATTTTGTTTCCACTTTTTCCAAGTTCTCCTGGAACTTTCCAGCACAGTCGTAAAACATTGACAAATAATGTGAACATGGTTTTCGATCTTAAAGTTGACTAATAAATATTAACCATAAAATTTCCTTCAATGTTTAATTTTTCTTTCAATTGCCCCTGAGGCTGATGAATTTTTCCTTATAGTATTTTAGGAATAAAGATTCTTCTGCTCATGTTCTAATATCAATATTGGCTTCCCCTTGGAGACTTTTGATAAACATGTTATTTTCTTAATATAAGACTTTTTAAATGTCTGAGCATCTGGTTGCTTAACATTCACCAACATATTATCAATTACTTCTCTTTTTAAGAGGAAAGAATTTGAAATTTGAATGTTCCAATTTCAGACTGGCCTTATGTTACTAATTGTGATTTTATGTAACTGTCTTGACATCCCTGAACTTTATTTTCTTTACCAGTGATATAGCTGCCAACTCTATCGCACACCACTGTTTTAAAGATCAGATCAGATTATATAAGCATGAGAACAAATAGGGTGGAAAGATAATCTTCTTTCAGGCAAGAATTTCTACGTGTTGCTTAACTCCAAAGCTCTATAATTCTGGGTAAAATAACTTTAAATGCAATTGTCTGTTTGAATGCACCCTATGTAAATATCTAGCCACAGCTATTTCTTTGGTGGTTTGGGTGGAAGCTGGATGTGCAAATTGTGGTACGTGAGGTGTGTATGTAAGATCCTTTAAAATACAGGAGAAATTCAAAGTGAAGAGAACGGAATAAAGACTGAAAGTTGAGGGCGAAGGAATACTGTTCCTAGAACTGCCATATTCTAGAACTCTGAGACATCTGAAAATTCTAAATTTAAACTTAGCCCTCTAGGTTCTTGTGAACATATGTTGGTCAAAGTATGAAGACAGAGCCTATTTTATTTAACAACTTGCTTATTTGATAAATTACTTTAAATAGGCATATGAAATTTTAAAATTAAGCGTGTAACTGGATTGTTTGTAACTGAAAGGATACATGCTTGAGGGAATGGATACCCCATAATCCATGCTGTGCTTATTTCAAATTGCGTGCCTGTATCAAAACATCTCATGTATCCCATAAATATATACAGCTACTATGTACCTATAAAAATTAAATAATAATAAAAGTGATAAAATAAAATAAATATTGAGGCATATGATATATACCTTTGCCCCAGGCACAAAGATATTATCGGCAGGCTTGCTTAGTCTTTCTGTATTTCTATACTTAGAAAATATCAACATTTAAATATAGCCCTGTAGAAGGAGGGGTATCCCTATCTCCTTAATTCACAGGGGATATAATCGAGCTAGTGTTATTAGGTATAAGTCACCACAAACAAGACAGGAAGAAATGTGTGCAGATATAAGATATGCTTTTCTTCTGCTTCAAAAAGTGGTCAGTTAAGAAAAAATTTAAACTTAATGGAGAAGTTCTTGAGACAGACTTTCTGAATGTAAAGACAAGCCAACCGTGACCAAGGAAGTCATTGTGCAAATGTCCAGATCAGAAAAGTACTCTAAAATGTTGTGTGGAACACATATCCCTTGTAATGTCATTGCTTCTTCAGTTAGGTTCACAACCTTGTGTTTTTTCATTTGTTTGTTTTAGTCATGGAATAGATCAATGAATCTTCTATGTTAAAAGCATCTTCCATGTTCAAGGAAGTTTTTCCTATTTTTTTCAACTTATATTACTTTATATTTTGGGCTATTTTTGCCTTTATGAACAATAACAGCACCAATGACTATGATTAGACATGATTGGGTGCATGTGTATATGTCTATTTTGGTAGCTGTCTGCATTTTTTTGCATTAATTTTTACTTAAAACTAGGATTCTATTTTGTACCGTGTACTTTTAATTCATGGATTTATATTATAAGTTGATTTAATGAAAGGGAATAATTAAAGCCCACAGTATAATAAAATCTCAGATCTACTCCTGTATATTTTACTAACCTGAAGGGTTAGAGCATGAATTACCAAGATAATCACCTCTACTATCCACTGCATATGCCTAAACAATTTAAAGTTTAAGCATTATTTTACTTTCACATTTTTGCTCCTCTTTTCTTATATAAACAAATATGTCTTTCTTCCTCTGCTTTACACCCTAGTTGTTTGTCTGGTTATCTCTTTTTCTCTTCTTGTTATGTACTACATATGTCCATGAGTCTAGTTGTTTGTCTACTTAGGTTTTTTCTCTTCTGGTTATTTACTATGTATATCCATGACTAATACTCCAGTCTTTCCAATATATAAACATTTGAAGGCAAATCGTTTTCCAGAAAGATTTCCATGCATGAGTAACAGGTATTCTGAGAGTGAAATTAACCAGCTCATATTCCTCATCCCTTTATTCTGCCAAATGGGAAAACTAATCTTGTTATGTAAGAAGTCATTACTTCATCTACTCATCAGCTGTTTTTGACATGCTCCAGTTGGCTCTCAGTTTGGAAATAAAATTGCACAAGGATGAAAATGAAGCCTGTTTCAGAACACTTTCAAGGAAGATTTGTTCCTGTAATGGGCTCTTTGCCGAAAGATACAGTTTTTAATTTGTGAGAAAATAAAAATGCAGTTCAAACAAGTGAAACATATAAAGTCAGAGGTCAAAAGACATTCTTCTTTTTATAGCAAGGAGGTTCAAACTCTGTATTAAGTGAAATTGAAAACACACATTTTTTGCTGTCTTCCACTTCTAGCAGTTTGGACAATGTATCTGTGAAAACAACTTAAAATTAAGTCAGGTTTCGATCTGTCCGTTTTCTACACATACTAGTCTCAGAATCTACTTTTTTACCCCCAGGTAAGTATTTAATATGTTAACTTCAGTCTTACTATCTCTATTTCCTTGTAATTATAGTTCTCTCCTTACCACATTCTGGCAAATGAAACATTTCTAACATGATGTATGGAATAATAAAGAATGTTTGTATAATGTTTCCCACAGTAGCTCTGGTTGCAAGAGTTTTTATAAATATTGGAACTGAGAGCAATCCCAAAGGGTATATTGAAATAATCAAGGCTCAGGAAGAACACCGAAGTCTGAGATAAGGTTACTTATCAATATCATTATTACTATTATTATTTTATTTAGATATTTATAAAAGGTAGCAATTAAAAATATAAAGACTCTGGGGGAAAAAAAACAAAAACCTTTTCTGTATGCATATCCCAGATTTTCCACCATCTAGCTGTATGATCTTGGGCACTCAACATCTCTGTGCCTCGACAGCCCCATCTATTGAATGGAGGCATAAAAATGAAGTAGATCCTAACTCATACAGTTGCTGTGAAAGTTTAATCTATCATTACAAAGAGCCATCATTTGTTAAGCACTTGCATTGTATCAGACACTGTTCCAAGTAATTTAAAATACAAACATTTGGTAACTTTAAGAAAGTCTTAAAATACTAACTTCCAAAGCACATTGAGGATTTACATACTCCTTGAAGCATATTTCTTTTATAGGAAAGTGAAGTAATGCTTCTCTCACATCAAATACTAATTTATTAGCTTACTAATATTTAAATGGATGATATATAGATCCAAGTACAAACACAAGATCCAAATAAAAACACATAATGATTAGAATTATTTCCTGTAGAAGGCATTTTGCAAAAAACATCAACATGAAAGTAAACCAACTCATAGAACTGTGTACTTAAATATATGTACTCTTCTTGTATGCAAAACAGGCTTTAATAAACTTGAATGAAAAACAAACAGAAAGCAAACCAAATCATTGGTTAATTTGTTGACAGCATGGGTAACCATGTCGTAATTGACTTACTATATTTTTAAAGGATCTCTCCTAACACCTACTAAATGTTTCTTCTCTGACTACAACAAATAGATTTGCATTAGAAAGAGGTCTTTACCCAGCTGAGTACTAGATGACCACATCATTGACATATACACTTCGCCAATCCCAACGGCTCTACCACATGTATCTTTCCCTGGCTTAAAGCAATTTGCACTCTATACATGTAGGACATCCATAAAATGTACAGTTATCATTACACATGTAACTATTTAACATAAATAGTTTTAGATGATTTTCCATTAGAAACACAAAACTATTAACTATTCTGCAATAGCAAAAATCATGAGAATCAAGTTCCTAAATTATCAGTGCCATCCAAAGAGTTGCTTTTAAGCTTTGACAAATAATAAATGTGGCTGAACAGAGTGGGGAAAATAGTTCCAGCTTTTATGGAGTCTTAACTACCCATAAGTAATTTTGGAAAATCCATTAATCTATTAAAATTGCAGAGCTCTGGACTTTCTTTCATTATTGACTGTCAGTAGAGATTAAGTTTACCATCACTCCATGGCAGCTAAGGACAGGAGTACAAGGGGAAGGAAAACTGGGTTCCAGTCCCCATTCGGTAGACACTTAGGTGTCCAACCGTGCAAGATACTTACTCTCCCAGGGCTTTTGTTTTCTCATCTACATAACTGACAGATTATAAAGTCTTTCTTATAGTCTTGCTAAGTTTTGGGATCATGGTTAGGCACCATAAGAAGAGGAGTGTTCTTTTTAGAATATTACATCAAAGAAGTAAATATTACCTTAGGTCTTGAAAGAGTTAACGGGTTTCAATACTTCAAGAATAAATCCTCCACTTTTTTTTTTTTTACGATAAAAAACAACCTCGCTGGGGTTTGTTTTTCTTGAAATCTGTTATATTTAAAACATGCTGAGATATCAAGAAATGACCAATCTAATTACTTGCATTTTTGGCAAAGATTTAGTTTCTTAGGCAGTAAGAAACTAAATGAAAAACTGAGAGAGTATTTTTCTTTATCTTGAAGAAAAATA
Source organism: Homo sapiens (assembly GCF_000001405.40). Classification (NCBI taxonomy): domain Eukaryota; kingdom Metazoa; phylum Chordata; class Mammalia; order Primates; family Hominidae; genus Homo; species Homo sapiens. Next base: position 44,329,359 of record NC_000004.12, read on the forward strand.
TGAGAAAACTATTGAGTGAATTTTTGAGGAAAGGAAAAATATTCTCTCCCATTTTACACATTTCCTAATAAGTTTGTATTACTTTATCTTCTAATTTTTTAAAGGGTCCCTCTGTAAGCATTAATTTTAGTGACACTGAGGTAAGATAAATTGTAAAAAATAAAGTTTTGTATATATAAGCTGTATATAAACTGTAAAGCTCTATATAGATGTAACACATCCATTATTCTCACATTCTTGATCTTAATCAGAAATACAATTAGCCCTTATCTTGCTTTGTGCAACCAGATTAGAAACATGAGTACCCAAGACAAACTTTTGTAGTATATCATATATAAGTAAAACAAATTTATTGAATGATAAAACAAAGGTGAGTTGAAAATATGAGCCCCCTGTGCTAGGTGTAAAATTAACAGTACTCTATCAGTATAATATTCTTGAGATACAAATAATTCTTGGAATAGTCTTTTTCACATAAAATTTAAATATCTATTTTAAATTTGATCCCTAGATTTTAGCTATAGTAGACAACAGTAAATGTAACTCTGACTTTTCATTGAAGACCACAGAAGCTTCCATCTACTGGAATTCACAAGGAATACCATATGATATCTATCATGGAACCTCATATCTCAATACTTCACAATCTAGCCACTATACCCACTGTATGTTCTATATAGAAAAGCCCCATCAATTCAGAAAAAAAATGCAATGAACATGTCAGCTTTTTCTATTATCATTCTTTTTTTCATTGTAACTAAAAACCTCACATTTCAGGTTAGATACGTTTGAATCTAATTAGGTGGACCTTTTGGTTAGTCTTATAGTCATCAGTAATATGTTGTTAGAATTTCCTATAAAATCTACAAATGTGGGTCATACCTCAGGTGGATATCGCACTTAATGAAAATTATACCTGCATTGACTATTAGCTTGAAACCTCAGAACAATGCTGTCCTTATTTTCCATAACACTGTCACTAGATAGTACTAATGTTTTATTTAGTTCTGCTGAGCCCAAATTTCTCTTCTTAGTTTATGACTTTTTTAGAAAGCTTTTACATCTGGAATTAGTTTCATATACCATGTTTTATCAGAGCTTTATTTTTCATGGATGTTATCAGTATCCCAAATGTTAGCTATTTTGCAAGGGCTCCAGTTGCATCTTTGTATTACAACAAAAAGTAAGTAGTTAAAATGTGGGAACCAGTTATGAAGAAAAACTAGCATCTAAAATCAAAGAGACCTGGTAATAAATGAGAATCTGACAATTACCACAGGTGTGAACTTCAATAATTCAATTAATTAATTTTTCTGAGCCTCGGTGAATATGTCTATAAACTACCAAAAAGGTTGCTATAAAAATTAAATGAAGTACTATATGTAAAGCTCAAAGCAGATAGTAAAAGTAGGTACTCAATTTCATGCTAGGGTTGCTTATGATGATGATGACAATGAAGGAGATGACAAAGACAGTGTGTCCATCAGGATGATTCAATGCTTCAATTAGTTTTCTGTTTGAGCCAGAGAAGAGGGGGTACTGGTACAAATGCAGTTTCCCAGAGAAGATATGAGGCATACCACATTGTGACACTTCCTCTTCCTTGATCCTAATCAGTTGTTATTAAGGCATAATAGATACTTTATGAGAAGACAGGAAAAATTTCACTTTTGTAGATTAAACATGTTAAATATTCTTTCATCAATGGAAAAGTTTTTCACAATCCTAGGTATGTGGAGAAGGCATGATGGCTTCACATGCTTTCTAAAGGAAGTTCATTAAAAAATAAAATATGAAAAAATACATTTTTGAAGCTGTCTTTTCCTTCTCAGTTTGGCAACAGCTCTTTGATAAAAAGAATAGTTCTAATTGTCATGCCCTAAATATATATTCTGCATCATCGATCCTCTAATATTGTTAGGAAAAAGTAAGGACCAGAGTATTAATCACAGGCAGGCATACCCAGTGTTGAGAGCATTTTAATTTAATGCTAATAAAAATAAAACTAGCTCCAACGCACTTTAACGACCCTATTACTGTAAAATTATATTATTTTGGAAAATATGTCTGCCCTATATAACATTATTTATCATATTATAAAGAACTGAGAAAAAGATTTGGACAGAGAAAACAGATCATAGATAGGTTGTTAACAAGAAGACACTGTTCTTATTGTAATGAATGTGACACACATGAATTAACCAATGTGCAAACAAAACTCGTTACCATTTTTGAGTGGAAAACTCACTGCTAATCTTTCCTGTTGATTTTGAAGATGATAGTAATTTATAAAATGTATATATTTTTATTGAAATTACATATATATACATATATGGAAATATATGTGGAGATGTGGAGCCATATATATAGTTTTATATATATATATATGTACAGCTTTATAGAGAGAGTGAAACCCTACAATAATCCACATCTCTCTCTGTGTGTATATATATATAAATTCATATATATGAAAAAAATAAAATATATATATGGATATGTATGTGGAGCTATATATATACACAGAGAGAGAGAAAGCAAGAGAGGGCATGAAACCCTACAATAATCCACGTAAATAACTGTATCTTTCTTAAACCAATTCTTCAAAAACCCGAAATAAGGCACAAGTAATAAAAAAATTAAAATACAGTCACACTACAGAAACTAGTAGATACTCTCAACTGAAACATGGTCCAAATTTCATTCCTTTACCAGAAATAAAGTTTAATGCAATACGCTGAAAGAAATGCTCTAAGTAATCAGAGGTGTAAATTTCACTGATCGTTCAATTATTTTCTAGCTACACAGTCTCTAAATTTCAGTGTTCTTAAGTATCAAATAAGTGAGAATAGATCACCCAGTGTTTTTCCTGGTTTTCTTAGCAACTAACCTGTTTTTCAAATACAGTCTATACAGAAACTCAGTATGTTTTGAACAGATGACTGGATCTGCTCTGTTGGAATTAAGATGGAGAAACATGGTCCAGGACCTTCAGCCTTCTCTGTTACACATGGCTGTTATATAATATACCTTAACACTGTTTCAAATCAAGTACTTGCATTTATAAAATATATTAATCCTGCCTACAAATTTCAGTCTTTACACAAAAAGGAATGAAATATTATTCACCATTTTTATTCTCCATAGATTCATACAAGATAAGTTTTCAATAACTAGTTGTTGACTTCATCTGTGACAGTACCTTACATTTATGTACTATTTTACTTCTTACAAAGCATTTCTCACAGTTTCTCATTATCTCACTTGTTTTTTACCAGTAATACAGTAGGCAAGAAAAGTTTAAATGAAAGAGAAATAGGTTCTTTTTCACTCTATTATCTCTTTCTTTTTTTAAAAAAGAAAACTCCATAGTTAGGAAAAGACAAATCCATCATACAAATTCCATCATAAATGTTTCCATTTTTATAGTACCATATATCACATATGTTCCAAATGCATATCACTGTTTCAAAAATGCTCTTGGTTTTACATGACAGACCAGAGATTCTCAACTCTGACTCTGTTGATGTCAGTTGTGACAACCAAAAATGTTTACAGGCATTGTCAAATGTCTCCTCAAAGGGCAGTCACCCTCAGTTGAGAACCACCTGAAACACAAACACTAAGGTCAATTGCAGAGACCAATTCATTTCAATACACCTGCTATGTTCACAACTATTTGTATCAATTGGCCATAATGATTGTAGAGTCTGTCATTCTTTGTTTCTAATGGCCAGATAACCAACTGATCACACTAGTTCCTTCATTATAATCATAGGGAGACAGTGCAATGAATATCTCATAGAATATACAGGCACAATTTTAGACTTTGGAAAAGACTGTGTCGCCGATTAATATTAAAGATGAAGACAGACAATCCAATACAGGGACCAGGAAAGATGTCAGCCTATAATGAATCTGTCTCAAATTACACACAATAGCAGGCTGTATAAAGAATATCATGCACTTTAATAAGTCGCAAGCAAACCAAAAGAAGGCTTTTATAGGAAACATTCTTAATAAAAACCTGGGCTACTGTCTTAAGTAAAGATGTAAGTCAATACTTCAATATTGTGCTTTACTCACAACCCTCCTATGATGCACAGGCATAGTATCAATCAACAAAGGCAGAGCTGAGCACAAGCTGGGTAGGTATAACTAAGGTCAAGTCTCTCATGATTTCTAGCAGCAGTATGTAGCTAACAGTTGTTTCAGCAATGTCTTGATTGCTACCAGTCATTGACCTTACCACTCATCCATTTCCTCACACATTTATTAAGTGATCATTTTTATCTGGTAATAGGTAACAGATTAGAAAGTAAAAATAAGATGACCTAGGAGCTGAGCTAAGAATGTGATGTTGTATTGAGGTGAATGAGAGGCATGATACAAGAGTAATATATGAAGATGGACACTCCTTGGAAAGAAAAGTTTTAAATGAAAGGCAAAAGCATAAGGCAAATCCAAAAGTAAAAAGGAGTGACTGCTATATTATTCGGTGCCAAAGAAGTTAAGAAAAAAAGTCGATCATTTAATATTCTTAGAAAGGTATAATATTCATGTTCCTTCATATGCCATAAAAGGTATAATCAAAATACATGGATCACAGACTGTTAGAAGCATGAGAAAAATTGAACACCATACAACTGGAGAAATCACTACCCATTTATAGCTAATTTAAAAGATAGAAATTAGGAAACTTATAGAGAATTTGAAGAACAGAATTAATAAAGTTGAGTTAATAGCTATAGTATATTGAACTTAGCACCCTACAGAGAGATACCATAAATTTTTTATTCCAGTGAACCACTGAATATGTTTTAAAAGTCACTCAATACATTGGTTGTCTGCTGTGTGCCAGGCTTTCTTCTAGTTACTATGATACAGCAAAGAAAAAAAGGATAAAATTCTCTTCATTGTACAGTACACATTCTGGTTATAAGGTAACCAAGAAACCTTCTATAAATTTCAAAGCAGAAATTGTACAGGATACATTTTCTGGATACATCATGATGAAGGAAGAAATTAAATTATACATGGTCAAACAAAATCCTCGCTAGTTTTTTTATGTGTTTATGTCTATTTCATCCAGTCATACTAGTTCTGAGAATTTATTCCAAGAAATAACTGAAGGTGGGCATAAAGATGTACTAACAAGGGTATTCATCAAGGCATAAATTGCATTAATGCAAGTCTGATAGGGATTAAATTATAAATGTATGAAAACATTTAAAAATAATATGCTGTCATAATGTGCAGCCATTTAAAACAGAAATTTTGGGAGAATATATAACAATGTAAAAAAAATCCTTGAACATAACAACAACAAAAAGAAAAACCAAGGATATAAACTAATGTACATAATCTGGTCACAAAGGAATAAAACACCAATATTAGAACCATAAATATTAGGGAATAGTAACTGTCATGAATTATAAGCCCATTAAATAAATAAATACACTTTGGAAATTTTGAAAGTTTGCTCAATTGCTTAATAATCAAAATGAAACCCAAACATCCAATTACAGATTATCTGGAATGCATCCAAAATGAAAGTAACCTCTCAACATTTATTGAACACTCACACATAGTTGGCAAATTCACACAATGACGAAATTTCAATTAGACAAGGGAAAAGAACATAAAAATATGGTTTTAGATGACAATGAAAAGGAGTCAAATGGACAATTAATCAAGATTTGATTCTGGCAAAACGTTTTTTAAATGGTGTAGGTAGAAACCACAAAGTTAGGATGAAAAGTTACATATAACAGATGTAAAGAATATTTAGAAATTATGATACTATGCACCAGTATATTCTAACAAAGTTGATCATCTCAATGTAATGGAAAATAATTTTAAGTGAAATACTTAATAAAAAGAAAGAAACAAAAATCCTGAAACTGCTGAAAAGACTATTAGCCACGGGAGATATTCAGTTGTTATTAATATTTTAATCTAAAAAATAAATTTATTTCATCTACCAATTTTATATTAAAGGAAGAAAAATACCTTCTTTTACATATAATCTGAACACCAAACCCCGAGACACACAATTTACCCATATAACAAACCTCCACATGTACTTCCTGAACCTATAATAAAAGTTGTAAAGAAACTTTAAAAATATGTTTCCTACAGGAGTTGTTGGGGTGTTGGTGGAGCCCAGAACAATTTTCACTCACATATTCATTAGAAGTAAATTTAAAAATTTTTAAATAACTCAGGAGATATTTTAAAGATAAATAATCTGCTACAAAATGACAGTTTTCTTTGAGAACTATTTGTGAATTTGTAATGCTTTTAGAAAAAGGCATAAATAACTGCTTTTTAGGATACTTTCAGGAAATACTTTTAGGGAAAGACCTAAATAACCCCTGTTATATTTACAATATAGATACAGATACAAGAAAAATGATTTTCTAGAGAGTGCAAAAGAGAAAAACATCCTTTGATTCAACGAAATGATTACAACCTTTTGGGAACCCCAACCCACAATAGAAAAAATATAAAGGCCGGGCGCGGTGGCTCACGCCTGTAATCCCAGCACTTTGGGAGGCCGAGGCGGGCGGATCACGAGGTCAGGAGATTGAGACCATCCTGGCTAAAACGGTGAAACCCCGTCTCTACTAAAAATACAAAAAATTAGCCGGGCGTAGTGGCGGGCGCCTGTAGTCCCAGCTACTTGGGAGGCTGAGGCAGGAGAATGGCGTGAACCCGGGAGGCGGAGCTTGCAGTGAGCCGAGATCCCGCCACTGCACTCCAGCCTGGGCGACAGAGCGAGACTCCGTCTCAAAAAAAAAAAAAAAAAAAAAAAAAAAGAAAAAATATAAAATTTAAATTTCTGAATAAAATATTAGCAAATATGATTCATTAGACTATTAAAAACAATATTAACAAACCTAGCAATGATGCATCTCAGAAATATAAAATTGATTAATGTTAGAATCTCTAAAGAATAAATATTTTATCAATTGGAAAAATTAGAAAAAGAACATCTTCACAGAATTGAAAATTTATATGATAGGTTTCAATACCACCCAATTAGAAAATCAAGAATAAATTATCTCTTTAAATAAATAATATTTAGGGTAAGGAAGCCTATCATACTCAATTAGACAACATTTTATTTATGGTGAGTAACTGAAGGCACCTGTATCAAAATTAAAATCGAAAAATGTTATTTCAGGTTTACAAAACAACAAGACATTAAACAGATATAAGCGTTACAACTATGAGAGAAAGCATGACTATTTGCAAATCATAAACTGAAAAACAAAAAATAAGAAAATCTCATTTAAATGTCCGGGAAGATAATGAAACTGAAAAAATCAGCAACTTTTCTCTGTACCAGTAACAGTTAGAAAATATAAACAGTCATAATATAATGAATTAAAATATCCTGAATAATAAACAATAAATGTATGATATCTACATACCTTTATTAGGAGATAGAGAAATAATTAATTAGTGCTTTGTTTTTAAAAAAGAATAAAATTATATCTTCACTGTATATCAAATAAAACAATAAAATGAAACTGCCATATAACAAATCTCTAAACGAGAGAAGTCTGTTTAGTTTAAGAAAGATTGAATAAATTATGGAAAAAAATTAAATAAAATTTAAATGATAAATTGGAAAATATTTAGAGTAAATATGTCTAAAAGGGGGTTAATCCAGAAGAGGATCTGAACTAATATGTCATAAAAGAAGATAGAAACACAAGTAATAAACACCTCTAAAATGTTCAACCTAACTAACAATCAATTATAAACTGTATTTTTGTTGTTGTGGCAAATTAGCAAATATGTTTAAACAATAACTAAAACAGATTGTTGGCCAGCGTTCAGTAAAGACAGGCTGGTAGGAGTATAAATTAGTTCAATTATGATTAAAAATCAATTTTAAATGGTCAAACCTATGAAAAAAGGACCTTGATCAAAATTATTTCAATTAAAAAATTACGTTATTTTAAAAGTAAAAACTATAACCTAAAATAGCATATATGCTATATGTTTTCATAGAACATATACAGTCAGCTGGGCACGGTGGTTCACGCCTGTAATCCCAGCACTTCGAGAGGCCAAGGTGGGCGGATCATAAGGTCAGGAGTTCGAGACCAGCTTGGCCAGTATGGTGAAATCCTGTCTCTACTAGAAATACAAAAATTAGCCAGTTGTGGTGGTGTGTACCTGTAGTCCCAGCTACTCAGGAGGCTGAGGCAGAAGAATCGTTTGAATCCGGGAGGAGGAGGTTGCAGTGAGCCGAGATTGCACCACTGCACTCCAGCCTGAGTGACAGAGCAAGACTCGATCTCAAAAAATATATATATATATATATATGTGTATATATATTTAGTCATTAATTGATGCTTCATGAAAAATTGCAATAATATGGTATTTATACCACATTGTTGAGTGTGTAAAATGTTAAAAGTCCAAAATTGTACAAATGACACGAACTGAACTATTTAAAATTATATATCCTGGTCACAGGAATAGTACTAATATTTTATTCTGCTTAATAATGCCCTATAACTAAACACATTTCTTTATTACAATATATGCAATATTTATGATGAAAATGGATATGAGTGCTTAAGTAAACAGAATACTATGCAGCAAATAAAATTATATTGTGAAAGATTATTCAGTGATATAAAATTATCATCACAGTCTGTTTAATGAGAAAAAAATACATTTAAATCAGCATTGCATCATCAACCTCTTATTATAAATAATATATAGGTACAGGGGTAAACAGGTTGAAAATATACAGCAAAATGTTAACAATAGTAATCTAGTAATGAAATTAGAGATGATGTGTATTTTCTTATTTATGCTTATCTCAATTTTCAGAATATTCCATAATGGAAATACATCATTTTCATATTAAAGAACATAAAAGTTATTTTTCAAATTAGCATTAAAAATAGTCTGACTTGGTTTACTGTTTTGTAAAATCCATAATCCAGGATATTAAGATGTCAGAACAGCATTGAAATATACCTAAGAGAAAGGTAAGTGAAGGTTTAACAGGTAAAGCTTATATCTCTAGGAAAACTATTCAGTAAAGACCAGAGAGAGTAGAACAAATCACCTAGATGCATGACAATATGCAACTTATGCTTTGTCTCTACGAAAACTGCAGTGTATTTGCCTTCTGTAGGAATATCTTAATAGGTAGTGCTACATGCCTTTTTCTCTGATATGCTCTCAGGATATTAAAACAGATACGTATGGATGTGTGCGTGAGTGATACCACACGTGTGGTTTCGATTTCTGACTTTTTAATGCAACACATAAAAACTTTTACAAAATATTATGGAGAAGTTTTCTGAAATTTGTGATAAATAATTTAACAAGTGCATGTTTCAAGAGATATAATTACTAAAGAACTCTATAGTAGAGCAAATTAGAGAAAATCTTCAAAAGTAGATACATTTAAAATTGAACTTTTTAGAACAAGGAATTGGCAGGGAAGATGGTGAGAAAAATAATCTGCGATTTTAATAGAAAAAAGCTCTCTTCATAAGTCCCTTATAGACACACATGAAAATAAGTATATAGGAGAAAAAGATTAGGCCTTTTCTGAACAGGAAAGCACATTCTGAGCCTCACTGACTTTCTCTCCCAAATGGAAATGTTACCTGCCCAATATACTCACAAGAGCTGTCTGAAGGCCACACGTAATATAGAAATTTAGGGTTAATAAAGTGATTACCAATTGTAATATGGTTGCCTTCTTTAAAAACTGCAAAAAGTACTTTTAAAAATTGTAAATATATTAACAGTAACTCATGTCTTATTTATTGAAGAAAGAGAAAATACAATCTTTGGAGTCAAAGACAACAAAGAATTTTGGAGACCAGTGTTGGATATGCAGCAGAAGAATCCCTCAAATCACAAAATAAATTTTTAAAGGGGCACTAACTATTATTCCAGAGTTCTTAGAATCCCTAGAGAAATTCCAAACATACTGAGAGCAGGATTTAAGAGTAGACATACAGCAAAAGACACAACTTGATAAAATTAAACCTCAGAAAATTTAGGGTTAATATCAAAGTAACTTCTGTTTAAGGAGGACTATACAAAATAAACAGGGTCGATTCAAATGATAAAAGGGTCAATCCATCAAGAAGGCATAACAATTGAATATATATACCTCACAATGAAGCTTCAAAAAACAAACAAAATGACACCATGAAAATGAGTAGACATTTCTGTAATTATAGTTGAAGGTTTTAACACTCTTCTCTCAGTAATTAACACAACAAGGAGACAAAAATATCCATACTGATATAGAAGATTTTATAACTTTCAACCAGCTTAAAATAATAGTAAATGTTAAAATGCTACAAAAAAAATTGAGAAGGAACATACACCAAGGTAGACCAATACTTTGAAAGAATTTAAATTATACATAATATGCTTCCTGATCACAACAATACTAAAAACCAATAGCAAAAATATATTTCAGATAATTGCCAAATACTTGAAAATTAAACAATTAGCAGTTTTATAATAACCATATGAAAGACTTGTACACAATACAACAATGTTCAAGTCAATATATTCAAGTCAACAGACAAAACTCAATAAAAATTGGAAATCAATTTGACCAGACAGATCAAAAAGAAAACACAAAAATGGTCAATAAGCACATAAAAAGTGTTCAATGTCATTAGTCACCAGGGAAATACAAAAAAAGACTCTCAGCACTAAATATGTAAAAGGGTGTGGAGAAACAGAAACTCCTATATGTACAGCCACTTTGGAAATCTATTTTGAACTCTCATAAAATGAAATAGACACATAATTTGATACAACTCTACTCCTGGACTTGCCCAAGGTAAATAAAAACATATATCCATACAAAGAATTGAAAGAATTGTACAAGAATATATTTATAATACATAAAAGTTGGAGGCAACTTACATATGTACATTTTTGTTTTTTTTGAGACAGAGTCTGGCTCTGTTGCCCAGGCTGGAATGCAGTGGAGCGATCTTGGCTCACTGTAAGCTCCACCTCCTGTGTTCACACCATTCTCCTGCCTCAGTCTCCCGAGTAGCTGGGACTACAGGTGCCCGCCACCATGCCTGGCTAATTTTTTTTTTTTTTTTGTATTTTTAGTAGAGACTGGGTTTCACCGTGTTAGCCAGGATGGTCTCCATTTCCTGACCTCATGATCCACCCCGCCTCGGCCTCCCAAAGTGCTGGGATTACAGGCGTGAGCCACCACGCCCGGCCGACATATGTACATTTTAAAGATCGATAGTTAAACAAATTGTGACGTATTTGAAAATGGAATACTACTGAGCAATAATAATAACTGAACTACTGATAATGCAACAACGTAAACCTGAGCAAAATAGGGTGAACACTCAAGAGCATATACTATATGATTCCAAAAGTCCAAGTTCAGGCAAAATTAATCTATGATGATAACAATCAGAAGAGTGCTTGCCTTGGAGAAGGAGTTATGATGAAGATTAACAGGAAAAGATACGGTGAAATTATCTGATGTGATGATATGTTCTACATTGTGATAGGATTGTATATTATATGAATGTATTATATATATAACATATATAAAATGTTTATAAATTTTACTGACTGTAAACAATACCATGAAGAAAATTTAAAGTCTACAAGATGAACTTATGTACAGCCATACCTTGGAGATATTGTGGGTTTGGTTTGAGACCATAGCAATAAAATGATTCATATGAATTGTTTGGTTTCCCAGAAGCATATTAATGTTATTATTTATACTGTACTACAGTTTATTAAATATGCAATAGCACTATGTCTAAACAATATACATACCTTAATTAAAAATATTTTACTGCTAAAAAATGCTAACAATCATCTGGGTCTTCAGCAAGTCCAAATCCTTTTGCTGGTGGAGGATCCTTGCCTAGATGTTGATGGGTGCAGACTGAGAAGGGTGGTGTTTGCAGAACCCTGAGGTGGCTGGAGCAATTTCTTCAAATACAACAACAATGAAGATTGCCTCATTGATGGATTTTACAAAGGCTTTCTCTGTAGCATGCAATGGTATTTGATGTCACTTGACCCACAGTGAAATTTCTTTCAAAATTGGAGCAAATCCTCTCAAACCCTGCTATTGCTTTGTCAACTAAGTTTATGGAATAGTCTAAATGCTTTGTTGTCATTCCAACAATGTTCACAGCATGTTCACAGCATCTTCACCAGAAATGGATTCTGTCTCAAGAAACCACTTTCCTTCCTTATTCATAAGAAGCAATTCCTCATTCATTCAAGTTTTATCATTAAACTGCAGCACTCCACTTTGAAATCTAGTTCTCTTGCTATTTCCACTCTATCTGTAGTTACTTCCTCCACTGAAGTTTTGAACCCTACAAAGATATTCATGAGGGTTGGAATCAACTTCTTCCAAACTCCTGTTAATGTTGATATTTTGACTCCCTCCCAAGACACAAATGTTCTTTATGGCATCTCTAATGGCAAATCCTTTCCAGAAGACTGTAAATTTACTTTACTCAGATCTATAGGAGGAGTCACTATAGATAGCAGCTATAGCCTTAGGAAATGTATCTCTTAAATAGTAAGGCTTAAAGGTCTTGATGCATGGATCTGCTCTGTTGGCAGGCAGGAAAACAACATTAATCTCTTTATAAATCTCCATCGGAGTTCTTGGGTGACCAAGTGCATTTTCAGTAAGCAGTAATATTTTGAAAGGAATAGGCTGGGCGTGTTGGCTCATGCCTGTAATCCCAGCATTTTGGGAGGCCAAGGCAGGCAGATCACAAGATCAGGAGATCGAGACCATCCTGGCTAACACGGTGAAACCCCGTCTCTACTAAAAATACAAAAAAATTAACTGGGTGTGGCAGACGCCTGTAGTCCCAGCTACTCTGGAGGCTGAGGCAGGACAATGGCATGAACCCAGGAGGCGGAGATTGCAGTGAGCCAAGATTGGGCCACTGTACTCCAGCCTGGGCTAATGAGCAAGACTGTCTCAAAAAAAAAAAAAAAAAAAAAGAAAGGAATATGTTTTTCTGAGCAGTAGGTCTCGACAGTGGGCTTACAATACTCAGTAAACCATGCTATAAACAGATGTGCTCTCATCCAGGCTTTGTTATTCTATTTATAGAGCACACGTCAAGTATATTTAGCATAATTCTTAAGAGCTCTAGGATTTTCTGAATGGCAAGTATTGGCTTTAAAGTCTTCAGTTGCATTAGATACTAAGAAGAGAGATAACCTGTCTTTTAAGCTTTTAAGCCAGGTATTTACTTCTCCTTCCTAGCTATGAAACTCCTAGATGGTATCTCCTTCCAATAGAAGGCTGTTTTCTACATACTGAAAATCTGTTGTTCAGTGTTCCTCATCAATTACTTAGCTAGATCTTCTGTATAATTTACTGCAGCTTATGCATCAGCACTTGCTGCTTCACCTTGTACTTTTATGCTATGAAGGTGGCTTCTGAAACCTCATGCACTAACCTCTGCTCACTTCTAACTTTTCTTCTGCAACCAGCTCGTCTCTCTTAGCCTTCAGATAACTGAACTAAATAAGGGCCTTGCTCTGGATTAGATTCTGGCTTAAGAGAATGTTTGGTTGATCTTCTACCCAGGCCACTAAAACATTTTCCATATCAGCAATGTCTGTTTCACTTTCCTATCACTCATGTGTCCAGTGGAGTTGCACTTTTACTTTCCTTCAAGAATTTTGCTTTTCCACTCACAAATTGGCTGTTTGGTGTAAAAGGCCTAGCTTTTGATCTGTCTTGGTTTTTGACATGCCTACCTCAGTATGTTTAATCATTTTTAGCTTTTCATTTAAAGTGAAAAATGTGAGACTATTCACTTGAACACTTAGAGACTGCTGCATGATTAGTAATTGGCCTGATTACAATATTGTTGTGTCTCAGAGATTAGGGAGACCCAAAGAAAGGGAGAAAGATGAGGGAAAGGTCAGTCAGTACAGCAGTTAGAATACACACAATATTTACTGATTAAGCTCACTGTCTTCTATGGGCACAGCTCATGGTGCCCCAAAACAAATAAAATAGTGACATCAAAGATTACTGATCACAGATCACTAAAACAGATATAATAATATTGAAAAAGTCAGAAATATTGAGAAAATAACCAAAATGTGACTCAGAGACATGAAGTGAGCACCTGCTGTCTGAAAAATGGCTTGCTCAACACAGGGTTACCAAAATCCTTCAATTTATTAAAAAATTGCAATATCTATAAAGTACAATAAAGTGAAGTCCATTAAAATGAGTCATTCCTGAATAAAGACATTAAGTTTTTAGGGTTTTCACAAGAATAAAATTAAAATTTAAAATACCCAAATGTAGTTTATATTATATACTAACAAAAATATGTTAATAATCACATTAGTAAACTGTAACAAAAAATGTTATGCTGAACAAAATCAGTGTCTACTACCTGAAAATTAACTGATCACATTACAGGGTTTTTTTTGTTGTTGTTGTTTGTTTGTTTTGTTTTGTTTTTGAGACACAGTCTCGCTCTGTCGCTAGGCTGGAGTGCAGTGGCCCGATCTCAGCTCACTGAAACCTCTGCCTCCCAGGTTCAAGTGATTCTCCTGCCTCAGCCTCCCAGGTAGCGGGGACTACAGGCACACACCACCACACCCAGCTAATTTTTGTATTTTTAGCAGAGACAGGGTTTCATGATGTTGGCCAGGATGGTCTTGATTTCTTGACCTTGTGATCCACCCACCTCCGCCTCCCAAAGTACTGGGATTACAGGTGTGAGCCACCACGCCTAGCCCACATTACAGGTTTTTTAATTAATTAATTAATTAATTAAGTTTTTAGAGACAAGGTCTCACTCTGTCGCCCAGGCTGCAGTGCAGTGTTAAAATCGTAGCTCACTGCAGCCTCAAACTTCTGGGCTCAAGTGATCCTCCCACCTCAGCCTCCCAGGTAGCTAAAACTACAGCTGTACACCAACACACTGGGCTAATGTTTTCATTTTTTTGTAGAAATTGGGTCTCCCTGTGTTGCCCAGCCTGGACTCAAACTCCTGGCCTCAAGTAATCCTCTTGCCTTAGCTTCCCCAAATGCTGGAATGACAAGGTTAGTCATTGTGCCGGGTATGTACTTAACACTAAACTAATTGTATTTTTCTCCACTCAAACTACTATGGAACTGTCAGTTGCATAGACTATTGGGACACTACAGGATTAGATTTAGTTCCAAGACATCTTTGCACATTAAGCCTCCCTCTCTCCTTTGTTATTTGCTACAAAGTTACAGTAGTGCTACAGTACAGGCCTAAAAACAAACACAAATACAGGCATGAGATGTGGTATTCTGACATAATGGCCAAGGAGTTGATTCACAATATGCTTATATTAATTTTTCAATTATCACTGAATTGAAAACAGATAATTTTTAATATTAAGGAATTCCTATAAATATGTGAAAGGACTGTGTGCTATGGGCCACCATTTGAGAAACACTGCTCTAAACTTACCCTTTCTATTAGGAACATACATTCCTCTAAGCAACAGAGAGTAAAGTATTCATATTTGTTCCCTCCTCACTGTTCTTCAGCTTAAACTTTAGCTCTCATTTTTCTCTTCTTTTTTGTTTCTTTGTTCTTTCATCAAGTCCCAAGAGATCACTTCACTGCCTTTCCTATGCCTTCTAGACATACTATAATTGAACTACTTTAGTATGTTTCTCAAGCCTGAATAGACAGTTTCTTCTTTCTTATGCTAGGTATTTCTAGGACTTATTTTGTTCATTTATAGTAGTCTAGTATTTAAGAACATTTTATTAATTACTAAGAACAATAAGTTAGCCTTTAAGTTTTAATTTACCATAGTAATTATTTTTAACTTATTCAAAAATCCCCAAGTTTTAATATAAACTGTTCTAATGAATAATAAATGTAAAAAGAATGAATATCATAGATATTCAAACAATAAAGAAAATTGAAAATGTTCTCAAACATGTCCTTGGCAGGTTGGAATAAACTGCCCCCAAAAATGGTTTCAAAAGTACTCTCTGGTCAGATTTATACAAGGCAAAATGAAGAACTGGTAAAATAGCAATAAATTCTAGAGGTAAATTCAACCTGTAGAGATAGTTAAAATAAAAATAAACCATAGATCCCAGCTATCTAAAAGACTATTTACATACACCTAATTTATCATGTAGCATTCACGAAACATTAAGTGCTGCAGAGAGCTAGCATAACCAGGATCAATTTCATTGACTATAAAAAATCAAAAAGTTTATACATGTAGCATACATATTGACCAAACTTATACCTTCTCTTTAGGCCCCAAATATAAATATACTCTCCTCTAGTCAAGAGATGTTCATGTTTGTTTGCTTGCTTGTTTGTTTGGAATCAAATTGTTTCTTATCCTCTCAACTAGACTCCATATTTTTGAGTACAAGATTTTCAACAAAGCCTAGAACTGGGGAGAATACAGGTATGTGTTATATAATTTAAGACTGATTTATACATCATCTAGATGAGAAAACAAATAGACTTAAAAAATTAAATAGAAAAGGCTGCACTCTGGGAAACAAAAAAAAACCACATACAATGAAAGAAATACAAGAAAAATTGAGATGCTTTTATGGTACTAGAGATTTCAATCTAGTTAAAGCGTTCATAATTTATATGGTTATGCTGTAATTTTAACAAGTTGCTACCTTCTTAAAGAAACAGTATGAATATTGTTAGATCTGCATTTGAATAGCTGATCAGACTTAGAGATCAATATGATCCCACTTTCAAATTCTATGGCAGTTTCCAAGTTTTTTATTCAAATGATCACATGTACATTTCTATATCTCGAAGGCTCAGCTTTTTCAAAATGACCTTAGGATCATAAGATCATTCTGCCTGGTTTCTCAGTTGATTGCTGTAACCGGATGCCCTTGGTCCTCATTCAAAAGATATTTATTGGGGAAATATCATAGCACACTGAAAAATCTGTGATATTTTATATCCTCACATTCTTATATTCTGGAGATATTTTAAATTCAACTCCCATGTAAAATTGTGGTGATATTCAAAGCGACAATTTCAACTCTCATAGACATTCCTTATATTTAAATTCTAGCCACTGATTTCAACTAATTTCAGCTCGATTATACAACTATACCACATGGTTAATTAATTAAAAAAATGGCCAGAGGTTATTTTTATTGGCAGACTTCAAGTTCAAAGAAAAGATGAAACTGGCTCAAACTAAAAATATATGCACATACAAATGTCACCCACCTCTTGGCTACATGAAAGAGACTGGGTATTGGAACACAGATGACAGCACTAGTACAAAGAGAAGTGTCATGGTGACTGACCCTTCTTACTTCTCCAAGTCACCACAAGCTGACACTCATTTATAGAGCTTGTGCTCTTCCTAATTACGTATATATGTTTTAGTTAAAGGAAATATATATCTTCATGTTTACTACAAGGGATTGGAATTGTAAACTTGGTTTTATAAACCATGAACACAAAAAGTAAAGTATATATTTGGAAGGAGAGAAAAAGACTACTAAGACCTGAGTTGAATATCTCCTGGGTTCAGTGGAAAATGAAGAAATAAGTCCAGTGTATCAAAGCATTGTCTAGAGTTCTTCAGATTGAGGTACTCCAAGACACGTTATATTGAATGATACTATGGCCCACAACATCAAATACAGCCATGTTATGGTTGGGGGTGTAAGCAGAGACTGCTGCTCAGATGCTGTAAGAAAGGATATAATTCCAGACCTTCTTAAAGTGAATGTAATGCTAACTTGTAGAAATGAGCAATTGCTCACATTATTTCAAAGCTACTATCATAGCTTATTAAACATGGTAACATCAGCGTTGAGTACACCTAATAAATGAAAGGTCATCTGAGTTTCTCTTGTTAAGGTCCATGACAATCATGGTTGGAACATGGGCTTTGGGCCACAGGTGGTGCAGGGCAGTTCTTCAATATTACCAATGTGGCACAAAACAGACATGATGGCAAGTGACTCAGCTTTCACTGGCAACTAAATCACTAGGATAAGAGTACATCCTTGAAGAAACCAAGAGCCAATGGCTACTGGTCAGTGGGGACTTTCCAACCACCATCTTTAACATTTGATCCTGGAAGAGGAGTTCCATGAAGAAATCCCTCGGTTTGCTCCTATTAGTTCCACATTGTTTAGTGCACTATTCTTGAGCTTTTTCAGCTAAACATCTTTAGTTGACAAGAAAGCCCAGTAAACCATTAACAAGTAAGTAATGCATAATTTTTGTATATGACCTCAATATAACTAATGAGAAAATTATATTAGATTAAAATATGAGCATTATCAACACTGATATTTACAATTAATAATAGAATTTTATATATAACTTTTCAGCTATAAGGTTTTAAAATCAGCTGTGAATTTAGCAGTATTATATGCATAAAACGGAATCATGCTAATGGCAATGCAGGCAGCCACATGTTTCTCCTGGTACCATTAAAGAAATAATTAGATACATTTATAGGGAAAAAATGTCATTATTATCCCTGTAGGGCATAATACAGCCTTTCACTTGAAATAAGTCAGCAAGTTACCTTCATGAGAAATAATGTTATATGAATATCACAGTTGGAGAACTGTTCTCTAAATACACACAGCAAGTACAAAAATTATAGCCCAATTTTGCTTAGAAATTCACCATTCCTTCCTAATGAGTGTATCTAGCTTCAAATAACATAGAAGGACAAGGTAAAGACCATAATTAAAATGACTGTATTACACAAAAAAGAACATGCAACTTTGCACGGTAAAGACATTGTAGGTCAGCTATGAAAATCACTAAATAAAATGGCACAGTTAATTGGGCTAAATATTAGACAAGTAAAGAATATTCAAAACCCAATTTTTCTACTTCCATTTTCGTAACTCAGTTTTAAATAAATGCAATAATGCCGCTATCAATGTAACATCGATCTGAAAGTCCAACTTGAAAATATAGGTGTAAATCAATTTAAGGGAATATTATGCTTAGTGCCATTTGTTTCAGTGAGGGTAGAAAATAAATGCAAACTACAGTGAAAAATAAATATAAACTAGCCAGAATCTCAAAGAAAGATGCAAGTTAAGTGTGTATGTACCTTCAGTTTCTGTTTTTTTGATCAATGATATTCATTCTAATAGTTAATATATGTGTGTCTTCACTACTGTAAGTTTTTATTTGTATACTAATTCCTTACCAAAAAATACTTATTAGAAAAGCTATACGTATTGCTTTAGAAAGGAAGTGATAATGATGTGTTGAACATCATTAAAGTCTACACACATGATTCCAGATTAGTGACCCTTTTCAGTCCTTGTTGCTTACAGCCATGTATATTCACATTTAAGAACAAAAACACTTCAGACACATGCACAAAAACCGGTTATATGACCTTCTTGCTGTGTTCACCCTCCTTGACAGGTTGGCAGTATTTCTGGCATTGATTCCCTCCTGCTTATTGAAACTCTCCCCTGTCAGTTGGCACAGTCCTCCCTCTTACTACCCTTGAGCCTCATTTTTTTCTGATTTTTTTCCTCTCTTTCTTCAAATACATCTTTTTAGATATGTTCTTGAAACTGCACATTTATAAGGTGTATTTGTAGACAAGACTATAGAAAAACTTAAATGATGCTAATGTCTATGCTTAGTAGCACCACCATCGCTGCCACCGCCACCACCACCACCACCACCACCACTACCACCAATGCTATCATCATCATTTACCAACAGCTCTAGCAACCATCTTCACTTTTTGATTATCATGCTTTGCTGATCCTAGGATAAACATTTTGAGATGAAGTTAGGAGTGCATGTGGTTTGTTGTGGATAATGTCTGTGAAAGATAAAAAGAAGAAGGAGAAATATTGGGTTGGGAAAGCCTTCAGAATATGATGCAGATCTGAAAAATGTTTAAGGAAGGGAGTATGGGTGAGGAAAACAGCACTGGGCAGGGGGCACCTCAGATCACAATAAAGACAAAGCCTCAGCTAATCCAATGGGAAGCTTGAGAGCAAGGAATGCCCATTGCAATTGTCCAACATCGGGCAGGAATGACCAGGCTCTAGCACCCTTGCCGTGTTCTGTCTTGGTAGAGAGCTGTCCCAGAATAAAGCATGACTGTGGTTCAAAAGCTAATGTCATCCTGAAAGCATTAAGGACTAGAAGCTGTCCACTAACTGTACAACTTACAGCTCACCAGCAGGTTCTTTCCAGAAGGGAGAGCTAAGAGGTGCATTTCCATGACTGCCATCCCCTAGATACCTTGCACTTACACGACTAGATTTGACCTATGCTTCCTATCCTGAATCCTCCATTCCTAGTTCTAATTTTTTTCCAAGTAATTTTCCAAAGCACAACTCTGATTGTATCAAGGCCTATATTAAATCCTTCAATACTACTTAATATTATTGTTTTATTAAATATTTATTATTCATTATTTTAAAGCAAGTTAAAAATTTTTAAATTGGCATCCAATACCCACCAAAATCTGGGCCAAATAATTCTTTCTGGGTTTATTTATAGATAGTAGAGACCAGAGGAGAACACTTCAGAGCTAGAGAGAGACAAGCTTCAGAATATTATTTCCATCTACCACTGACTAGGTATATAACTTCTTTCACTTTGATTTCCTCATTAGCAAAATAAGAATATCTGGTATAGATTTTGCAAATGTTTACTGAGATAACATTAGGGCAAAAAATACTTAACACATTTTGATTCCCCTTTACTATTCTTCCTCCTCTGCCTGTATCTGATAATTTTCCATCTATTAAATATGTCTCATACTTTCCTGCCTATGTTTTAACACTGATACCTTTCAAAATTCTTTCTATGCATTATGCCGTTTTCACAACACCTTCTCAGTTATTAAAATCCTACCCATCATCTGAAGCCTTACAGTCTAACCCCTTCTGATAACCAGATGTTCCTCCACAATTTAGCCAAAACTAGAACTAAAACTAAAAACAAAACCAGTTTGGAAGAATATCCATGAACTGTCACATGTTCTTTTTATTTCTGCACTCTTGTGGTTTCA
Organism: Homo sapiens; assembly: GCF_000001405.40. NCBI lineage: Eukaryota > Metazoa > Chordata > Mammalia > Primates > Hominidae > Homo > Homo sapiens. Next base: position 44,350,437 of record NC_000004.12, read on the forward strand.
TGTACACCTATAATAAGTGGGTCATTAAGTCAAAGTCAGTGTATATATTTGTCTATATGTAAATATAAATACAAGAGCTTCTAGCACAACACTTGAAATAGCAGCTCCTAAAAAGTATTTTAATTTAACATCAGTTGGCAATATGCAAGCTAACAACTCCAAAAATTTTTTAGTGATGTTCTAAGGATATCTTTTTATGTATGACTGCTCTACAAAAGATATATTTTTTTAAAATGAATAAAAAGTTTTCATTGTTTAGAAGAACATTTGATAACCACTAATTTATGAAATGCCACCAATGTAAAATGGCATTTAATGAATCAGAAAAACTAGACTATCATTTCCATTATTTATTTAACAAATATTGATTTTCTGCCCTAATTCAGCCTAAGTCCTTGAAAGGGCTGTCAATACCTACTCTGTTCTTCATTTCTCCTCCTATGTTCCTGTGCAGTCCAATCAGACGTTCGTCAAAATTACATGAATGCAACCACTATTGCATTCACCAATTAACTCAATATTGGCTACCTGGGATGTCTCAGGGTAGATTCCAATTCACTCAATATGTCAATTTTATTCAGATATATTTCCAAATTTAGATCCTCGGCTTCCCTGACCTCCATCTATAAAGGAATTCTCTCCCATTTATTCTGTTCCTTTACCGTGCTCTGTCTTCACATTCTTATAATTATCTTTCATTATTTACATATTGATTTTTAAATTGGTGAATTTTGTCTGGCTTCTTCCCTAGAATGCAAGTTTAATGAAAACATGAACTTTGTCTTACCATTTTATTTTCAGCACCAGGAACAGCTCCTGGCTGTCTAAATAATTGTGAAATGCATTAATAAATGACGTTCTGGGGATAACATTATGGGCTAGTTGATCTGACATTTTCACCACAGGACTCAAATTAGTTCAATTTTAAGTCATTAAAAAGAATTTTTGTGCATTAAAAGTACCCAAACAAACCCATTTAGTTGGTATGAAACCAAATTAGATTTCCATATCATTTTGGCCGTTTCTTCAGAAAAACAAATAACACAAATTGCTACAAAATTATCTTTGTCATTGGTTTTTAAATTATATATTCATGGACCATAAAGTTTCAAGAATGTCTACAAATTTCAACAGGAAACTACATCTCTGTGGAGATGTCTGAAATGAGAGGAACACTGAGTTTTAAGGGCTTAAGGTTCACATTCTCTAACAATGCAACAATCTAGAAAATATCTTTAATGTAAAGTATCAATATGGTACAATAGAACATAGAGATCATAAGATCCTTGAAATAATGAATGTGATCTTTCACTAACTGAACATTTTGTCCCTGCCTAGAACACTGCTGAGTACAGCAGAGACGGTATAGTTATTGGGTAGTTATAGCTACACAACTGAACTGAAAATATTTATTTATTCTTTATTAAACATTTTATTTCCAACTTATTCAGTCAACATTCAAACTCCATTAACTGTCACAGCAGGCACAGTCTAAAAAGAATAAAACATAAAATAAGTATTTCTTTTATTTATTTATTTATTTTATTTATTGGTAATGAATATTTGACAGGAAGAAAATGAGACTGGGGATATAGAGAACTTCTTACCTGGCCACTACTGTGGACTCAGAAATTCTCTTCTCATTCCATGTACCCTAAAGCTTCTGCTCATTTCTGTGGATGAGTGCCAGGATTCATTAAAATGATTCCAGTTTACCTAAATGAAAGTCTTATTAGCCATATGGGCCAGACTTTTGTCAGATTACACTGAAATCATGCATATTCCTCAGTGGTCTGTTTGGGTTCCACAATGCCTCTGAAGCACTGCAATGCTGACCTGTGGCTATGTGATATATGTGATGATGGTTAGCCTGTAACACTAGGGTTTCTCAAAGATAATACCTAGATTACTTGATTGATAAGGATGGGAAATTTAGTAAAAGGAAAGACACATTAAAAAGAATAGAAATAGAAATAGAGTAAAAAGAGAATAGGACATAAAAAGAGAATAGAATGGAAATAGTAAAAAGAGAATAGAATAGAAATATTACAAAATTATTATTTATATATTAAATATTATTTTATATATTTTATATACTATTTATATTTTTGTATATTATATATTAAAATTATTATTTCTATTAAAAATAGAAATAATAAAAGAGAATAAAGACCAGATTTTTAGAAATCATAGAAAATATAAAACACATTGAAATATGAGAAAAGAAAGTATTATATAATATCCATAATCTAAAGGTAGATATTCATTGTATCCATCTATCTATGTATATTCCTATCTATGCTCAAGGTGGAAAGCAGAATGCATAAAAAGGTATAGGTTATCATTAGGCACCTTTATGTAACACCTCTCTATCTTCTTCCACTCCTGAAGTAGGTATTCAATCTGACCACACTAGAATTTTTGTAAGCATCCATCTCATTCTCTCCCACTATAATATCAACTGCTTTCACCAAAACTCAGGTTGTGCTTACTTAGCTATAGACATTTGTTGTTATCATCATTTTAAATTAAGTATAAAGGTGCATACGATAAAAATTCACTTATTTTAAGTGTACAATACAATGAGTTTTGGCAAATATCTACATGTAAGTGGTGATTATCACTAGAATAAAGATACAGAATGTTTCCAAAATTCAAAAAGTTATCTTACCACATTGCAGTCAATTTCTGCCCTTCTGGCCACAGACAACCACTAACCTGCTAGAACTAGGTTTTGTGTCTTCCAGAATTTCACATAAATGAAATCATAAAGTTAGAAATCTTTTGTGTCTGCTTCATTTGGTCAACATAAAAGTACTGAAGTTCATCACTGTAGTTGTGTGTATCAGTTCATTTATCCTGCTGTTTTTATTATTTATATATTTTTGCTTTTTTATTTATAATTATTACAAGTATAAGAGTTGTATATATTTATGGGATACATGTGATAGTTTAATACAAGCATACAATGTGTAATGATTAAATTAGGGTAATTAATGTATCCAGCATCTCAGGAATTTATCATTTCTTTAAGAACAGAGCAATTCTACTCTATTATCTTTAAATATACACTAAAATATCATTAACTACAGTTTCCCTATCGTGCTTCCAAACACTAGGTTGCATTCCTTCTATCTAACTATATTTTTGTACCAATTAATTATCACCTCTTTATCCCCCTTCTCATTACCCTTCCCAGCCTCTGGTCACCATCATTCTACTGTCTCCACTAGTTCAATATTTTTACCTCCCACATATTAGTGAAAACATATAATATTTGTCTTTCTGTGCCTGGCTTATATCACTTAACATTAGCATCTAAAATGGAAGCTTAGGTTACTGATTTTGGACCTTTTCACCTTTCCAAAGTAAACTTTTAATACTGTCTCTAATCACTGTTTACCTCTATTCCACAAATAGTTGTTACTAAGACAAATAGTTGTTCACTGTTATGTAAGACAGAGCTACTCCAGTCCCAGTTATGTTACTGGGGTTGGAAAATATGCTTTGGATTGCTCCAACCATTGGAATTGGTAACCCTGCAACCAATATTTTTTTAAAAATCTAGTAGATACTCAATCCAAACAAAAGTTATTTTTCTAACATCCTTCCATAACTCCCCCTTTCACATTCTTATTACCATACTTCTAATGCTTAGTTTTTTTTGCAATAACATATGTATCCTTTCTACCAATCTTTTTTCAAATGAAACTTATTACTCTTCTATGATAAATTTTAATCATATCAGCTTCCAGCTTAAACATATTTAAGTTCATTTGTTGTGTGTGTGTGTTTATTTGTCTGTGTTTAATTCCTAAAGTAACAACTTCTTAGCTTGGCCTAGCAGTCTTCCTACTCCCTGGCTTCAACACTACATTTCCAGCTAGTTTGATTCCATTCCTTCACGCTTACTTTTCACACCAGGGAAACTGGATGACTCTTCCCTAAATATAGCACAAAGTCTCAGCTCTAAACTTTGGCTCAGGTCATTTTCTCCACCTAAAACAACCTTCATTTTCAGAGGCTTACCTCCTCCACTTGTCCAGATCACATCCGTACGGTCCATCTCAGGTACTATATTTTTAATGAAGCCTAAAGGAGATGCAACCTCCTCTTCCTGGATCATTTAATACACTCATTTTATCAACTTATTGAGCACTTACTGTCTGTCCTTAATTTTCTAAGTGTTCAGTGCAAATTATTTCATTTGCACGAATCCATGAGGATTCGTAAAATCCTCATGGGTAAGTAGTATTATCATCCCTATGTTACAAATGGAGAAACTAAGGCACAGGAATGTTAAATACTTGTAAGCACCATGCTGTGTTGCTTTACTTAACATATCCTTACAGTATCATAGATACAGTATAAATTCCCCAAGGAAGAGCCTGTAAAACATTTAGCAAATAACTTGCATACAATGGACATCATGCAGTTAGTATGTATTCCCAATCTGAAAGGCAAAAAGAGTGAAAAAGAACTATGAAATGCTCTTCATTTTAAAAAGTTGATATTATTGTGAGAAAATGAATAAATGCACAATAATTGGGAAGTAGGAAGTAAATAATAAGATAGCTTTAGCTGTCTCAACACATTGTCTTATATAATTGTTGTATTAAAACTAAATATTCAAGTAGAAAACCTTATGAATATTTGAATTAATTGAGAAGAATTCAGTACTGATATTTATAATGAAAACTGTCTCCAGATAATTAAAGTTTACTCCCGTATTCGACAAAGCATTATTTAAAAATTACTTATTATTGTTGAAAGAGAATTATCAAAACATGATTTTTTTCTGTCTTTTAAAACAGAGAACACCAATGTATAATTTATCCTTCCCTTAATAATATAGTCACTAGAAACATTGATTACTAAACTATGCAGTGATAAGGTCATTTTTTCAGGAGTTAGTGAGATCAATTAAGACATTTGCTTTATAGCTGAGCATGTTGCTTTTTTTCTTTCGTCTTTTCCTCATTAAGAACTATGACAAAGTGTTTTAGGTTTTAGTAACTCCAACCCATGCTGTTAATATTTTGTGATCTCAAAACTAAATTAACTAATCAACCAATGTAGTTTTATGCATAATTTTAAAAATATTCTTTGCCATTATAGATGGTTCTAATTCTATTATAATCCTACATGAATTTTGTAATATGTTTGCCATGAAGAAATTGTTCTCATTTATTTCTGAGTTAATTTCTGTTTTGACAGCTAGGGTTGACTTCTGTGTAGCGTATTTAGATAAACAGAATAAATTACCATTCATCCAATCTCTTCGTGAAAATTATTTGGTCTCTATATTGAGGGCATGGGCATGATCAAGTAAGAAATCAAAATTAGCACAGTTCTTCATTTTATAATATCAAACGCAAATTAAGAATGTGGATTATTTGTCTTCTATTAATATATGGGGCAGTGCAGTTAATTAAAATGTTTAATACAGGAACTAAACTGCTAAGTATAATCATTAAAGTATATAAAGTCATACATTTTATAGCTAAATTGCAAATCTGAGTATTATCATCAATAATCACTAGCAAAATGACCACTAAACTTAGAATACGGTTGTACAAACAAGTGCACACACATATTCAACCCTAAATATACATATACTACATATAACTTCTAGCCATACAGGCTTTGCCCCTCATACTTGAGTATACTTCTTCCTAACTTACTCCTCAACTTATTCTGAATCTTTCATAATTTTCAGAATTTGACTATAGCTTAAAAGTATCTTTCATCAAATGTCTTTTTTACTGCTTCTCATTCAACTATAATATTTTACCTGCTTTACCAAAAATTTAGTCAGACCCCAAATATCCCAAGCAGTTTGCTGTGAATTAAGAATGACTGATGTGGTCTCTCTTGTACTTCTTTGAATCATTTATTCTTTTGTGGCAAAATAAAAATATAAAGGAAAGACTAAGCATTATAAATTGACAGTTATTCAAGGAGAATTAATCCCATAGATAGATCTGTTAGGTTATTCTTAGATCAACACCTTTTCTACCTTCTGTAAAGAATCTGGGAGATAGTTTCTTTTCATGAGCCGGAGTCTTGCTCTGTTGCCCAGGCTGGAGTGCAGTGGCACGATCTCAACTCACTGCAACTTCCGCCTCCCGGGTTCAAGCGATTCTCCTGCCTCAGCCTGCCGAGTAGCTGGTAGCCGAGTAGCCACCACATCTGGCTAATTGTTTGTATTTTTGGTAGAGACAGGGTTCCTACCATGTTGGCCAGGCTGGTCTCGAACTCCTGACCTGAGGTGATCCACCTGCCTCGGCCTCCCAAAGTGCTGGGATTACAGGTGTGAGCCACCGTGCTTGGCCTGGGAGGTAGTTTCAAATGAAAAGAACAGTCCACTACAATTTATGTCATCCAAATTCCATTTCTGTCTCAGACACCTGCTGTCCACGGAACTTGGAGACTTGTCTGTGTGAGGATATTGATGACCATCATGCCTATGACATAAGATTGGCCTAAGACTCAAAATGCTTCCATATTTAGAACAATATTTTGAAAACTGTAACATTCCATGAAATTACAAGATATAACTTTTGTAGACTATCCTCCTTTGTAAGATGTCATGCCATTTCCCACAAAACTCTATTTTAAAGGCATTTATATCAAAGAAAGGCATTTGAGGCAAAAAAAAAAAAACCCTTCAAAACAAACATATAGTTAAAATTTACATCACATGAATTAAACCACATCTCTTCCTCTAGCACATCATTCTACTCCCCTTTCAAAGATGAGAAAATTAAGAAACAAAAAGGATAAATAACTTGACAAAAGCAACAAAACTGGTAAAGTGGTGGCAACCTGACAAAAGATTTAGCCTTTGTCTTTCTTTGCGAGGCTGCCTTTTTCTCCTTTTCTCCCTTCTCTTCCATCGTTACCAAACCACTGGCATCAAAAGAAAAAGTAATAAATATTTGAATAAATGAATGAAGCATTTGTCTTCCCGTAAGATTAATTCAAGAGTAATTATAGATAAAACCATAAAATTCCTACTATGGCTCTAAAAACAAAAGACCAAAAATCTAAAGTGTATTATAAGAATATTTCAGAGTGTGAAGGGTCACTTAACACCACTATTAATGGCAGAGGACTCTCTGCCTAAAGCCAATTCTCTAACAAAAGGGAACATAGAATATTAAGCTAAAGTTCATGAATAACTCTGCTTAAAGGAATCATTAGAATTAGACATATACTTCAGAGGATGTGACTGTGAATACTACATATAATGGTCATCATTCTGCATTAAAATTTAAGGAAAAAAGATAACTTCTGTATACATTTTTAAGTAGAGATTTTTTTTCATACATTGTACCTTCTTTTTGAATAAATGCTCTCCTCTGGTATCATTAAAATAAAAGGAAACATGAACATTAAAGGATTATTGTATCAGCACAGTAGTTATTCTCTCTAAACATAAATATTCTTTTATTATTATTATTATAATTATTATTATACTTTAAGTTCTGGGATACAAGTGCAGAAAGTTCAGATTTGTTACATAGGTATACACATGCCATGGTGGTGTGCTGCACCCAACAACCCATCATCTACATTAGGTATTTCTCCTAATGTTATCCCTCCCCTAGCCCCCCACCCCCCAAAGCCCAGGTGCACGATGTTTCCTTCCCTGTGTCCATGTGTTCTCAATCTTCAACTCCCACTTATGAGTGAGAACATGCAGTGTTTGGTTTTCTGTTCCTGTGTTAGTGTGCTGAGAATGATGGTTTCCAGCTTCACCCATGTCCCTGCAAAGGACATGAACTCATCCTTTTTTATGGCTGCATAGTGTTCCATGGTGCATATGTGCTACATTTTCTTTATCCAGTCTATCATTGATGGCCATTTGGGTTGGTTCCAAGTCTTTGCTATTGTGAACAGTGCTGCAATAAACATACATGTGCATGCGTCTTTATAGTGGAATGATTTATAATCCTTTGGGTATATACCAGTAATGGGATGGCTGGGTCAAATGGTATTTCTGGCTCTAGATCTTGAGGAATCACCACACTGTCTTCCACAATGGTTGAACTAATTTACACTCCCACCAACAGTGTCCAAGTGTTCCTATTTCTCCACATCCTCTCCAGATCTGTTGTTTCCTGACTTTTTTTTTTTTCTTTTTTGAGATGGAGTCTCTCTCTGTCACCCAGGCTGGAGTGTAGTGGCACGATCTCGGCTCACCGAAAGCTCCGCCTCCCGGGTTCATGCCATTCTCCTGCCTCAGCCTCCCGAGTAGCTGGGACTACAGGTGCCCACCACCACACCCGGTTAATTTTTTTGTATTTTTAGCAGAGACGGGGTTTCACCATGTTAGCCAGGATGGTCTCGATCTCCTGACCTCATGATCCACCCGCCTCGGCCTCCCAATGTGTGTTTCCTGACTTTTTAATGATTGCCATTCTAACTGGCATGAGATGGTATCTCACTGTGGTTTTGATTTGCATTTCTCTAATGACCAGTGATGATGAGCTTTTTTTCATATGTTTGCTGGCTGCATAAATATCTTCTTTTGAGAAGTGTCTGTTCATATCCTTCACCCATTTTGATGGGTTTGTTTTTTTCTTTTAAATTTAAGTTATTTGTAGATTCTGGATATTAGCCTTTTGTCAGATGGATAGATGGCAAAAAATTTATCCAGTTCTATAGGTTGCCTGTTCACTCTGATGATAGTTTCTTTTGCTGTGCAGAAGCTCTTTAGTTTAATTAGATCCCATTTGTCAATTTTGTCTTTTGTTGCCATTGCTTTTGGTGTTTTAGTCATGAAGCCTTTGCCCATGCCTATGTCCTGAATGGTATTGCCCAGGTTTTCTTCTAGGGTTTTTTTTTTAACACTGTTGCTTCTTCTATTAACTGGCTTTCCCTGAAACATCAAATGCTTTTCTGATTGATATTGTATTAGAACAGTAGGATGAAGTTTATAATAAGAATAAAATGAAATAAATTTTGCATATGCCAACTTATTTATAAAACATATTAATCATCTAAATCATCCGTTATTTGTAGACTGGATATAAATATACCTTAGCGACAGAGAAGGAAACAACATATATAGGAAATATCAGCAGAACTTGTTTTTATATGTAAATTCTCTTGTACTGAAGTAAAATAAAATTCAGAACACTCAACCCAAGTAACTTGTTTTATATAAATGTTATTTATTTCTTAATTATTTAACTCTCTTCTTTTGCTCTTGCTGCTTGTGAGACCTAACTTATGCAGAGCATGAATTAAATCCATGTAGGGCAATAATTTTTATTTAAGCTTAGATAAAACTTCTAGTACCACAGACCATTCTGAATAAGTTTAAAATTCATCATGAGACCAGATAAGGGAGGTGTTATTTAAAATTTGCATGTAGTTTTTTCCTAAATATTTTTGAGATGACAGACATTAACAAAATCATACATTTTTATTCTACCATTCTGTGATGCAGAGAAAATATACATATTTATGTGACTTTTTAAAAATAAGGGACATTATTTCAGTAGGGTTAAATACACAGTTATGTAGATTATTACATTAAGGATACACATACATAGTAACAATTAACCCCTTCTCAGGGGTAGACTACTTTCCCTTATGATACAGGGGACTAGGAATGATTCAGTAAATTTATTCAGTAGATAGAAGTTAGCGGCAATACAAAACTTAAATGTTGCCTTTTATATTTTAATAAAATATTGTATTCATAAAGAGGAATATATGAAAAATATAAATTATAAATGTAATATAATGAAAAGGCAGATTACCCCAACTGTTTTACACACACCATCCAAATTCTCTAAGAATCTATAAAATTATTTGCTTTATATACTCCTGGCTTCAAATAAAAGACAAAAGAAGTTAAGAAAAGCCTTGCTCCCTGTTTTGCTTTACACACTTAGTACATATGATTTGCTTTCCATCAGTGCCATCCAGGGTAAATAATACAGTCATCTTTCATGGATATTTTCATAAAATTGCTACGGAAAACTTAGACATAGCCAAAGAAAAATAAAATCCAAGTTGCCAGAAGGAAAACAACAATTATACTAATGGATGATTTTAATTATCACTACTTCCACTGGAAGTCTAGAGAAGTAAACTAAGGAACAAGTGTTTTCTTATTAAATGAACAGAGAATTCTTTTTCAAACAACCAGGAGCATCGAGAAAACAGAATGAAAAGGCAATCTTTACATTCAATTAATTAAAGTGAAAACAGAAATCCTCAAGAGATGCTTTCTAAAAAGTGATCATAAAAATTTAGTGTCTGAAGGCTTTTAATTTTAAAAAATATACCAAATCAATATAAATGCACAGCCAACAATTCTTTAAATTTCAGATTAACAGGCATTAAATATCTCTTAAAAATGCAATCTACAAAAGCCCTTCTGTGCCTTATTTCATTTACTTATGTTTATATTTCTTTCCTCATGGCTTTTTTCCATTTGATTCCCAATATTTCATCTCCAGTTTTCTCAAATGCTCTTTTCCTCTCCTCTTCCATCAAAATCCATTATCATCTCTTATTCTCTATCTCAAAGTAGAATTTCCCTGAGAGCCATCATTAAAAGTCTTCATATATGCCATTATGTTCACCTAATCTCAAGCACAGTGAGATTTTTTTTCTCCCTTGATCGTACTCACTTCAAGTTTTTCACTGACATATTTCATCTGCCATTAAAATAACTCTCGGGTTCATTTACCACATTCATTGTAAAGATCCTTATTTTACAGGAGAGGCTATAAAATCAGTTTTCCTTGGAATAATTAAGACTGAAAGATCTGTATTCTTGTCAGAACTGGTTTAAGTAAAATTTGCCTTAAAGTATGGAAAATATACTAGACACGTTAAGAAGTCTTTCTAAGCCATATAGTATATTATAAGATAATATCCATTATTTGGGCCATTGTTTAACATGTTCTCTACAAAAGACCACTCACTCAATAATACAATGGAGCCTTCGGTGTTGAGATGGATTTGGGTCAGAAATGAACTAGATACTTTTAAAACATGAAATACTTAATAGTGATGCCTCAGTTTCTTTCCTGAACAGGACTAGATTTGTCAATCTCTTAAAAAGTAGGAAACATTTCTGCTGTTAGTCAATTTGAACTAGTTTTCTAGACAATAATAATTTTTAAATATTCAAGGTGATATGTAATCTGCATTGTTGAAATGGTCTGGTAAGTCCCCTTGAGCTACTGTAGGAAAAACACAATTATACTAAATTTTGCCAATTTTTAATGATTTAATGAGAAAAAGATTGATCTCTATGAGAGGTAATCTTGAAATAATAGGATAATTATGAATATTGAAAGCTAAATCATACATTAAATCACCAAGTGGTTATAGAAAGCTTTCTTTGTGTCTGATGTAGTTCTAAGTGCCATAAACATGCATAATACTGGCCTTGCTATTGAGTACCTTATAGTCAGAAAACCAGAGGTAACTATTATCCAAAGCAATAACTGTTAAGTATCATAAGAAAGTAAAAATCTCAGAGCCCCACGAATCTCAGAAAGAAAAAGGGTCATTTTAGGCTGTTTACATTTAATCAGGAATCAGGGGATATGCTGTTAGTTGGCTTTAATGGATTGGTAGCATTTCAACAAATGATGAAGGTAGAGGAGATAAAAAATTCCAGGCAGCAGAAATATAAATAGAGGTGAACGTACAGAAACAGAAAAGCCAAACACAGGATAGAAAAGTTCTGAGCAGACTTTGGCTAAAATGCCAGCCACACGTAGGTGAGTCAATGCAAGTGTAGGCAGGTTGTCTGAGACCAAATTTTGGTTGATTTTAGGTGCAAAGTTAAGAATTTAGAACTTTATTTCTTAAGCAGATGAGAAGCATAAAGAGAATATGCATTATTTTATTTTAATCATAACCTCAACTTTCATGAGTTTTCTGGTAATACTTCAACTTGGGTATTTTAGTGTCTTTACTATAAAATGAAGCATGTGTTTAAAAATCACAAAGATAGTAAGCAGTATTTGTTCCAAATACATAGTCTTTCTACAAAACAATACAGAATGGCTCCTATAATAATATGAGCAGGGTAGCATTTGTGGAAGATCAAATAGTGTTGTAGAATGTACGGCAAAACAGTGAAGGAAATGACTCAAGTGAGGACATCATGAAGTGATTATAAAAATAGTCCAGGTGAGTTGAAATAGAAACCAGGGGTAATTGTGGTAGGAACATAATGGAAAATAAATATTTCAAATGATACTACAGAGAATTTACTCAGCTTCTTTATGAATTATAAAGAGGATACCAGTATAACTTCAAGTGGCCTAGTTTCTTCTGTGTTAAAGGTAATTTTTTTTTTTTTTTACAAAATCTCATTAAAAAGTTAACCCATTTAGGACCAAAAAAAAATTTAATAGCAGATACTTAAATACTAAGAAATAGCTCAGTGATTAGAAATATAATTTTTAAATACTCAAAATGTTATGATATATTTATAATACTTAATCCATCTGCTTTATGTTTTTTCTTTTTATAACGTGGGTTAAAACAGCCTAGTAAAATTAGGGCCAAAATAAGCATGTTGTTATATGGCTTTAAATTATTTTTTAGATTGATATTTTCAATTCATTTATATTGGAAAGGAGGTTATGTGCAAGATGGTAATTTAACCAAGGAGCTGGAGGAATTAAACATAAATTTTGTTTTCAAATCAACTGAAAGCATCATTAATTATAAGTACGTTTTTGATCCCTGTCACTATGGTATCAAATCACAGAATTATTAGAAGAGAATCAGTAACTGAAACTCCTCCGGCTTTTTTATTCCATTGTAAGCCATATCAAAGTTTTGGAACTAAGAGAAATACTTCCAAGTTATTTATTCTAAGGTTAAAGAGGGCATTAAAAACATATCTTTGATGTGTTCCTACAAATTGTAATACTGGGACTAGAGCTTCTCTACCAGGGTAAGGATCAGGAGGAGCTCAGGCAACTAGCTGAAAACTCTGCTTCCAGCATCAAACAGTGAATGCAGTTCACTGCAAGCCAACAAAGACAAGGATCACAGACTTGAGTAAAATGAGATGCTGTAAGAAGGACCAAGAAAGAGAGGGGAGATGTTAGAAAATAGAATTTCTCCTCTAGGCACATTTGTAATTTTGCACCAACTTGAGAGTAGTCCTTTATGTGTTCAAAACAACATATTGGTTCTATTCAAATTAAGCAACATGGAAGTGTTGCTGCCAGGGATCTCTATCCTAGACAAAAGACTCCTGGTATACACACAGTAGTCACTTTTATTGCTTTCATGTAGACTACTCAGATAGCTAAACATTCATATCTGCACTTAAATCAATAACCACATTTATGTCTTGGTATCAGTAACATGGGGGTTGGTTGAAGGACAAATTTTGTCCAACTATGGACAAAAAACCATTTGCGGTGCTTGAAAAATTAAATGTTCTTATGTAAAAGAAAAATTAATTTAAACATAGATCTTATACCTTTAACCAAAAAATCAACTAAAAATGGATAATGGATCTAAATATAAAACACAAAACTATAAAATTCCTACAAGATAATAAAGGAAAAATTATATGATCTTGGATTTGGCAGTCACTTTTTAGATACAACATGAAAAGCACTATCGATAAAAGAAAAACTTTATCAAAATCAAAATTAAAAACTTCTGTTTGTCAAAAGACAATGTTAAGACAATGAAAATGCAAGTCATACACTGGGGAATATGTTTGCAAAACACATATCTGATAGAGGACTTGTATCCAAAATACAAAGAATTCTTAAAATACAACAGTAGGAAAAGAAAAAAAGCCTAATTTTTTAAAGACAGTTAAAATATTTGAATAGACACCACACACACAAATATTACAGATGGCAAATAAGCAGATGAAAAGTGGCTCAATATGATATGTCATTAGGGAATTGCAAATTAAAACAATGAGTTACTACTACACACCTATCAGAATAGCTAAAATCCAAAACACTGGCAAAACCTGAGGGTAAGAATATGGCGCAACAGGAACTCTCATTTTTGATGAAAGTGCAAAATTGTACAGCCCTTTGGAAAACAGTCTGACAGTTTCTTGCAAAGCTAAACATAGTCTTATCATATGATCCAGAAACTGTACTTTATCCAAATGAGTTGAAAACTTATGTCCATACAAAAACCTGCCCACAAATGTCTAGCAATCATAGTCACAATTTCCAAAACTTGAAAGCAACCAAGATGTCCTTTAATAGATAAACAGACCAATAAGCTGTGGCTTGGAATTATTCAGCAATAAAAAGAAATAAGCTAACAAGCCAAGAAATGACATGGAGGGAACTTAAATACATATTGCTAAGTCAAAGAAGCCAGTATAAAAAGGCTACATGCATGTGATTCCAAATATATGACATTCTGGGAAAGGGAAAACTATAAAGCCAGTAAAAAAAAAAAGTCAGTGGTTCTCCGGGGTCAGGCAGGGAGTGAGGGAAGAAGGAGAGATTAACAAGAGGAGCACAGGATATTTTTAGAGCTAAGAAACTATTCTGTATGAAACTGTAATGGTAGATACATGACATTGTACACTTTCCAAAAACCATAGAATGTACAATACAAAGAGTAAACCTTATAATAAACTATGGACTATAGATAATAATAGTGTTTTAATATTGGTTAATCAGTTGTAACAAATATATCACACTAATGCAAAATATTAATAACATGGAAAACTGTGCAGGGAGAGTGGTGGGCATATGGGAACTCCCTGTATTTACTGCACAATGTTTCTGTAAACCTATATTTTTTCTAAAAAATAAAGTCTATTAATACTTTTCAATAAAAAAAATTGTGAACGGTTTTATCTTGAGAAAAACAGAACTATGTCTAACAACATCAAGGAAAATCAGTCTTTATAATGTTAAACGCATCTAGTTCCACCAAAATTCTCATGCTGTCCTTGAATTAAAAGGATGATTTCAATGTGTATAAAGAAAGGGTATGTTATATTAATCACTGAAATATTTTAAGATTCTTTAGCTATTTTAGATGAATTCACAAAAATGAATGCATTGAATAGAATACGGAAATGTTGAGAACAATGACATTAAGTAAAAAAAACAAGGTAAATGAAAACAGTCAAAAGGTATCACCTGTAACCTTTTCTAAAGGCAAAAAATAGTAATCTTAACAAAATAAATCTACCCAGCCTTGCAACAGTGTGGGATAGAGGACAGTATCACCCAAACGGATAAAGATTAAATTACTGCAAACTTTTTGGAGGGCAGAGAATTCTGTATTGAAATTTTAAATGTGTAAACCACATTACCCAGCAATCTCATCTAGAAATTTATCCTAAGGAGATAATCAGTCACCGGCAAAAAGATTTATGTACAAGAAGATACATTCAAGTCTTGTATAATTGGGAAAAATTGGAAGTAACACACATGTCCATCAAAGAGGAAACTATTACATAAATTATGGTCACACATTACAGTGGATTACTATGCAATCATCAACATGGAGCTGCTATACATCACTTTGACAAAAGAAAAAAAACCTTGATTACAAATCGAGTTTGTAAAGCAAGTTGTAAAATTACAATATGACATGATTTATATAAAATTATATATCGGTTGTCTGCATAAATATATTTATATGTGTTTCTCTGTTTTTGTTGGGTGCAAAGATAGTTTGCTTTTACTTTTGTACTTTACTTCTTAAGAATGTACGACTAGAAAAAAAAATCATTAAAACAAGTACCCAAGCAAACAAACAAGACACGGAGGCTTATATGTGGGGACCTCCATGAAGGAGACTCATATGGTTTGGCTCTGTGTTTCCACCCAAATCCCATGTTAACATGTGATTCCCAGTGTTAGGGAGGGACCTGATGGGAGGTAGGACTTGGTCATGGGGGGTGGATTTCCCTTTTGCTGTTCTTGTGATAATGGGTGAGTTCTCACAAGATCTGATACTTTAAAAGTGTATGGCACTTCCCCCTTCGCTCTCTCTATTTTCTGCTGCCATGTGAAGATGTGCTTGCTTCCTCTTTGCCTTCTGCTATGATTTTAAGTGTCCTGAGGCCTCCCAGCCATGCTTCCTGCTAAGCCTGCAGAATCGTGAGTCAATTAAATCTCTTTTCTTCATAAGTTACCCAGTCACAGGTAGTTTCTTTATAGCAGCGTGAGAATGGACTAATACAGAGATGTAGCCATGCGGATTAGCCTACTTCATCAAATTAGCAGCAGCAGCAGCAGCAGCATCAATATTGTAGCCACAGTTCCTTGTAGTAGGATTTGGAATTACAAATATCATTACCAATTTCTGGAAACCTCATTAAGCAACACAGTCTTCCTCTTACTACCCTTCTGTCATTTGTATAGTCCTAGAAATCCCACCGTATGGCAGGTGGGATCTACCCCCACAGCCTGAGTGGTTTATTTGGAAGAGGAATTTTGTCATGCTGTATGTGTTCTATCTGCTCCCCAAATCACCTACTTAGAAACCTTTAATGAGTTCCCATTGCTGTTATGGTAAAGATAAAATGTTTTAAAGCCCTGCATGAGTGGCTGATAGACATCCTCTCCAACTTCACAGTAAGCCACATTCTTTGCTGCAATCCAGCCACACTAGTCTTCCTTCAGTCCCTCACACTTGCTGGGCTCCCTCCTGCTACGGGCTCTTCACGCAGGCTGTTCCTTCTTCCTCTTCCACTTCCCCTTCCCCTAGTTAACTTCTGCTTATCCTCTACACCTTACCTCAGGCATAGTGTCCTCAGGAGAACCCCTTTTGACCTCCCTTACTAGTAGAAATCCCCCATTACGATATGATAAGCCGCAAGAGTACAAAGAGAATATCTAGTTTTGCTTACTATTGCACTACAAGGACACAGCCTGATACACGGAAGGAATTTAACAAATTATTCATTTAATGAATACATGAATCAATCAACCAACCAACCAATCAATCTCGAAGCTGACAGAACTCTCAGATCCTCCATTACTGGACCCAGTTTAGCACAGGAGGCTATGATGTTTACATTTTACATTATATTTACAACAAGAAATTATATATATACAATCATGGACCTTATAAAGAAGTACTTTCAAATACCAGAAAAATTAGAGTAAAAGGTATTTCCTCTTAGTACTAAACATTATTTTGGCCCCAACATACTTGAAATTAGAATTAATGCCATTATTGACTCAATTAACTAAATGTGTCATTGTTGAAAACCTCCAAGACAGCAATAGAAAAAAATGACAGTGTTTCTTTTGCTGACTTTCAGTTTGATGATCTAGGCAGGTGCCTTTTTAAATATCTTTCCAGCTACTGAATGTATAAAATATAGCAAATGACACTACAGAAACCATCACTCATCAAAGATACTCATGATTTGATATAACCTTTAAAGCTTTCATTGTAGGTTGCTATCTTAAATGATGATAGGACCAAAAAAAAAAAATGAATCGACAGAGTAAAAAAAAAACTTTTTCTTCAAAAAATCTTTTGTTTGCTTTATCAAGATGTCATGAAGCTGAAGGCCTCTGATATGGACAGTCATGCCCTGACAGTGAGATTAAGGATAAAATCAAGATTTTCAGACAACATATAGAACTTCTTGAAGAGTTTCTTCAGTGTCTGGTTTATATCAGTCTTAAAAGCAAATCAGGCCAGTTGTGGTGGCTCATGCCTGTAATCTCAGCACTTTGGGAGGCTGAGGTGGGTGGATCACCTGAGGTCAAAAGTTTGAGACCAGCATGGCCAACATGGTGAAACCCTGTCTCTACTAAAAATACAAAAATTAGCCAGGCATGATGGCACCTGCCTGTAGTCCCAGCTACTTGGGAGTCTGAGGCAGGAGAATTGCTTGAACCCGAAAGGTGGAGAAGTGGAGGTTGCAGTGAGCCCAGACTGCACCATTGTACTCCAGCCCAGGTGACTGAGCAAGACTCCTTCTCAAAGAAAAAAATAAAATAAAATAAAATAAAATAAGCAAATCAAATTCTGTATGAGCCATATTCTGGAATTCAACCAATTACCACTGAAACTCAATGACACTAATTCTTTTGGGTGAGATTAGGTGGAGGACCACATTTGAGTGTATGAAGAACCCTTACAAATGTGGATAAAATTAGCTATGCTTTAGATCCCCTGACTGTTGGAATTAGTCAGCAGCAGAAAGATAAATATGGATTTTGGCACCCAGAACTGGAACAGGTTTTTTGAGGAGAAAAGCTGTTATGTAAACTATAAGTAAAAAGTAAGCCCAGAGACAACAAACAATAAGCCCTATTGATTCATCTTTGTCTGACAGTATTTTCAAAATAACTTGCCTCAGAGAAAGCAATCTCAATTCAGGTTATAGTTAAATATGAAGGGCAATGATGACATTTGAGAAAGGGTTAAAGTTTCTATAATCATTAAGAAAATACACTTTCTAGAAATCTTACCTTTTGGCACATTTCGGTGTCTGCACTGAACTACTTCTGCCTTGATTTTACACATGACTGGACTTCAGTGAGTCATCAGTATAGCCACTCCTCAGTTGTTTCTGTCCTTTTTTTGCAGTTACCTGTAGGCTGGTTGGCCACCAGCAACTCCACTCAAGTATTCATCGTAGCTGAATGCATACCAGTATAAGGAAGACGTGGAATGAGAAGGTTCCTTTCTGGTTAAGGGGAAAAAGTCAGAGTACTTACTAGGATGAAAGAGCTTTACACTGGAATGAGAATGGATTAAAGAAGGAGGAGAATTCATTCGGCACAGTCTTCTGTAATTGATTGGACAGAGATTATTTAAATTCCTTTAAGATTATGTTTATACTTCTAATTAGGTCATGGTTAGGGTTCTAGAAAACAATTCCCAAAGAAAAAATGTCTGCCTTCTATATAGAAGAGTTAATTGCCACTTCAATATACACTCCATTGTTCCAAACCAGCTACGAGTATGTTCAAAAGAAAAGACCCATTCCAACCTGTCAGCAGGATTCACACATTTTATATGAAGGAATTTGCAAATTACAGAGCACTTAACATGCCAGGTCTTCTGAATTTTGCTAAACTTACTTGATAACCACTTATTTAAAATAAAAGGGATTGGTGGGGCATGGTGGCTCACGCCTGTAATCCCAGCACTTTGGGAGGCCAAGGTGGGTGGATCACTTGAGCCCAGGAGTTCATGAACAGCCTGGGCTACGTGGCAAAACCCTGCCTTTACAAAGATTAGCCAGGCATGGTGGCACATGCTTGCAGACCCAGCTACCTGAGAGGCTGAGGTGGGAGAGTCACCTTCAGCCAGGGGGGTTGTGGCTGCAGTGAGCCAAGATTGCACCTTTGCACCCGCAAGCCTGGGCAACGGAGAGAGATTCTGCCTCAAAAATATAAAAATAAAAAAAAAAGGCACAAGAAATTACAGTAATAGATGGACACAATTGCTTTCACTGGCATTTCTTTCCTGAGCACTTACAGTTTTGCTTTTTTCTAATAAACAATATCATACTTATTGGCTAGAATTTTACTGTAATTTACCTAAATTCTTGACACATTTCTTGAATTAAAAAATACCTACATATTTCAAATGATGAAGAAAATAAAGCTGGATGGGAACTAGTATCTTCTGACATTGCAATTCTGTTTCTGTCATCTTAGATATCATGGTTGAGTTCTCTTTCACCTGCAAACTTCACACAAGGAAATATTCTTTTTATGAAAGTCTCCTGAGCATCCATTAGTGTTCCACTACTTATCTTCCAATCCTGCTTTCTCCTACAGAGAAAATGGGGTTACTTCCTGAACTCAAGTCTACCTTTACTATCATTAAAGCAATACAATGAGTTGCAAATGTATACATAAGAAGACCAGACATTTGAAATGGGTGCTCTCACATGTTTGGGAAGATAAAATATTTCAAACTTCCAAGATGGTAATATATAAGGGTGTAAAAAGCTATATCCCTATGTCCAATAATTATACATCTAGAATTTTATATTATCAGAATAATTAGCAATGGGCTAAAAATTTTTCTCACGAAGTCTACTGCTAAGTAGTGGCTGGCACTGCTTTTGGTTTTCAACAATGCCTCAAGGATCACAGGATTTTTCTATATTTCTCCTCTAATATCCTTAGAATATTGCTTATAGTCTTATAGTTGAAAGATGGTAGACATGGCTCAGATATCATGTTTTCTTTCAAAGCAGAAATAAGGAGGATAACAATCAAGAATCTCAATGCATCAGTCTGGTTTTTTATAAGCAAAAACTTCCCAGAAATCCAGTACTAGATTTCAACTTAAATCCCACAGGCCATAATTGAGTTACACTGCTAAGTCTAGCTAAAAGAAAAGTGCAAAAAGTATTTCTTTTCCAGCCTCAATTCCTAGAAGTGGCAAGGGAGAAGGAGGTAGAAATGAATGCTGAGTTAGCCTAACAGTACTGGCTCCTATATTAGTCAAGGTTCTCCAAAGAAACAGAACCAATAGAAGATACTGTAAACTGATACATAGAAAGAGATTTATTGTGAAGAATTGGCTCATATGATATGGAAGCCATGAAGCCCCAAAATTTGCTGTCTGCAAGCTGAAAGGTGAGGAAAGGCAGTGGTGAAATTCAGACTGATGGCCTGAGAACCAGGGAGGCCAATGGTGTAAATCCAGGTCAAGTCTTATGGCCCAAGAACCAGGAGTGCTAATGCTGGAGGACAGGATACAGTGAATGTTACAGTTCAAGCAGATAAGGTGATTTTGCCCTTTCTCTTCCCCTTTGGTTGTAATCATGCAGTCAATGGATTGGATGATGCCTGCCTACTTTGGTGAGGGTAATCTGCTTTACCTGCTCAACCTTTTCAAATGCTAATCTCTTATATTCTAATAGGTACTTCCAGAAATACTGTTTTATCAACTATCAGGGTATCACTTAGCCCAGTCAAGTTGACAAATAAAATTAGCCATTACAACCACAAAACTTTTATCTTTGAAAAAAGTCACATAAGAACAGGGACTTTATCTATTGGCTTTCGTATCCCTGAGGTAGAGCACACTGCTTGGCACAGAGTAATGTCCAATAAGTGGTAGACGGATGAATGGATTGGTAAATGAATGGAATATAGGTAGTCGTTAAAAGTATATTATCAAAGGATATTGAAAGCATTGGAGGCTATTCCCAATTAAATATTAAATGAAAAAAGCAGAATGCAAACATATATATGATCTCAATCCTAAAACATACACATACAAATAAGTTTGAAAATAAATTCCAGGTTGTTAAAAGTGGTTCTCTCTAGTTAGTATTATTATGAGTTACAACCCTGCTGCACATCAGTATCTACATTGTAAAATAGATGAATCCCCAACTCAGGTCATGATGATAATAAAATGAAATGAATATATCTCATTTGTTAGGTATCCAAAAGCATATATTTTCCTCCCTTTCTTATTTTTTATTAAGGTTCTGTCCAGTTTTTAAATTTTGTGATTCAGCCTTGTTTTCTTTCCATCCTGATTCCCTCAATCTCTGCTCTACATAACTTATAAAGCTTATGGTTACATTTTTCTGATCCTCTACTGGAAAACAATATTGTCTATGAAATGGTAAAATTAAATTGGTGACAATCTTTATATTTCTGAGAAGCAATGCATCTGCTTTTTCTAATTGAAATAGCATTATTCCCTACTAGAAAATATTTTCATGGTATAATTATTCAGTCTTTTAATAAGCACAGTGTGTCACTCACTCTATCAGACTGATGTAATACAGTCCTTACTATCCAGGGGCTGACATTCCAGAAAAAAACAAACAGATGTACCAAAAATTATTGGTAAATTAGGTAGATGCACCAGTGAACAGTGTGTCACTCACTCTATCAGACTAATGTAATACAGTCCTTACACTCGAGGGGCTTACATTCCAGAAAAAGACAAACAGACGTACCAAAAATTACTGGTAAATTAGACAGATGCACTGGTAATGCTAAAGCTACACTGAGGGTATAGGCACAGCATGGAGAAAAGCTACAGGATCAACCTAAGGGCAGGAAGGATCAAGGCAGCCTTATAGAGGAGGTGACAGAAGAGCAGGTCTGTATTTTAGGAACAGTTAAACTGAGTGGAAGCAAAGGGGTAAAGCATTAAAGAAGAAAAAGAGGATGTCTTCTGAAGAATTTCTTATTTCTATGTAAAGAAACCTTTTTTTTTCCTTCAATCAGTTTACTTACAAACCTACTTCAAAATCCAGAAGTTTCTGATTTAAAAAAACATACTTCACTCTTTCAGAAAAGAAAGGTCTTAAAGCTGATAATAAGATGTCTTTCCAGGCAGAGATTTGTGTCTTAATTTATGCTTATGCAAATCAGGCCATATTTCAGAGACATTGCTTCAATTCTTTTAAAAACCTGGGACACGATTACAAGTTGCATGCTTGCTGCAAAGAAATAATTCCACATTATCTTTCATTGCAGCACAACCATAATTAAAATCCCAGCTGTATCAATGGCTTTAGAAATTCATATGGTAGGTTTCAGCAGCTCACATAAAATATGGACACTTTTCTATTCAATAATATAGAATTATGCATCTGTGGCTAGTAATTTCTCTTACAAATTTGCCATCTCTTTCACCACATTTACAATGCTCATAGACTAAGATCCTCAAAAAAGGTCAATAGAGGCCGGGCGCAGTGGCTCACACCTGTATTCCCAGCACTTTGGGAGGCCGAGGAGGGTGGATCACGAGGTCAGGAGTTCGAGACCAGCCTGACCAACATGGTGAAACTGTCTCTACTAAAAATACAAAAATTAGCCAGGTGTGGTGGTGCATGCCTGTAGTCCCAGCTACTCAGGAGGCTGAGGCAGGAGAATCACTTGAACCTGGGAGGCAGAGGTTGCAGTGAGCTGAGGTCACACCACTGCACTCCAACCTGGTGACAGAGCGAGACTCTGTCTCAAAAAAAAAAAGGCCAATAGAGTACTGTGATGACTAAGGGCTCCAGAGTGGGGCTGCCTGGGATCAAATCCCAGCTCTGCAACTCACTCACTCTATGATTCTCGGTACCTAACCTGTTTATCCCACATTTCCTCTTTGTAAATGGAGACCATAAGAGTACCTACCACACAGTGTCATTATGCAGATAAAATGATTTAATATTTTAAAGCATTTATTATGTATCTTGACCCATAGGAAGTATTATACAAGTTTAGTTGTTTTTAATTATTTTTAATCATCAGTGTATGCCAGGACTAACATGATTCCTGGCACTCAACAGATAGTAAATATGTCTTCCATAAATAAATGAAAAACATCATTAACAGATTGTTTTTTCCCATCTTATTCTTGTATGTTTCTCAGACTCTCCTTCTCTTACTTTCCCATGCCACATTCCCTTCTAAAAAGAATAAGATAAGGATTTCTTATTCTTTCTCCCTCTTTCATTCTCATTTCAGATGTCCAGTCAATACTCAACATAGTATGAAACCTTGGATTAGACACTGTGAAATGTCTCAGATCTCACTCATCACATTAAAAGATCGGCTTAGTTAAAAACATATAAATCTGTTTTTTTCCAAGTACTATTCTTTAGAACACAAAACAGTTTAGGCGACTACATAAGCAAGATAAGGGAAGATTACAACCTTCTTGGCACAATTTTGGCAATCTCCAAAATCAGTTTACTATGTAGGCAATGGCCAATATTCTTTAAACTAGGTTACTTATAATTTTTTTAGATGACTGCACAGGCTTTTACTATACCCTAACAGGTAGACCCAAATTTAAAGTGAAGATTAACGCAAAAATGCATATAGATGTGCTTGTTGAATGGAAAGGACAATCAAGCTGCAGAGGAGAGAACAGCGGGCTGACCTAAAGACTGCTAGCTCCCACCTTTTCTTCTGCAGTTTGCTTGCCATTCTCTCGGCCTTCACAGAATCAGAGTTAGTGTCTTACTCTACAGTAAGGGAATGCTGGCTGAAGGGAATGTTGTGGCTGGTTTGATCTTCCATGCAGACCACTTAAGCTTTCTCCATATCACTAATAAGGTTGTTACACTTTCTTATCATTGTGTGTTCACTGGTGTAGCACTTTTAATTTTCTTCAAGCTCTTTATCTTTTCATTCACAACTTGGCTGTTTGGTGCAAGAGACATAGCTTTTGATCTGTCTTGGGTTTTGACACGCCTTCCTCACTAATCCTAATCATTTCTAGCTCTTGTTGAAAGTCAGAGACATGTGACTCATTTCACTTGAACACTTAAAGGCCACTATAGGGAGGCTTGAGGTGAGGGTGAGAGATGTGGGGGGAGGCTGATTGGTGGAGCAGTCAGAACACATATAACATTAATCAATTAAGTTTGCCATCTTCTATGCGTGTGGTTCATGCTCCCCCAAAAAACAATTACAGGAGTAACATCAAAGATAACTGATCACAGATCATCATAACAGATATAATAACAATGAAAAAGTTTTAAATATTGTGAGAATTGCCAAAATGTGACACAGAGACATGAAGTGAGCGCATGCTGTCAGAAAATGATGCTAAGATTGTTTGATACAAGGTTGTCACAAAACTTCAATTTATTTTAAAAAATTATCTGCAAAGTGAAATAAAGTGCAGTAAAACAAGGTATGCCTATAATTTTAAAGTATTATGACATTCATTCACCTGAATTGTTTATATTTTACATTAAGAGACCTCAGAATTAGAAAGTTAAGCATTGTGTCAATTATTTCCACGAAGCAAAGGATATAAGACAATAAAGAGTCAGACAATGTGGCCAGTAGAGATGAGCAGGGGCGGCCTGCTGAGGAACAAAAGGTGTATGCTGGGAGTGTGAGGTAAGAAACAAGGAAGACAGAACTCCAGAAAGTATCTGAGGCAGGGGATAAAGTGCTAGGAAATTCTACACAAAAGTGACAAAGATAGAAATCAAGGTAGCCTAGGAAAGTACATACAAATGAAGGAAGATAAATTAGAAAGATAAGTAAGAAATGAAGGGGGTGGAGGAACAGGAGTAAAACAACAGTCAATGAGTCAGGAAACAAGTGCAATGTGAAGGCATCAAGAGATTGCTGTGAGATGTCTCTGTTCCTGGTTTCTCACTCGGTGAGCCAAAGACCCCTGGGCTTCCACAGTAGCCAAATGCTAGTAATTATAGGATCTGTATCTTCAGATTCCAGGTTCTCTTGAGCTCACCTGGATTACAGTTGTCTACCGAAAACCTTTTATTGCCAAATCCAACTGAAAGCCAGAAGTAAGGGAGTACTTTGAAATAATCTATAAAAACTGGCTTCCTGGTGCACAGAACCAGGTGGAAAGCCTACTGGGAAGGCAGAACAGACGGTGAGCCTCACACAAGGTTTGTCAGTCATGACAACAATAGATTATTTAACAAAACCATATTGTTTGCCTGTCTTTACTTTAAGGGATTATACCAAATCCCTCGGAGATTATACTTAATCTCTTTCTCACTCACCAGAAAACATCCTTTGTTTTCACAACTCAGCAAGGGTTGGAGGAAGTATTTTGTGTCTCTCTCTCTACTCCTTACTCATTCATTTTCTTCTATATCCTCTTCCCCCTACCTCTAAGGGGAGTGATTATGTGGTTGGAGTGATTGAGACTGCAGTAATTGCTGCCACTGGTTGCAATTATTGTTTCTCTGAAACAAGACACAGATTTACCACTCATAATTCCCTCACACGCTACTTGATGGATGTACCAGAAAAGAAAATCCAGTTATTTTGTGGACCGTGCATGTTCCTTTCCTAACCCCCACAGGAAGCACACCAGAGTCAGGCCCTCAACCTTCATTCCTGAGTTAAGACTGGAACTGTCTCTTCTCATGTTCTGTGGTGCTCTCTAGCTGGCTCATTTAGGAGTGCATGGGGTGCACAATGTTCCATGCAGCCAAATGGTAAATGTACTCAGAAGCTCTCCCAGCAATGGTTCCCAAGGCTAAGATTTGCAAAAAGGTTGTAGGGCCACCACCCCTACTTCAGCCTTAAGACAAAATCATGCTGTCAACAGTTTCACCAGAGAGTAATGCACTTTGAACCTGAGGGAACTTCATTTATAAAGTTTATTTTCTTTAGCCTTAATGACCCATGTATCTACTGTTGATGTTTTCTACTGGGACCAAGACAAAGAAGAAACCTATGTGATTTTCATCTCACTCCATTAGTACATGTGAGAAACACAAAGTACTAATGCTGGCTATGTGCCAGGCAATGGGAATACAGAAATGAATGAAAAGTGATGCTTTTCACCAAGGACCTCACATTCTAGTGAGGGATATAAAAACTGTATTAGGACTAACAGGAGTGAAAGGAGCACCAACAGAGAAGTACTTAATTCTGACTGGAGGAAGTCAAAGATCACTTTTGGTTTGGGTCTTGAAGAATGTGTGTCAGGTTCTTAAATTGAAAAGGAGAGAAGGGCCTTCCTGGCAAAGGAGGTAACATGCAGAAGCAGCAAGCGGCATGGAAAGATGTAGAATATCTGTAAATCACTGGGTTGGTTGAGTACATGGGATGACTGTGAAAGAAAGAGAAATAATCCTTGAGAAAAGACTTGTCTCCAACATTTGCAGGACTCAGTAAAAACATAAATGAGGCCCACACACCACATGTTTAAGTATTTAAAAGGTATAAATCAAACGAAGCTACTGTTAAACAAAATTATGCTCTAGCCTCCTCCATTTACAAATAAGCAGTCTTAACAACCTGGAGGCAACACTGGAATTTAGAATTCTTGCATTTCTTGAGGCTTCATGGCAGTGCTCAGTAATGTGTAGAGAGATGGGTTCCATACTCTGGCCAGCCCCACTTCTCTTCCTCCCCTGGCTCCTTCTCTTAAGGTGAGGGTTTTCCCTCACACATGTTTGGACACTGCAGCCTGCAAAACTAAGCTCCATTCTCATTTCCTGAGAAGCGCCCTTTCTGGGCCATATCTTAGGTCTAAGAGAAAGCACACTGGCAAAGAGTCTACTCATGGAAGGATAGACCTGTGGAGGAGGCCAGCATAGGCTCAGGAAGCAGGCTCAAGGCCATTTCTGGGGGGTAGAATTATGGGGTCCTGAGTGCCTCAAGCATAGCCTAAAAGAAGGCACAGCTGCAGGGTGATCACCAGTCCTTGGTCCCAGATTTAACATATGCTTGGGGAAAACCAGAACTAAAGAAGGGCCAGAGTGGGTCCAGCCTGCGGCGTCCAGGACACAAGTTCCTCTTGTTTAAGTCTAAGCACTATTCCACTACAAAAGAAGGAAAGGAGAAAAGTCACTGTGGGATTTGCTCTTCATGTCTTCTTTTTATTATCCTGTAGGTAACATGGCTTCACTGAAGAAAACCACATGATCAAACAGGCCTAGATGGAAGTAGTGTGGACTTGTTATCTCAAGGATCTGTAAGCTTGCTTGTGCTATATTACGTCTTCTTCTTTCCCTTCCCCACTCTTGTGAAGCTTTTCTTGAGCCCAAGCATTAGATAAAAAATCATTCCTTTCCTATCTTCCTAGTGAACACTTTTCATAATTCTGTTTGCCATACATAGGCAATTTTGCTGCACAGATATTTGCTTTCCTCCATAGACTGTGAAATGATGAGATCGCCCGTATGTAAAGTTAATTTTTTTATTAAAAAGAATGTGTTTCTTGTAGAAAAACCAGAACACATAGTTATTTTAATATAAGAAAGCAAAAAAAAAATCAAACCACCTCTCTGAGATAACTATTGTTAATATTTTATTATAAGCCCTCCCATACTTTTCCCTACGGACTGAAATAAAAAATACATACATATATATGTATGTATATTTTATATATATATGTATAAATATATATATATATATATATCTCCATGTATGTGTATTAGGCAGGGCACAATACTATACATACTATTCTCTGATCTGCTTTATTTTTCACTGAATAGCATGTTATGAGATATACCTAATGTAAATGACAAATTAATGGGTGCAGCACACCAACATGGCACATGTATACATATGTAACAAACCTGCACGTTGTGCATATGTACCCTAGAACTTAAAGTATGATAAAAATAAATAAATAAATAAAATAAAGTTAATCCTTAGTAAACTGGGAATTATCTTTGTTAACTGAATGTATCACCTATCATATTATGGTGGAATGATTCTATTATTGAAATGTGGTACATGTTACTGCTCTAGAGCAATAATTAAGGATAAAAATCCAAGTTATACCTACATCTCCTTACAATTGAAAAAACAATGAAACATTATTTCACATCTGAGTTATATTAGAGTGTAGCTATTACATGAGTCCCAAGTCACATAAAGATTTGGGGGTTGTATTAGTTTCCTAAGCCTGCTGTTACCACAAATTTTCTACAGTTATAAATTACAATAAACTTGGTATCTTGAAACCATAGAAATGTATTATTGTATAGTTCTGGAGGTCAGAAGTCCAAAATTATTCTTAGTGGGCTAAAATCAAAGTGCTGACAAGACTAGTTTCTTCCAAAGGCTCCACAGGAGAATCTGTTTCCTTTTCTTTGCTAACTTCCAGAGGCCACTTATATTCCTTAGCTCATGACCCCATCTTTCATCTTCAAAGCCAGCTGCAGAGCATCTTCTAATCCCTCTCTCTGACTCTGAACTTCCTGTTTCTTACAAGGACCCACTGTGATTATATTGGGCCCACACAGATAATCCAGGATAATATCCCCATCTCAAGATCCTTAACTTGAACCATTTGCGAAGTTCCTTTTGCCATATGAAGTAACATACTATCAGGTTGCCTGGATTAGATCATGGACATCTTTGGGGGGTTATTATTAAATCTATCCAGGGGGCAATTGTTTTTATTCACAAGTAAATCAATACTTTATATGAATGTAAAAGTTACTTACACTTTGAGTACACAATGTAAATGAAAAATGACTAAATAAAATGAAATTGTGCAGAACTGTCCCTAACCTTGTGAAGTGAACACACCTTGGAATTAGAGCGCACCAAGTGATAGACTACTGAGACCTATTATTAGGTTTTTGCATACAGAAGATTAAAACTGTATATACTTGATCCTGGCCAAGGAAGCTCTGTTTATTTAATTTGGAAATTTTGTGCAAATCATGTGATTAGTCCATGGAAACTAAAACCATTGCAGGTGTGTGTATGTGTGTGTGGTTAAGCACACATGCACATATGCATGAAAGGGAGAAAAGATGGCACTTCACAAAGATCCCATGTTACTTACAGTTTACTGTAAAATAACTTCCATCAGATGGCACACTGCAAACTATATCAGCTTTTTAATTTGATTGAAACACCATATTAAACTAGGTAATGGAATTAAGTATTGTTGCCAAGCAAAATTACATTAATTTTTACATTAAAATTTGTATTTCAATCTATCCTATTGTATGACCACCACATATACCATGGTAATCTAGCAATTACACAGACCTGACTTATATTTTAAAATCACACTCAAAGCCTAAAATTTTTAGTGGATCACTTTGTAATTTCCCTAATATAGTTAGGTGTTCTTTTTTAAGTAAATAAAAACTATTATAATATTTTATATTTGCCTTGTACATCAACACTGAATTTAGCATTGTCTTATAAAGACACACATTATCTAGCTTATACAGATATACATACTGACATAGCCATAGATATAGATGTGTTTTTTTCCTAAAGAGTCACACTTAATTATACAACTTATCTATAATTGTGAGCCTCAAGATTACCCCTAGGCAAACTGCAGAGAAATAAAATTTACCTCTTCTTTCACTGTTCTATGATATGACACTTCATATATACCATCCTTCCTTATAAGACCCTCATTTTTCTAATGGTCCCTAACAACATTATCAAATTAAGCTACTCCAGATTCTACTTTCAGGTCACTTCTACAACCTATTCAAACACAACCAACCACAAAATATAGAAGTAAATCTATTAAATAGTTTGACCAAATGGAGAATGAGTACATGTTAAAATCAATATTGGCAAGCGAGACTCCATCTCAAAAAAAAAAAAAAATCAGTATTGGCAAAGGTTAAGCCCAAAGTAGGTATTTTAATTATATCTAACAAATTGCAAGGTCCTAAGACTAAATCTGAGATGTGATCAAATAATTTTAATTATTAATTTCATATTAATATAATTTTATTATTTAAAATGTTGACAAATTTTAAAAGTTTGACATTATAGTACATAAATGATAATTTCTTACTACAGAGTTTCCACAACGCTTCTGTGGTCACCAAATTTCACATCTGCAATCATAAATACAGGTTCACTTTGCAGTGAATAAAGAAAATATTTAGGGTGTACATCAATTTGCTCTATCATGTTATTTTCCTCATATATTTTATGTTTTATGTCTAGATTGAAGATGATTCATCATGTATCTTTTTATAATTTGGGGGGTTTTCCTCTTATAAAATGTTGAAGTGCAAAGTTCACATTATTTTTCACTCTTGTCCACAAAATGTGAAGACTCTCAAAGTGAAACCTTCCTTTAATTTTTTTACATTAGAATTATGAAGTCATGTAATCTATTATTCTACCATTTATTATAATTAA
The DNA here is from genome assembly GCF_000001405.40 of Homo sapiens. Classification (NCBI taxonomy): domain Eukaryota; kingdom Metazoa; phylum Chordata; class Mammalia; order Primates; family Hominidae; genus Homo; species Homo sapiens. The sequence goes on from NC_000004.12 coordinate 44,380,979, forward strand.
AATGTCATAAACATTTGTGGATTCAAAAAGAATATAATGTCTACCTCAGCTATCTAATTAATACACTCACTTTTAATAGCCCCATTAGATTTCAAAATCTTTTCAAATTTATTTATATGGAAATTCTTAATATTTCTGTTAAAATTAGGAGCATTCACAATTATTACTCATGGTAGTATTTAACTCATATACTAATGTATACTTCAATATATAAATGCCATGGGAGATTTTCACTCTAAGTTATATCTAAAATATATTCCTATTTTTAAAAATGAATGCTTATCTCCAATTTACAAAACCTCCTAGAATTAATAGATGAACTCAGCAAAACTGTAAAATTAACACACAAAAGTCACTCGTATATCTACATACAAACAATAAATTTCTGATTAGAAAGGAAAGTGAGAAAACAATTCCATTTAAAGTAGCATCAAATATAATAAAATGCTTAGCTATAAAGACACACATAGATTGAAAGTGAACAGATGAAAAAAGATATTCCATGCAAACAGGAACCAAAATTAAGCAGGAATAGCTATACTTAAGTCAAATAAAGTAGACTTTAAGTCAAAAAGTATAAAAAGAGACAATTATATTGTTTGGTTGTTTGTCCCCTCCAAATGTCATGTCGAAATGGGATTGCCAATGCTGGAGGTGGGGCCTGGTGGGAGGTGATTAGATCATAGAGGCAGATCCCTCATGAATGGCTTCATGTCATCCCCTTGGCAATGGCTGAGTTCTCACTCTGAGATCTGGTTGTTTAAAAGTGTGTGGTGCCTCCCCACTTCTCTCTTGCTCCTGTTCTCGCCATATGATGCACTGGCTTCCCCTTCACCTTTCACCATGATTGGAAGCTTCCTGAGGCCCTCACCAGGAGCAAATGCTGGCACCAGGCTTGTCCAGCCTACAGAACCATGAGCCAATTAAACCTATTTTCTTTAATTACCTTGATCCAGGTATTTCTTTCTAGCAACTCAAGAACAGACTAATACAGACAAAGAAGGTCATTGTATAATGATAAAGGGATAAATTCATCAAGAGAATATAATAAATTGCAAATATATAGGTACCCCGAACAGGAGCACTCAGATATATAAAGCAAATAATATTAGTTTTAAATGGAGGAACAGACTCTAATATAATACTATTTGGGAACTACAATACCCCACTCTCCACTCTCCACATTGGACAGATTACCTAGACAGAAAATCAATAAACATCAGATTTGAACTGCACTACAGACATGGCATCAACAAGATGAAGGACAAAAACCATATGATCATCTCAATAGATAGAGAAAACACATTTGAAAAAAATTAACACCCTTCATGAAAACAGCTCTCAACAAATTAGGTATAGAAGGAGCATACATCAATACAATAAAGGCCATATATGACAAACCCATGTTTAACATCATACCGAATGGGGAAAAGCTGAGAGCTTTTCTGTAAGAACTCAAACAAGATGGTCGGGCATGGTGGCTCACAGCTGTAATCTCACTACTTTGGGAGACCAAGGCAGGCAGATTACCTGAGGTCAACAGTTCAAGACCATCTTGGCCAACATGGTAAAACCCCATCTCTACTTAAAATACAAAAAAAATTACCCGGGCGTGGTGGTGGGCACCTGTAATCCCAGCTACTCAGAAGGCTGAGGCAGAAGAATCGTTTGAACTCGGGAGGTGGAGGTTGCAGTGAGTTGAAATTGCACCATTGCATACCAGCCTGGGCAACAGGAGTGAAACTCCATTTCAAAAAAAAAAAAAGAATTCAAACAAGACAAGAATGTTCACTGTCATCACTATTGTTCAATATAATACTGAAACTTCTAGTCAGAGCAATTAAACCTAAGAAAGAAAGGAGATCCAAATTGGAAAGAAGAAAGTCAAACTGTTCCTGTTTGCAGATGACATGATCTCATATGTAGAAAAACCTGAAGACTCTACCAAAAAGCTCTTACAACTGATAAATTTAATCATGTTCCAAAATACAAAGTCAACATACAAAAATCAGTAATGTTTCTATACACCAACAACAAACTAGCTGACAAAAAAAACAAGAAAGCAATCCATTTTATAATAGCTATAAAAAAACAAAATAAAATACCTAGAATACCTATGAATAGATTAAACCAAGGAGATAAAAGATCTCTGCAAAAAAACCTATAAAACGCTGATAAAAAAAACTTGAAAAAGACACCAAAAATGAAAGACATCCCATGATCATAGATTGTAAGAATTAACATTGTTAAAATGATCATACTACTCAAAGCAATCTACAGATTCAATGCAATCCTATCAAAATAGCAATGTTATTCTTCACAGAAATAGAAAAAAACAATTTTAAAATCTGTATAAAACCACAAAAGACCCCAGATAGCCAAAGCAATCTAGAGCACAAAGAACAAAGCCAGAGGCATCACACCTGACTTGAAAATATACTACAGACCTTTAGGAACCAAACCAGCATGGTACTGGCATAGAAACTGACACATAGACCAATGGAACAGAACAGAGAACTCATAAAAAAATCACATATTTACAGCCAAGTGATTTTCAACAACAGTGGCAAGAATGTACAATGGGGAAAGGACAGTCCGTCTCTTTAATGAATAGTGCTGGGAAAACTGAATAACCATAAACACAATAATAAAACTGGATCCCTACCTCTCACCACATTAAAAAACCAATTCTAAATAGATTAAAGACTTAAATGTAAGACCTGAACTATGAAACTACTGGAAAAAAACACACACACACAAAGAAAATGCTTCAGGACACTGGTCTGGGCAAAAATTGTATGAATAAGATCTCAAAAGCACAGGCAGCAAAATCAAAAATAGACAAAGTTATATCAAACTAAAAACCTCTGCATAGCAAAGGAAACAACCAACAGAGTGAAGATATTACTTGCAGAATAGAAGAAAATATTTGCAAATTTCTTTCAACAAGAAACTAATAACTAAAATATACACAGAATTCAACTCAACAGCAAATAACAAATAATTTACAAATGGGCAAATGATCTAAATAGAGATTTCTCAAAAGAAGCCATATAAATGGCCAAACAAGTATATTTAAAAAATGCTCAAATCCTAATCATCAGGGAAATGCAAATCAAAACTACAATGAGATATCTTCTCACTCAGGTTCAATGCCTATTATCAAAAAAAAACAAAAAAAAATAACAAATGCTGGTGAGGATAAAGGGAAAAGAGAACTCTTATACATTGTTGGTGGGAATGTAAAGTAGTACAGTCATATAGAAAACAGTAGGGAAGTTCCTCAAAAAACCACAAATACAGCTACCATATGATCCAGCAATCCTACCGCTGGGTGTGTATTCAGTATGCCTGAGACTTCCACATTCCTACGTTTATTAGAGCACTATTCACAATAGCCAAAATATGGAGTCAACCTAAGTGTCTATTGACAGATAAATGCTTTTTAAAAATGTGGTATATACTATTAAGCCATAAATAAATGAAATCCTGTTATTTGCAGCACAATGGATAAGCCTGGAAAACATTATGTTAAGTGAAATCAGGCACAGAAAGATAAATATCACATGTCCTAATTCATATGTGGAAGCTAAAAAGATTGCTCTCATATAAGTAGAGAGTTGAATAGCGGTTCCTAGAAGCAGAGAAGGGTGTGAATGGGAATAGGAACTGGGAAAGGTTGGTTAATGAATGCATAACTACAACTAGATAGGAGGAACACATTCTAGTTACAGTGTTCTACAGCATGGTAAGCTGACTATAGTTAACTACAATTTCTTGTATGTTTTCAAATAGCTAGAAGAGAGGATTATGAAAGTTCTCAACACAAAAAGGGATAAATGTTTGAGATGATGGATATGCTAATTACCCCAATTTTATCATTACACATTCTACACATGTATCAAAATGTCACAGGGTATCCGCATAAATATGTATTATTATTATGTGTCAATTAAAAATAATAGCAAGAAAATTTTAAAAATATAATAGATGAGAAGAATATAGACCAAAAAAAAAGAAAATATATAGGAATAAGCTTAACCAAGAAGGTGAAAGACTTATACATTAAAAACTACAAAACTGAAGAAGAAGAACAACAAAAAAATTGGAAAAACATTTTCATGGATTGGAAGACGTAATACTGTTAAAATGTCAGTATTATCAAAAGTGTTAGGTAGACACTTTAATGCAATGACTTTCAAAACCCCAATGACATTTTATTCAGAAAAATTTAAAAAGTTCAGCCTAAAATTCAGATGGAATCTCATGGGACCTAAATAACCAAAATAAATTTTAGGTCTCACATTTCCCAACTTCAAAACCTATTACAGATCTACAGGAATTAAAACAGTGTGATACTGGCATAAAGATAGACATATAGACGAAGGAAATAGAATAGAAAGCCTAGAAATAAACCCTTACTTATACGGTAAAATGATTTTTGACAAAAGTGCCAACACTATTCAATGGGGAATGCAAAGTGTTTTCAACAAATAATGCTTGGAAAACTGTATATCTATATATAAAAGAAAGAGTTTGGACCTTTACCTTATGTCACATATAAAAATTATCTCAAAATGGATCAAAGAACTAAATTTAAAAGCTAAAACTTTAAAACTCTTACAACAAAATCGGGAAAGCTTCATGGCACTGGATTTAATAATGATTTCATGGATGTGGCAACAAAAGCACATGCGAAAACAGAAAAATAGATAAGCCGCATTATTATATCAAAGTTAAATACTTCTTTCTGTGTATCACATGATAAAATAAACAGATGAAAAGACAACCCACAGAATGAGGGAAGTATCTTCAAATCATGTATCTGAAAAGGTGTTACTATCCAAAATTTATATAAAGAACTCCTACAACTAAACAACTATTAAAAAAACTTGATTAAACAATGTGCACAGTACTTGAATAGACATTTCTCCAAAGAAAATGTATGAATGATTGATAAGCACATGAAAAGATGCTCAGCATCAGTAATCACTAAAAAAATGCAAATCAAAATGCCAATGAGGTACCACGTCACACCCATTTAAGTAGTTACTACTTAAAAAAAAACGGTTGATTTGTGAAGAATGTGGAGAAATTAGAACTCTTGTGCATTGTTGTTGGGAAAGTAAAATGGCTCAGTGGCGATGGAAAACAGGAT